>NC_000008.11:9798495-10102976 GCF_000001405.40 Homo sapiens
CCCTATTATATTATTCATAATATCTAAGGAGGATATTACCCCTAATACCACAGTAGCTGTACACACTGTGATATTATTCGAAATATTTACAGGAGATATTACTCCTAATATCACAGTGGGTGTACACCCTGTGATATTATTCATAATTTTTTTTTTTTTGAGATGGAGTCTCACTCTGTCGCCCAGGCTGGAGCGCAGTGGCGCGATCTTGGTTCACTGCAAGCTCCGCCCCCCGGGTTCATGCCATTCTCCTGCCTCAGTCTCCCGGTAGCTGGGAATACAGGTGTCCGCCACCACGCCAGGCTAATTTTTTTTTTTTTTTTGTATTTTTAGTAGAGACAGGGTTTCACCGTGTTAGCCAGGATGGTCTTGATCTCCTGACCTCATGATCTGCCGGCCTTGGCCTCCCAAAGTTTTGGGATTACAGGCATGAGCCACCGCGCCCGGCTTATTCGTAATATTTAATTATATCACAAGGATTGTATACCCTGTGATATAATTCAAAGTATCTAAGGGAGATATTACTCCTAATATCACAGTGGGTGTTCCCCTGTGATATTATTTGTAATATCAAAGAAATATGTTACTCCTAATATAACAGTGGGTGTACACCCTGTGATAGTATTTGTAATATCCTAAGGAGATATTACTCCTTATATCACAGTGGGTGTACACCCTTTGATATTATTCATAATAACCTATGGAGATAGGAAAGGCCAATTGTGTGGAAATCTACGAAGTCTGTCTGGCTGTTTTATTCACATTCATTCATTCATTCATTCATTTATTCAAACAGCTCTTCTATACTGGATGTGCCTATTAGGTGGCAGGCACTCTTTAAATGCTAGCAATGCCGCTGTGAGCTCTCTCCTGAAGCTCATCTGAAGGCTAAGAACATATGGCTGGAACAAATCAACATAAAACAGAATGTCGGGTTTGAAGAAAAGTGCAGCAGAGTGTCGGGAAGGGAAGGGGAGGTGGCGCAGGAGGGAGTAATGCTTCACTTCAGAGGAAGCAGCCGGGAAAAGGCACTCGGAGAGGCGCTGGAGTGAGCTGTGGACGAAGTGAGGCGAGGGCCAGGGCAGATTTGGGGAGAGGGTCCCAGGCATGGGGGAGCAGCACGGGCTGGAGCAAGAATGTGCTCAGGGCACTCAGGGGACAAGGGAGAGGCCCTCGCAGCTGGAGTGCTGGAAAGGGAGGTCATTCTGCTCTTACGGGTGTTGAGCAGTGAGCCCCACAAGGAGGCCAGGGCAGGGGCCAGGCAAGGGCCCTGTGGCCAGCCTAGGACGACAAGGAGAAGTTGGGGAGAGGTCATACCTGGGAGCTGCTTTTGTAGGGAGTTCGGTCAGGATGGTGGGAAAAGTTGTAAGCAAAAGTTACAGGGAAAGACACAAACCTTCTTGGAAGGCTGGGAAGTTTTGAAAAGCTTCGAAAAACATTTTGGCTGAAGGCAGCCAAATTCTCTTATCTGGAGCCTGAGAGCAAAGGGTAGATAACAAGGGAATGTAAAGGAACATATCTAGATAAATTTGGTTACTCTATCTCCAGAAACCAACCTATGATCATTTGCACACAGGACTGCTCTCTACTCGGGGGGTCAACAATGTTTATTACTCACCAATTGTGTCTGCTCCAAGCCCTTGTCATTAAATCGGTACTAAATAAATGCAAGTGGGGCCGGCTTATGGGAGCCGCATTCTCTTGGCGACTGCGGTACTCTCGTTGGTGGTGCTGAGCCACGCGGTACCCTAGCTGAGCTGTCAGGCAAAATATCTGTGTCAGTGTACTCCTTTCATTTGTGACTTGGCTGGAGTCTGTGGGACAGACTCAGCAGGTGGTGCCCCATGTGATGCACACTGCAACAGATCGTGACAGAACCCTCAAAAACAAAGGTGAAGAGACTGCACAGTCAGTAAGTCATTGGTGCTCATTCGGGATTTCCAAGTTCAAGGGAATTGTTCAGGCTGGAGTTTCATTGTGGGACAACAGTTATCACCTCAACAGAAACAATATATAAACGTATTGAAACAGCTATTTAAAGCTAGTGGTTTTGCAGGCTCAATTAAGGGACCTAATGCAAACTGTTGTTTCCCATAACCCATGGTTCCCGGAAGAAGGGACACTAGACGTAGAGCTCTGGGAACAAGTGGGGAGAAATCTTAAACAACATCATGCACAAGGGCAATGGGTCCCAGTAGCATCTCTAATTTATGGGCCTTAGTTAGGGCTGCTTTTGCCCCCCTCTACACAGAAGAGCCTAAAAAGGGAAGGGAGGAGGAACTGTCACCTACCTTACCGCCTCCTCCTTCTCCCTCAGCCCAGCCATTACCAGGCAAAAATACCAAAGGAAACAGAGGTTTTGCCTAAGCCCCCTCCCCCAATAAATTGGAAAAAAGACAAGGGATATGCTACAGCTATGGGACCCTGTCTTAGGCAAGCGGCATTAGAAGGGGAGCTCTTAGCCTGCCCGGTAATGCGAGATCGAGAAGGCCATCGGGTATATGACCCCATTATTTCCAACACTTATAAAGAGATAAGAAAAAGCATTAGAGAAAACGGAGCCACTAGCCCATTTACAAAAGGGTTAATTGAGGTCACTCTGCAGACCGCTTTCTAATCATGGCCACTGCTATTCCTCCCCTACCCCTGAGGTGGATTTCTCAAAATCCTATTTGGGTAGAATAGTAGCCTTTAAAGGGAGAGAAATTACAACGAGCCCATGAATTAGTTCAGGAGCAATTAAAAGCCGGCCATACAGAACCATCAAACAGCCCTTGGAAGTCACCCATTTTTGTCAATCCCAAAAAGTCTGGCAAGTGGAGACTTTTGTATGACTTATGGGCTATCAGTGCTTGTTTGCAACCTATGGAGTCCCTTCAACAGGGCCTCCCTTCCCCCGCAACGATTCCTCAAGATTGGCCTATAGTCATTATTGACTTAAAAGACGGCTTTTATACTATTCCCCTAGTAGAACAGGACAGAGAACAATTTGCATTTACAATACCAGCCATCAATAATGAAAGGCCAGCTTGCCTATTTCATTGGAAAGTACTTCCTCAAGGAATGCTGAACAGTCCTACCATGCGTCAGTATCATGTAAATCAGGCTTTGTTTCCCAGTAGAAAAGAATTTCCTAATTGCAAGATTATTCATTTTGTCGATGATATTTTACTAGCAGCCCCAACGGAGCCAGTGCTTTTAAGTTTATATGCGTCTGTCATAAAGAATACACAGTTAAGAGGTTTAATCATCATAGCACCTGAAAAAGTACAATTGTCTTCTCCTTGGAAATATCTTGGATACATATTAACTTCCCAGTCAATAAGACCTCAAAAGGTTGTATTAAATACAAGCAACTTACGTATGTTTAAAGACTATCAAAAATTACTGGGTGATATTAATTGGCTTTGCCCCACCTTGGGCATAACTACTAATAAGTTACAAAACCCGTTTTCTATCCTAAAGGGCAATACACTCCTAAACTCTCCCAGGTATTTAACTCCTGCAGCAAAAAGGGAAATTGAGGAAATAGAGCTAACTATTTCTCAGAGGCAACTAGATCACATAGATCCACGATATTCAGTTCAATTGTTTGTTTTTCCTACTAAACATTCCCCAACAGGATTACCAGGACAGATGGCCCCAGGGCTGCACTTTCTAGAATGGGTTTTTTGCTCACATACAGGAACTAAAACACTATCTCCCTATATCCAGCTGGTTAGTGAAGTCCTCTATACAGGCTGTAGACAATGCAATTAGTTGCTAGGTTATGACCCTGATGTCACAAGAATTTCTTTGAGTAAAACGCAACTTGAAGCACTACTGCCCCTATCTCTAGATCTTCAGATAGCACTCTGATTATACAGGCCATACAGAGCATGTCCTTCCTGCTGACAAACTAATTCAGTTCTTATCTCATACTCCTGAACTTGTGCCTACAAAAGTAGTTCACTCCCCCATACCTAACGCTTTAATGCTTTTTACTGACGGCTCTGGGAAAAATGGAAAATGGTGGAGACTGCATAATTCCCTCACTCGTTCTGGACTTACTAGCACTCAGAGAGCTGAGGTTGGAGCCTTAATATTGGCCGTGGAGACCTTTTCCACTCAGCCCATCAATATTGTTAGTGACTCTGCTCACTCTGTTTATTTATCGCAGAACTTTGAGACAGCCCTCATTAAGTCCACTCTCGGGCCCACCCTGTGTGCACTTTTTCTTTGACTTCAGCAATTGCTAGATCAACATACACATCCTATTTTTATCACACATATTCGAGCCCACAGCTCACTGCCTGGCCCCCTGGCTTACGGCAATGATCAAGCAGACCTGCCGGTTATGACGTCACTAATTGACCAAATCACCCCGTCACATCAATTTTTCCACCAAAATTGGAGGAATTTGTCTAAACAATTTCATCTTACCCAAAGAGGAGCTAAACAAATTATCCTGCAATGCCCAGATTGCCAGCTCACAGGCACATCCCCTCTGTCAGGCCTCTGAGCCCAAGCCTGCAGGTATACATCCAGATAGCCTGAAGCAACTGAAGAATCACAAAGGTAAAAATGGCCCGTTCCTGATTTAACTGATGACATTACCTGGTGAAACTCCTTCTCCCGGCTCAGAAGCTCTCCCACTGAGCACCTTCTGACCCCCGCCCCTGCCTGCAAGAGAACAACTCCCTTTGACTGTAATTTTCCACTACCTACCCAAATCCTATAAAACTGCCCCACCCCTATCTTCCTTGCTGACTGTTTTCGGACTCAGCTCGCCTGCACCCAGGTGATTAAAAAGCTTTATTGCTCACACAAAGCCTGTTTGGTGGTCTCTTCATATGGACACGCATGACATTTGGTGCCGAAGACCCGGGACAAGAGGACTCCTTTGGAAGACTGGTCACCTGTCCTCGCCCTCACTCCATGAGGAGATCCACCTACGACCTCGGGTCCTCAGACCAACCAGCCCAAGGAATATCTCACCAACTTCAAATCGGGTAAGCAGTCTTTTCACTCTTTTCCAGCGTCTCTCACTACCCTTCACTCTTCCTCTCTCACTACCCTTCAATCTCCTTGTCCTTCCAATTCCAGTTCTTTTTCCTCTCTAGTAGAGACAAGGGAGACACTTTTTTTTTTTTTTTTTTTTTTTTGAGACAGAGTGTCCCTCTGTCGCCCAGGCTGGAGTGCAGTGGCGCGATCTTGGCTCATTGCAAGCTCCGCCTCCTGGATTCACACCATTCTCCTGCCTCAGCCTCCTGAGTAGCTGGGACTATAGGTGCCCGCCACCGCGCCCGGCTAATTTTTTGTATTTTTTAGTAGAGACGGGGTTTCACCATATTAGCCAGGATGGTCTCGATCTCCTGACCTCGTGATCCACCCACCTCAGCCTCCCAAAGGAGACACATTTTATCTGTGGATCAAAAACTCCAGTGCCAGTCATGGATTCAGGAAGACAGTCTTCCCTTGGTGTTTAATCAATGCGGGGATGCCTGCCTGATTATTCACCCACATTCCATTGGTGTCTGATCATCGTGGGGATGCCTGTCTTGGTCATTCACCCACATTCCCTTGGTGGCAACTCAATTGTGGGGACACCTGCTTTGGCTGCTCACCCACATTGCAGCCCAGGGCTGCTCACCATCCCCCTTCTCTGTGTCTCCACCCTTTCTTTTCTCTGGGCTTGCCTCCTTCACTATAGGCAACCTTCCACCCTCCATTCCCTGTTCTTCTCCCTTAGCCTGTGTTCTCATAAACTTAAAACCTCTTCAACTCTCACCTGATCTAAAACCTAAGCATCTTATTTTCTTCTGCAACACTGCTTGGCCCCAATACAAACTCAATAATGGTTCTAAATAGCCAGAAAAGAGCACTTTTGATTTCTCCACTTTGCAAGACCTGGATAGTTTTTGTCTAAAAAAATGGGCAAATGGGTCTGAAGTGCCTGACGTCTGGGCATTCTTTTACACATTGGTTCCTCCCTAGTCTGTGCTCCCAATGTGACTCATCCCAAATCTTTCTTCTTTCTCTCCTGTCTGTTCCTTCAGTCTCCACCCCAAGCTCTGAGTCCTTTGAATCCTCCTTTTCTATGGACCCATCTGACCTCTCCCCTCCTCCCCAGGCTGCTCCTCACCAGGCTGAGCCAGGTCCCAATTCTTCCTCAGCCTCTGCTCCCCACCCTATAATCCTTTTATCACCTCCCCTCCTCACCCCTGGTCCAGCTTACAGTTTTCTTCTACAACTAGCCCTCCCCCACCTGCTGGAGCTAAAGGCATAAGTCAAGGTTAATGTTCCTTTTTCTTTATCTGACCTCTCCCATATCAGTTAGCATTTAGACTCTTTTTCATCAAATATGAAAACCCAGGCCAGTTCATGGCCTGTTTGGCAACAACCTTTAGATGCTTTACAGCCCTAGACTCTGAAGGGTAAGAAGGTCGTCTCATTCTACATATGCATTTTATCACCCAGTCAGCTCCTAACATTAGAAAAAAGCATCAAAAATTGGAATCCAGCCCTCAAACCCCACAACAGGAATTAATCAACCTCGCCTTCAAGATGTTCAATAATAGAGAGGAGGCAGCCAAATGACAACGCATCTCTGAGTTACAGCTACTTGCCACCCCTGTAAGACAACCCACAACCACGTCTCCAGCATACAAGAACTTCAGAACATCCAAGCCACAGCTCCCGGGGCTCCTTCAAAACTTCCTCGTGGACCTTGCTTCAGATGCCAAAAGCCTGGCCACTGGGCCTCAGGATGCCACAGCCCAGGATTCCTCCTAAGCTGTGCCCTGTCTGTGTGAGCCCCTACTGGAGGTTGGACTGTCCAACTCACATCACCGCCACTCCTAAAACTTCTGGGGCTGAAACCCAACATTCCTTGGCCGACTCCTTCCCAGATCTCCTCAGCTTAGCAGCTGAAGACTGATGCTGGCCGATCGCCTCGGAAGCCCCGTGGACCATCATGGACGCCAAGCTTCGGGTAACTCTTACAGGGGAGGGTAAGTCCATCCCCTGTTTAATCGATACAGGGGCTACCCACCTTTCATTACCTTCCTTTCAAGGGCCTGTTTCCTTTGCCCCCACAACTGTTGTGGGTATTGACGGCCAAGCTCCAAAACCCCTTAAAACTCCCTCACTCTGGTGCCAACTTAGACAACATTCTTTTATGTACTCCTTTTTAGTTATCCCCATCTGCCCAGTTCCCTTGTTAGGCATGAAACATATTAACCAAATTATTTGCTTCCCTGACTATTCCTGGACTACAGCCACATCTCATTGCCACCATTCTCCCCAACCCAAAGCCTCCTTTGCGTCTTCCTCTTGTATCCCCCCACCGTAACCCACAAGTATGGGACACCTCTACTCCCTCCGTGGCAACCGATGATATGCCCATTACTATCCCATTAAAACCTAATCACCCTTACCCTGCTCAACACCAGTATCTCATCCCTCAACATGCTCTAAGGGGATTGAAGCCTGTTATCACTCGCCTGCTACAGCATGGGCTTCTAAAGCCTATAAACTCTCCTTACAATTCCCCCATTTTCCCCGTCCAAATACCGGACAAGTCTTACAGGTTAGTTCAGGATTTGTGCCTTACCAACCAAATTGTTTTACCTATCCACCCCACGGTGCCAAACCCATATACTCTCCTGTCCTCGTTACCTTCCTCCACAACTCACTATTCCATTCTTGATCTTAAAGATGCTTTCTTCACTATTCCCCTGCACCCCTCATCCCAGCCTCTCTTTGCTTTTACCTGGACTGACCCTGACACCCATCAGCCTCAGCAACTTACCTGGGCTGTACTGCCACAAGCCTTCAGGGACAGCCCCCATTACTTCAGTCAAGCACTTCCTTGTGATTTACTTTCTTTCCGTCCATCTGCTTCTCACCTTATTGAATATTTTGACAACCTTCTACTTTAGAACCCCTCCTACAAATCTTCCCAACAGGACACCCTCCTGCTCCTCCAACATCTGTTCTCAAAAGGATATCACGTATCCCCCATCAAAGCGCAAATTTCTTCCACATCCATTACCTATCTCAGCATAATTCTTCATAAAAACACACGTACTCTCCATGCTGATCATGTCTGGCTAATTTCCCAAACCCAACCCCTTCTGCAAAGCAACAACTCCTTTCCTTCCTGGGCATGGTCAGATATACTTTCATCTTTGGATACCTGGCTTTGCCATGCTAACAAAACCATTATATAAACTCACAAAAGGAAACCTAGCTGACCCCATAGATCCTAAATCCTTTCCCCACTTGCCTTTCTGTTCCTTAAAAACAGCCCTAGAAGCTGTTCCCACACTAGCTCTCCCTAACTCATCCCAACCCTTTTTCATTAAACACAGCTGAAGTACAGGACTGTGTGGTGGCATTTCTTACACAAGAACCAGGACTGCAGCCTGTAGCCTTTCTGTCCAAACAACTTAACTTTACTGTTTCAGTCTGGCCCCCCACATTATTCCTGATACCACACCTGACCCCCGTGACTATATGTCTCTGATCCACCTGACATTCACTCCATTTCCCCATATTTCCTTCTTCCCTGTTCCTCACCCTGATCACACTTGGTTTATTGATGGCAGTTCCACCAGGCCTAATTGCCACTCACCAGCAAAGGCAGGCTATGCTATAGTATCTTCCACATCTACCGCTCTGCCCCACCCCACTACCTCTCAGCAAGCCAAACTCATTGCCTCAACTCAGGCCCTCACTCTTGCAAAAGGACTACGTGTCAATATTCATACTGATTCTAAATATGCCTTCCATATCCTGCACCACCGTGCTATTATATGGGCTGAGAGGTTTCCTCACTACGTAAGGGTCCTCCCTCATTAATGTCTCTTTAATAAAAACTCTTCTCAAGGCCGCTTTACTTCCAAAAGGAAGCTGGAGTCATTCACTGCAAGGGCCATCAAAAGTCATCAGATCCCATCGCTCAGGGCAACGCTTATGCTGATAAGGTAGCTAAAGAAGCAGCTAGCATTTCAATTTCTTTCCCTCATGGCAAGTTTTTCTCCTTCTCATCAGTCACTTCCACCCACTCCCCCACTGAAACTTCCACCTATCAATCTCTTTCCACACAAGGCAAATGGTTCTTGGACCAAGGAAAATATCTCCTTCCAGCCTCACAGGCCCATTCTATTCTGTTGTCATTTCATAACCTCTTCCATGTAGGTTACAAGCCTCTGGCCCACCTCTTAAAACCTCTCATTTCCATCATGGAAATCTATCCTCAAAAAATCACTTCTCAGTGTTCCATATGTTGTTCTACTACTCCTCAGGGATTGTTCAGGCCCCTTCCCTTCCTACACATCAAGCTCAGAGATTTGCCCCTGCCCAGGACTGGCAAATTAACTTTACTCACATGCCCTGAGTCAGGAAACTAAAATACCTCTTGGTCTGGGTAGGCACTTTCACTGGATGGGTACAGGTCTTTCCCACAGAGTCTGAGAAGGCCACTGTGGTCATTTCTTCTCTTCTGTCAGACATAATTCCTCAGTTTGGACTTCCCACCTCTATACAGTCCGATAACAGACTGGCCTTTATTAATCAAGTCACCCAAGCAGTTTCTCAGGCTCTTGGTATTTAGCGGCTCCTGGTTTTACCTCAAACCACCACCCTTAGGTCTCTCTTGAAGTGGATAGAAGATCTTCACTGGCAATCTTCACCAATACTCCAAAAAGTGTACTCCAATACTTTCACCCTGATGAATTCCTATTCTTTACTTTTATACTCACTCTTACTCTCGTTCCCGTTCTTATACCACTCTCTACCTCTCCCCAGCTATCTCCACCACACTGTCAATCTCACTCACTCTCTCCTAGCCATTTCTAATCCTTCTTTAACAAACAATTCTTGTCTTTGCATTTCTCTTTCCTCCAAAATCGCCGAGGCCTCAACTTACTCACTGCTAAAAAAAAAAAAAAAAAAAGGAGACTCGGTATATTTTTAAATGAAGAGTGTTGTTTTTATCAATCTGGACTGACATATGACAACATAAAAAAACTCAAGGATAGAGCCCAAAAACTTGCCAACCAAGCAAATAATCACACTAAACCCCTTTAGGCACTCTGATTGGATATCCTTGGTCCTCTCAATTCTTAGTCCTTCAATACCTGTTTTTCTCCTCTTACTGGGACCTTGTGTCTTCTGTTTAGTTTGTCAATTCATACAAAGCCATATCCAGGCCATCACCTGTCATTGTATATGACAAATATTCCTTCTAACAACCTCACAATATCACCTCTTACCACAAAATCTTCCTTCAGCTTAATCTCTCCCACTCTAGGTTCCCATGCTGCCCCTAATCCCACTTGAAACAGCCCTGAGAAACATCACCCATTATCTCTCCATACCACCCCCAAAAAATTTTTGCTGCCCCAACACTTCAACATTATTTTTTTTTATTAATATAAGAAGACAGGAATGTCAGGCCTCTGAACCCAAGCCTGTATGTATACATCCAGATAGCCTAAAGCAACTGAAGAATCACAAAAGAAGTAAAAATGGCCAGTTCCTGACTTAACTGATGACATTACCTGGTGAAACTCCTTCTCCCAGCTCAGAATCTCTCCCACTGAGCACCTTGTGACCCCTGCCCCTGCCTGCAAAAGAACAACTCCCTTTGACTGTAATTTTCCACTACCTACCCAAATCCTATAAAACTGCCCCACCCCTAACTCCCTTTGCTGACTCTCTTTTCGGACTCAGCCCACCTGCACCCAGGTGATTAAAAAGCTTTACTGCTCACACAAAGCCTGTTTGGTGGTCTCTTCACATGGATGTGTGTGACACCCTCCTTCAACAGGCATTAACCCTAGAAGACTAGAACCTAATCAGTTATGGCAAACAGATGTTACACACGTCCCTGAATTTGAAAAACTTAAATATGTACATGTATCCATTGATACCAATTCTCACCTAATTAGCACACATGCTCTTCCTGGAGAGTCCACCCAATATGTTATTAAACATCTTCCCTTAACTTCTGCATTTATGAGGCAGCCTACAAAAATTAAAACTGATAATGGTCTGGCATATGCCAGCTCACTATTTCAACAATTTTGTCACATGTGGAACATCCAACATTTCACAGGCATCCCATATAACCCCCAAAGACAGGCCATAGTAGAACATGTCCATTCCACTCTTAAAAATAGGCTCGAAAACAAAAAAGGGGAATATGAGTCAGAACCCTGCAACACTACTAGCACAAGCCTTATTTACCCTTAATTTCTTAAATTTAAATGATAAATTTCAATCAGCTATAGAAAAGCACTTTGCTAAAACCTCTCAAGACATAAGACCCGCAGTTTTATGGAAAGATGTAAACAGTAATGTATGCTGTGGTCCAAATGATTTGTTAATGTGGGGAAGAGGATATGCTTGTGCTCACACCCCCTCAGGTCCTCTTTGGATTCCAGCATGAGGCATCAAACCTTACCATGGCGTGGCTAGGACCCAACCTGGCACAAGAAATGAAGGGAATGACCCTGCAGGACCCGCAACACTGGACGATGCGGCTTCCTGGGATGACACAAGCCCCAGACATTACCTGGGGGATGCTAAAGAAGACAACTCAGGAGGCTGAGTGAATCCTGCTCCGGACACAGACACCAGTCACTCCAGATAATTTATTCCTTGCTATGCTCTCTGTTGTACATTGCAACTCACATAGGGTATTGATCCTTTTTATGCCATTGTTCTGCCTGCAATCTGCACCTGTTACTCTCTATTGGACACATCTCTTAGATCCTTAGCACCCGCAAATCATAGCACCTGAAAAAGTTCTTCCCTGTTACTTGGGCAGACACCCCTTCCCAGCCTCTAATAATGTAACTGCTTGGCAAGGAGGGACTGACTTACCCCCAGTGGGATCCCTCATTAATGGCACACATTGGACTAAGGTGCCAAGTAACACTATATATCACTCCACTATCCTCCCACCGTGTGTAAGTTATAAAATTTCTAACCCTTACTGTGTACCTACACAATCACAATTGTGGCTACATCATGGCAAAGGAAATGCCTTAAGGTTCTTGGTTACAGGTAGCCTCAAACCAGGCAATGCAAACAATGCCACTTTCCCCAACCTTCCTTCCTGTGCTAAAGAACATAGCTGGCAAAGTAATGGATTCCACTTTGGCTGGGAGGTCTGTCATGGGGGACAAGCCTGTGGCCTCCATTTAGGCAATTATAACATCTTAGACTGGAGCCCCCACTGCCATTTGTGGGGCGACCATACTCATGTCCACATCTATCACAGCATCAATCACAGTTTCATAGCCACGTCCCATTCCTCTATAATTTGCACTGATTGGGGGATGGGATATCCCAGGCCCCAAGTAAAGCCCATGCCACCCCAAGACACTTTATGGCTCCTGGGACATCTTAGTACCTCCCATAGTATAGTTGCTCCTATACCATGACTGTTATTCATGATCACACAGATCAGTGCCTGATTTGCACTACCCATCCATATGGTTTCCTTATGGGAACTAATATTTCCATTACACCCCTAAACTCCACGTTTCTGACTAGAGTGCAGGGACAGGCTTGGTTCGTCTCATGTAATACTAATTACAATATATCTAATTTAAATATTACTAGTGTCATGGTATTAAGGAGTAAATCTGAGGCATTCTTACCTGTGAATTTGACACGCAATTGGCAAGGCTTCTCTGCCTTTGCCGCCTTAGAAGGTGCCCTGTCCCAGGTCAGACCCAAAAGACTCATAGGCACACTTATAGCCTTTATAGTCTCAGCCATAGTCATCTTGGCAACTGCTAGTGTTGCTGTGGCCTCTATTACTGAATCAGTACAAACAGCTACCTTTGTAGATAACTTGGCCAAAAATGTGTCTAATCAACTTCTCTTACAGCAGGGTATAGATGAAAAGACTCTCGCATGCCTTCGAACCCTTGATGCTGCCTCGGAATACGTAGGGGAGTGGCAAGATGCACTGGCATTCCGACAGCAATGAAACTGGGACTGGGAGCATAAGCACATCTGTGTCACCTTGGAATCAATCGATGTGTAGTTGGGATGAGGTGAAACAACCCCTCGGGGAATCTTACATGATAATTTCAGAGCAGACATAAGTCAACTTAAAACTAAAATTCTACAATCCCTAAATGCCATAGATCTACATGCCCAACAAACAGCCATATGGCAGGATGTGCAAGAACATCTCTCCTGGATAGACTCCCACTCCTGGGGGTCACTCCTTGATTGGAAAAGAATGTTACAGATTATACTAATGTTTGTCTTATGTTATTTACTAATTCTAGGATGCAAAGCCAGAATATGAGCAGTAACTGCTACGCCAGACAAACTGGTTTGCTGCACTCATCTGTACTCTCCAATCAACAAAACCTGATGCAAAAAACAGAAAAGGGGGGGATGTAGGAGTTAGTCAGGGTGGTGGGGAAAGTTGTAAGAAAAAGTTGCAGGGAAAGACACAAACCTTCTTGGAAGGCTGGGAGGTTTTGCAAAAGCTTTGAAAGAAAATTTGGCTGAAGGCAGCCAAATTCTCTTATCTGGAGCCTGAGAGCAAAGGGTAGATAACAAGGGAATGTAAAGGAACATATCTAGATAAATTTGTTTACTCCTGTCTCCAGAAACCAACCTTTGATCATTCGTGTGCAGGACTGCTCTCTACTTGGGGAGTCAACAATATTTATTATCCACAAATTGTGTTTGCTCCAAGCCTTTGTCATTAAATCTGTACTAAATAAATGCGAGCAAGGCCAGCTTATGGGGGCTGCATTCTCTCCGTAGCTACAGGACTCTCGTCAGCAGTGCTGAGCTGTGCAGTCCCCTCGCCACGCTGTCAGACAAAATACCTGTGTCAGCATGCTCCTTTCATCCATTGCTTGGCCAGAGTCTGCAGGACAGACTCGGCATGCTTTGAAGGTAGAGCTGATGGAACTTCATGCTGAGGCAACTGCTGGATGAAAAGACAAAATTCACCAGCTCAACTGTGTTCAAGTGTGCAACGCAGAGGCGGTAAGTGCATCCATGCTGCTGTGCAGCCAGTGTCACATCCCTCTCCAGAACTTTCCCATCTTCGCCAACTGAAGCTCTGTCTTCCTCATCCCCATCCCAGTCCCTGGGAGCCACCACTCCTGTCTCCAGGAATTTGACTTCTCTTGGGACCTCACATAAGTGGAGTCATTTGTCCATTTGTCCTTTTGTGACTGGCTTGTTCCACGTAACATAATGTCCTCAGGGTTTCTCCAGGTTGTAGCCTCGGGGTTTTGGGCTTGAACAACTTGGAGGTGGCATTTGCTGAGGACAAGGACAGGACAAGTCTTTTGGCTCAGCTGGCAGTGAGCCTTCCCTTGAGGGCGGAGGCAGACATCACATCCCTGTATTTCCAAGAGATCTGTTTTCCCAGTAGGTGCTTCCTAAAATGATTGTTGAATAAAATGTACGAGTTTCTTATATTTTAGCTTTTATAACCAAGTAGGCAAAGGTGATCCTGAATGCATGGTTCTAGAAACTGGGAAGAAAGGAAGGGCTGGGCATGGTGGCTCACACCTATAATCCTAGCACTTTGGGAGGCTGAGACAGGAGGATGCTTGAGGTCAGGAGTTCGAGACCAGCCTGGGCAATATAGCGAGACCTTGTCTATATTTTATTTTATTTTTGAGAAAGAGTCTTGCCCTATTGCCCAGGCTCGAGTGCAGCGGCAATCTTGCCTCACTGTGACTTCCACCTCCCAGGCTCAAGCGACTCTCCTGCCTCCTGAGTAGCTGGGATTACAGGCATGTGCCACCAACATGCCTGGCTAATTTTTGTATTTTAGTGGAAACGGGGTTTCACCATGTTGGCCAGGCTGGTTTCAAACTCCTGGTCTCAAGCAATCCACCCACCTCAGCCTCCCAAAGTGGTAGTATTACAGGCGTGAGCCATTGTGCCCTGCCCCATTTCTATTTTAAAAAACCAAAAGGAAAATAATAATTAAAAAAAAAAAACTGGCTGTGTGCAGTGGCTCAAGCCTGTAATTTCAGCACTTTGGGAGGCCAAGGAGGTAGAATCATATGAGTCCAGGAGTTTGAGACCAGCCTGGGCAACACGGTGAGTCTCCCTCTCTACAAAAAATAAAAAAAATTAACTGGGCATGGTGGCATGTGTCTGTGGTCCCAGCTACTTGGGAGGCTGAGTGGAAGCACTGCTTGAGGCCAGAAGTTTGAGGGTACAGTGAGCCAAGATTTCACCACTGCACTCTGGCCTGGACAACAGAGTGAGACCCTGTCTCAAGGGAAAAATAAAAATAAAAACTAAGGCTGGGCTGGGATTACAGGAGCTGTGGCTCACACCTGTAATCCCAGCATTTTGGGAGGCCAAGGCAGGGAGATCACCTGAGGTCAGAAATTTGAGACCAGCCTGGTCCAACATGGTGAAAATCCCTCCTCTTCTAAAAATACAAAAATTAGCCAGGTGTGGTGGCACATGCCTATAATCCCAGCTACTTGGGAGGCTGAGGCAGGAGAATCGCTTGAACCCGGGAGACAAAGGTTGCAGTGAGCTAAGATCGTACCACTGCACTCCAGCCTGGGCAACAGAGCAAGACTCCATCTCAAAAAAAAAAAAAAAAAAAAAAAAACTAGGAAGAAAAACAGAATGATATACTTTTGACAAGGATTGAGCAGAATTTCTTCTCCTGAAATTCAAGGTTGTGGGGAATCTTGAAAAACAAATACAGTATATTTAATACCTTCACCTGCAGCGGCCGTCCCAATATAGAGAACTTGGAGACGTACTTTAGGCAAATGCCTGGCAACTGTAACCGCACATTTTCTGGACGATTTTCTTTTATAACTATTTCCATTCCCACTGCAAGAGGACTTTTACGTTCACAAAGGTGCTGTGAAAAGCTAGGAAGACATGAACAACCCCACGAAGGCCATGTTGAATCTGTGCTTCTCCCCGCATGGCTGTCCAAAGAGGCGGAAAGTCAGAGCACGCTCGACAATGTTCTTCTGGAAACACTAGCAATACAGATGCCCTTCCCCTCCTCTCCCCTCCCCTCTCCTCTCCCTTCTCCTCTCCTCTCCCCTCTCCTCTCCCCTCCCCTCTCCTCTCCCCTCCTCTCTCCTCTCCTCTCCCCTCCCCTCTCCTCTCCCCTCCCCTCTCCTCTCCTTCTCCTTCCTCTCCCCTCTCCTCTCCCCTCCCCTCTCCTCTCCCCTCCTCTCTCCTCTCCTCTCCCCTCCCCTCTCCTCTCCCCTCTCCCCTCTCCTCTCCCCTCCCCTCTCCTCTCCTTCCTCTTTTCCTTTTCTCTTTCTTCTTTCAAGACAGGGGCTGGCTGTGTCACCCAGGCTGGAGTGCAGTGGCATGATCTTGGCTCACTGCAACCTCTGCCTCCTGGGCTCAAACAATTCTCCCACTTCAGCCTCCTGAGTAGCTAGGACCACAGGTGTGAGCCACCATGCCTGGTTGATTCTTACATTTTTTGTAGAGATGGGGTTTCGCCATGTTGCCCAGGCTGGTCTCCAATTCCTGGGCTCAAGTAATCCTCCTGCCTTGGCCTCCCAAAGTGTTGGGATTACAGGTGTGAGGCACCCTGTCAGATAGTATTTCAATGGTATTTCTTCTCTCCTTTAGTCACAAGAAGAGTGGGAATGCTGCCAAGAGGCCATTTAAACACAGTTCATGAGTAGTTTTTCTTTTCTCATCCCGTGTGATGGGTGAGATGCTTGAGCCTGCTGACATTGTGTTCATATCTAACGTGCTTGTGAGAAATTTGAAGCTACTGGTGACCTTTGTCTTCGCCATCCTCTGCCCCAGCTGTAGGTGCTGACACTTTTAATTGCTCAAGGGATGTTTTGATAAAAAAGTTGTGTTAAAATAAAAGTTTAGTGGAATCCTATGAACAGCATTTGAATTCATGGAACTCTGCCCTTTTCCTGCCTTAATTGTTCATGTTCTTCTCTTGCTACTTTTTTTTTCTCTCTTGAGTTAAAAACAAAGCAAAAAACCCCACAAATTAACAAAAAGCTCTAAGGTGGTACAGAATAGTGTGTATAATATTTTTATGCAAATACAAAAAATAGTACATGTAAATAAACTGGCATACATAAATGGTGTTTTCTAGAAAGATATACCAGGGAGAGTTTGACAAAGAAAAAAACTCTTCTTATTTTAAACTTAAAAAGATATTTTTGATGAGAATTGCTGGCAACATGGTCAAATAGGAATAGCTCTGGTCTGCAGCTCCCAGCAAGATTGACGCAGAAGGTGGGCATTTCCAACTGAGGTACCTGGTTCATCTTACTGGAACCAGTTGGACAGTGGGTGCAGTGCATGGAGGGCGAGTTGAAGCAGGGTGGGGCGTCGACTCACCTGGGAAGCGCAAGGGGTCGGGGAATTTTCTCCCCTACCCAAGAGAAGCCGTGAGGGACTGAGCCTGAGGACCTCCAGCACAGATACTGAGCTTGTCCCATGGTCTTTGCAACCTGCAAACCAGGAGATTCCCTCCACTGCCTACCCCACCAAGGCCCTGGGTTTCAAGCACAAAACTGGGTGGCCATTTGGGCAGACACTAGCTGCAGTTCTTTTTTCCCATACCCCAGTGGCCCCTGGAACGTCAGGGAGACAGAACCCTTCACTTCCCTAGAAAGGGGTACTGAAGCCAGGGAGCCAAGTGGTCTGGGTTGGCGGGTCCCACCCCCTGAGGAACCCAGCAAACTAAGATCTACTGGCTTGAAATTCTTGCTGCCAGCACAGCAGCAGTCTGAGATTGACCCAGGACATCTGAGCTTGGCAGGGGGCAGGGCATCTGCCATCGCTGAGGCTTCAGTAGGTGGTTTTACGCTCACAGTGTGAACAAAGCTGCTGGGAAGTTAGAACTGGGTGGAACCCACTGCAGCTTACCAAGACTGCTGTGGCCAGACCCAGATTTCTCTTCTCTGGTCAGGGCATCTCTGAAAAAAAGGCAGCAGCCCCAGGCGGGACTTACAGATAAACCCCCATTTCCCTGGGACAAAGCACCTGGGGAAAGGGGAGGCAGTGAGCACAGCTTCATCAGACTTAAAGGTCCCTGCCTGACAGCTCTGAAGAGAGCAGCAGACCTCCCAGCACAGCGTTTGAGTGCTGCTAAGGGTCAGACTGCCTCCTCAAGTGGGTCCCTGACCCCTGTGTATCCTGACTGGGAGACACCTCCCAGTAGGGGCTGACAGACACCTCATACAGAAGAGCTCTGGCTGGCATCTGGCAGGTGATCCTCTGGGACGAATCTTCCAGAGGAAAGATCAGGCAGCAATCTTTACTGTTCTGCAGCCTCCACTGGTGATAGCCAGGCAAATAGGGTCGGGAGTGGACATCCAGCAAACTACAGCAGACTGGCTGCAGAGGGGTCTGACTGTTAGAAGGAAAACTAACAAACAAAAAGGAACAGCAGGTCCACTCAAAGACCCCATCCGAAGGTCACCAACATCAAAGACCAAAGGTAGATAAATCCACAAAGATAGGGAGAAACCAGTGCAAAAAGCTGATAAATTCAACAACCAGAATGCCTTTTCTCCTCCAAAGGATCACAGCTCCTCAGCAGCAAGGGAACAAAACTGGATGGAGAATGAATTAGATGAATTGACAGAAGCAGGCTTCAGAAGGTGGGTAATAACAAACTCCTCCGAGCTAAAGGACCATGTGCTAACCCAATGCAAGGAAGCTAAGAACCTTGAAAAACGGTAAGATGAATTGCTAGCTAGAATAACCAGTGTAGAGAAGAACATAGATGACCTGATGGAGCTGAAAAACACAACACGAGAACTTCATGAAGCATACACAAGTTTCAATAGCCAAATCGATCAAGCAGAAAAAAGGATATCAGTGATTGAAGATCAACTTAATGAAATAAAGAGAGAAGACAAGACTAGAGAAAAAGGAATAAAAATGAACAAAGCCTCCAAGAAACATAGGACTATGTGAAAAAACCAAATCTATGTTTGATTAGTGTACCTAAAAGTTATGAGGAGAATGGAACCAAGTTGGAAAACACTCCTCAGGATATTATCCAGGAGAACTTCCCCAACCTAGCAAGACAGGCCAACATTCAAATTCAGGAAATACAGAGAACACCATAAAGATACTCCTCAAGAAGAGCAACCCCAAGACACATAATCATCAGATTTACCAAGGTTGAAATGAAGGAAAAAATATTAAGGGCAGCCAGAGAGAAAGGTTGGGTTACCCACAAAGGGAAGCCCATCAGACTAAGAGTGGATCTCTCTGCAGAAACCCTACAAGCCAGAAGAGAGTGGGGGCCAATACTCAACATTCTTAAAGAAAAGAATTTTTAACCCAGAATTTCATATCCAGCCAAACTAAGCTTCATAAGTGAAGGAGAAATAAAATCCTTTACAGACAAGCAAATGCTGAGAGATTTTGTCACCACAAGGCCTGCCTTACAAGAGCTCCTGAAAGAAGCAGTAAACGTGGAAAGAAAAACCGGTACCAGCCACTGCAAAAACATACCAAATTGTAAAGACCATCGACACTATGAAGAAACTCCATCAACAAAAAGGCTCTGGGGACTGTTGTGGGTGGGGTGAGCGGGGAGGGATAGCATTGGGAGATATACCTAATGCTAGATGACGAGTCAGTGGGTGCAGTGCACCAGCATGGCACATGTATACATAGGTAACTAACTTGCACATTGTGCACATGTACCCTAAAACTTAAAGTATAATAATAATTTAAAAAAAAAACAATAAAAAAAAAAACAAACAGGCAAAACAACCAGCTAGGATCATTCTGACAGGATGAAATTAACACATAACAATATTAACCTTAAATGTAAATGGGCTAAATGCCTCAATTAAAAGACACAGACTGGCAAATTGGATCAAGAGTATAGACCCATCAGTGTGCTGTATTCAGGAGACCCATCTCATGTGCAAAGACACACAAAGGCTCAAAATAAAGGGATGGAGGAATATTTACCAAGCAAATGGAAAGCAAACAAAAGCAGGAGTTGCAATCCTAATCTCTGATCAAACAGACTTTAATCCAACAAAGATCAAAAGAGACAAAGAAGGCCATTACATAATGGTAAATGGATCAATGCAGCAAGAAGTGCTAACTATCCTAAATATATATGTACCCCATACAGGAGCACCCAGATTCATAAAGTAAGTTCTTAGAGACCGACAAAGAGACTGAGACTCCCACACAATAATAGTGGGAGACTTTAACACCCCACTGTTAATATTAGGCAGATCAATGAGACAGAAAATTAACAAGGATATTCAGGACTTTAACTCACCTCTGGACCAAGCAGACCTAACAGACACCTACAGAACTCTCCACCCCAAATCAACAGAATATACATTCTTCTCAGCACCACATTGCACTTATTCTAAAATTCACCACATAATTGGAAGTAAACACTCCTAAGCAAATGCAAAATAATGGAAATCATAACAAATAGTCTCTCAGACCACAGTGTAATCAAATTAGAACTCAGGATTAAGAAACTCACTCAAAATTGCACAACTACATGGAAACTGAATAACCTGCTCCTGAATGACTACTGGGTAAATAACAAAATTAATGCTAAAATAAAAATGTTCTTTGAAACCAATGAGAATGAAGACACAACATACCAGAATCTCTGGGACACATTTAAAGCAGTGTGTAGAGAGAAATTTATAGCACTAAATGCCCACAAGAGAAAGCAGGAAAGATCTAAAATTGACACCCTAACATCAAAATTACAAGAACTAGAGAAGCAACAGCAAATAAATTCAAAATCTAGCAGAAGACAAGAAATAACTAAGAAGAGAGCAGAACTGAAGGAAATAGAGACTAGAAAAACCCTTCAAAAAATTAATGAATCCAGGAGCTGGTTTTTAGAAAAGATCAACAAAATAGTTAGACCGCTAGCCAGAATAATAAAGAAGACAAGAGAGAAGAATCAAATAGATGTAATAAAAAATGATAAAGGAGTTATCACCACTGATCCCACAGAAATAAAAACTACCATCAGAGAATACTATAAACACTAATAAACTAGAAAATCTAGAAGAAATTGATAAATTCATGGACACACATACCCTCCCAAGTCTAAATTAGGAATAAGTTGAATCCCTGAATAAACCAATAACAAATTCTGAAATTGAGGCAGTAATTAATAAACTATCAACAAAAAAAAAGTCCAGGACCAGATGGATTCACAGCCAAATTCTACCAGAGGTATAAAGAGGAGCTGGTACCATTCCTTCTGAAACTATGCCAAATAACAGAAAAAGAGGGAATCCTCCCTAACTCATTTCATGAGGCCAGCACCATCCTGACACCAAAACCTGGCAGAGACACAACAAAAAATGAAAATTTCAGGCCAATATCCCTGATGAACATTGATGCGAAAATCCTCAATAAAATACTGGGAAACTGAATCCAGCTGCACATCAAAAAGCTTATCCACCACGATCAAGTTGGCTTCATACCTTGGATGCAAGGCTGGTTCAACATATGCAAATTAATAAAAGTAATCTACCACATAAACAGAAGCAATGACAAAAACCACATGATTATCTCAATAGATGCAGAAAAGTCCTTCAACAAAATTCAACGCCTCTTCATGCTAAAAACTCTCAATAAACTAGATATCAATGAAACGTATCTCAAAATAATAAGAGCTATGTATGACAAACACACAGCCAATACCATACTGAATGGGCAAAAACTAGAAGCATTCCCTTTGAAAACCAGCACAAGACATGCCCTCTCTCACCACTCCTATTCAACATAGTATTGGAAGTTCTCGCCAGGGCAATCAGGCAAGAGAAAGAAATAAAGGGTACTCAAATAGGAAAAGATGAAGTCAAATTGTCTCTGTTTGCAGATGACATGACTGTATATTTAGAAAACCCCATTGTCTCAGCCCTAAATCTCCTTAAGCTGATAAGCAACTTCAGCAAAGTCTCAGGATACAAAATCAATGTGCAAAAATCACAAGCATTCCTATACATCAACAACAGACAAACAGAAAGCCAAATCAGGAGTGAACTCCCATTCACAATTGCTACAAAGAGAATAAAATACCTAGGAATACAACTTACAAGGGATGTAAAGCACCTCTTCAAGGAGAACTGCAAACCACTGCTCAAGGAAATAAGAGAGGACACAAATGAATCAAAAACATTCCATGCTCATGGAGAGGAAGAATCAATATTGTGAAAATGGCCATATTTCCCTAAGTAATTTATAGATTCAATGCTATCCCCATCAAGCTACCACTGCCTTTCTTCATAGAATTGGGAAAAGACTACTTTAAACTTCACATGGAACCAAAAAAGAGCCTGCATAGCCAAGACAATCCTGGGCAAGAACAAAGCTGGAGGCATCACGCTATCTGACTTCAAACTATACTACAAGGCTACAGTAACCAAAACAGCATGGTACTGGTACCAACACAGATATATAGACCAATGGAACAGAACAGAGGCCTCAGAAACAATACCACACAACTACAACCATCTGATCTTTGACAAACCAGACACAAACAATCAATGGGGAAAATATTCCCTATTTAATAAACAGTGCTGGGAAAACTGGGTAGCCATATGCAGAAAACTGAAACTGGACCCCTTCCTTACACCTTATACAAAAATCAACTCAAGATTGATCTTGACTTAAATGTACGACCTAGGACCATAAAAATCCTAAAAGAAAACCCAGGCAATACCATTCAGGACGTAGTCATGGGCAAAGACTTCATGTCTAAAACACCAAAAGCATTGTCAACAAAAGCCAAATTTGACAAATGGGATCTAATTAAACTAAAGAGCTTCTGCAAGCAAAAGGAACTATCACCAGAGTGAACAGGCAACCTGCAGAGTGGGAGAAAATTTTTGCAATCTATCCATCTGACAAAGGGCTAATACCCAGAATCTACAAAAAACTTAAATTTACAAGAATAAAACAACCCCATCAAAAAGTGGGCAAAGTTTATGAACAGATGCTTCTAAAAAGAAGATATTTATGTAGCCAACAGACAAATGAAAAAATGTTCATCATCACTGGTCATTAGAGAAATGCAAATCAAACCCACAATGAGATACCATCTCATGTCAGTAAGAATGGCAATCATTAAAAAGTCAGGAAACAACAGATGCTGTAGAGGATGTGGACAAATAAGAATGCTTTTACGCTGTTGGTGGGAGTGTAAATTAGTTAAACCATTGTGAGAGACAGTGTGGTGATTCCTCAAGGATCTAGAAGGATAAATACCATTTGACCCAGCAATCCTACTGCTGGGTATATACTGAAAGGATTATAAATCATTCTACTATAAAGATACATGAACACTATGTTTACTGAGGCACTATTCACAATAGCAAAGACTTGGAACCAATCCAAATGCCCATCAATGATAGACAGGATAAAGAAAATGTGGCACATATACACCATGGAATACTATGCAGCCATAAAAAGGATGAGTTCATGTCTTTAGCAGGGACATGGATGAAGCTGGAAACCATCATTCTCAGCAAAGTATCACAACGACAGAAAACCAAACACCGCATGTCCTCACTCATAAGTGGGAGTTGAACAATGAGAACACATGGACACAGAAAGAGGAACATCACACACCGGGGCTTGTCTGGGGGTAGGGGGCTAGGGGAGTGATAACATTAGGAAAAATACCCAATGTAGGTGTTGGGTTGAAGGGTGCAGGAAACCACCATGGCACATGTATACCTATGAAACAAAACTGCACGTTCTGCACATGTACCCCAGAACTTAAAGTATAATTTTAAAAAAATTTATAAAAGAAAAAAATACATATTTTTACAGAGGTCATACTAATCTCTGTGTCATTCCAATTTTAGTATACATGCTGCTGAACCAAGTGCTATTTTATACTCTTTTGTAAGCTTTTTTTACTATATATGTATATTTTATTGATTTATTCTTTTAACTATTTCATACCTTGCTAAATATGCATATATTTTAATTTTTGTCAGCATATTTCGGGGTGGGCTTCTGAATCTTTTGAAATGCTTTTGTATTCCAAAGTTAACTTTTTTTTTTTTTTTTTGCTATCAGAATCTGGCATTTACTACCAACGTTAATTTTAACTCACACACATTTCTGCGGTGTCAGGCTTACCCCAGTTCCAGGAAGTCCATCTGCCCTAACTTACTTGGTACTCATTTTGTTCCTCCTCTTGCCTGATGGGCTCATAAAGGTCTTTGAATCCACACATTTCAGGCCCAGAGATGCTCAACACACACTTTCAGGAACCCAATTTCATTCACCACAAAATGTATTTGAAAGCAAGAGTTTTGTCATCCCTCATTTTTTTTTTTCTTTTTAGAGATGGGATCTCACCATCTTGCCCAGGTTTCCCCTGGGCTCATGTGATTCTCCTGCTTCAGCCTCTCCAGTAGCTGGGACTACAGGCACATGCCACCATGTCCAGTTAATTTTTTAATTTTTCTTTTGTATAGTTGCCATCTCACTATGTTGACCAGGCCGATTTCAAAATTCTGGCCTCAAGCAATCCTCCTGCCTCGGCCTCCCAAAGTGCTAGGATTACAGGCATAAGCCCCTCTGTGCCTGTCTCTGTCCCTCATTTTTACTACAGATTCCAGTTATTCTCCTATAGCCATTTGATTGTGTTTATTGGTGGGAATGACACTCATCCTATTTAATTTTTTTTAAAATAATATAGCCCAAAAACTGATTTCATAAAAATAAAAAAACCTCTTTTTTTTTTTTTTTGAGATGGAGTTTCGCTCTTGTTGCCCAGGCTGGAGTGCAATGGCACAATCTCAACTCACTGCAACCTCTGCCTCCCGGGTTCAAGTGATTCTTCTACCTCAGCCTCCCAAGTAGCTGGGATTACAAGTGCCCACCACCATGCCTAGCTAATTTTTTGTATTTAGTAGAGACTGGGTTTCACCATGTTGGTCAGGCTGATCTCATACTCCTGACCTCAGGTGATCCACCCGTCTTCGCCGCCCAAAGTGCTGTGATTACAGGCATGAGCAACTGTGCGTGACCAGATACTTTTCTTTTCTTAAAGAAGGTCTGCTAATGGGCAGGTAGGTCATGTACGGACAGGCATAACTTCTCCTCACCTAGGCCGCAGCAGCACCTGTCTTACACAAGCTCCAGGCCTACCTGCGCCTCTGCTCCTGAGATGTATTTCCTTTTTAACTTCTCGCCTCCACCCAGCAACCCCTGCCCTGGAGTTTCTTTAGTTGTACTGGCTACAGTTTTGAGGGACTGTTCTCCATACAAATTGGAGCTCTCCTCTGCCACCAAGTGAAAGTGTGCTAGAAAAGAGTTCACTGAATGACCCTCTTGTTGCCATTGAATTTCATACAGGGTCTCACCAATCCACGTGCAAACAGGCCAGAAAGAGCCATGACAATGACCAGCTGTGGAGGGATTCATAGATAAAGCCACATTCCTGCAAGAAAGACAGGCAAGTTTCCTCAAAAAAAATTTTGTTGTTAGACAGAGTCTCGCTCTGTTGCTCAGGCTGTAGACAGTCGTGCCACCTCGGCTCACTGCAACCTCCGCCTACCGGGTTCAAGCAATCCTCCCGAGTCAGTCTCCCGAGTTGCTGAAACTACAGATGCCCGCCACCATGCCTGGCTAATTTTTGTATTTTTAGTAGAGATGGGATTTCAGCATGTTAGCCAGGCTGGTCTCAAACTCCTGGCCTTAAGTGATCTGGCTGCCTCAGTCTCCCAAAGTCCTGGGATTACAGGCGTGAGCCACTGCACCTGGCTGGTTTCTCAAAAATTAAACAAAAGCCGGGCTTGGTGGCTCATGCCTGTAATCCCAGCAACTTTGGGAGGCCAAGATGGGAGGATCTCCTAACTCCAGGAGTTCAAAACTGGCCTGGGCAACATGGTGAGACCCCGTCTCTTCAAAAATTAAAAAAAAATATATTAGCCAGGCATGGTGGTGTGCACCTGTGATCCCAGTTACTTGGAAGGCTGAAGCTGGAGGATCGCTTGAGCCAGGAGGTGGAAGCTGCAGTGAATCCTGTCTGCCCCACTGCATTCCAGCCTGGGTGACAGAGTGATATCCTGTCTCAAGAAAAAAAAAAGAAAAGAAAAAGTATAGAAATCTAGCAATTCCACTTCTGGGTATAGAATCAAAGGAATTGACCACAGAATCTTGAAGAGAGATTTGCACACCCATGTTCACAGCAGCGTGATTTACGATAGCCAAAAGGTGGAATCAACCCAACTGTCCATCAACAGATGGATGAATGGGCAAAATGTGGTCCAGCCACATAGTGGAATAGTATTCAGCCTGAAAAAGGAAGGAAATTCTGGCCCATGCTACAACATGGATGCATCTTGACGACATTAGGTTCAGTGAAATAAGACAAACACAAAAGGACAAATTGTGTATGATTCTGCTTATCTGAGGTCCCTAGAGAATCAAATTCATAGAGACAGAAAGTAGAATGGGAGTTGCAGGGGCTGCAGGGAGGAAGATGGGGGAGTTAGTGTTTAATAAGTGCAGAGATTCAGTCAGAGAAAATGAAATAGTTCTGGAGATGGATGGTGATGACGGTTGCACCACGATGTGAACATCCTTAAATGCCACTGAACTGTACACTTTAAAGTGGCTAAAATGTTGGGCGTGGTGGCTCACGCCTATAATCCCAGCACTCTGGGAGGCTGAGTTGGTGGATCACCTGAGGTCAGGAGTTCAAGACCAGCCTGGGCAACATGGGAAAACCCTGTCACTACAAAACAAAAAAAAATACGAAAATTAGCCAGGTGTCATGGTGTGCACCTGTAGTCCCAGGTACTCAGGAGGCTGAGGTGGGAGGCTCACCTGAGTCTGGGAGGGGAATTTTGCAGTGAGCCGAGATTGTACCACTGCACTCCAGCCTGGGTGATAGAGTGAGACCCTGCCTAAAAAGAGAAAAAGTCCGCTGATGCAGGTGGATCACCTGAGGTTGAGAGTTTGAGACCGGCCTGGCCAACATGGTGAAACCACGTCTCTACCAAAATTACAAAAATTACCTGGGTGTGATGGCGAGCACCTGTAATCCCAGCTACTGGGGAGGCTGAGGCAGGAGAATTGCTTGAACCCGGGAGGTGGAGGCTGCAGTGAGCCAAGACTGTGCCACTGCACTCCAGCCTGGACAACAGAGTGAGACTCCATCTCAAAAAAAAAAAAAAGTGGCTAAAATGGTCAATTTTATAATTATATTTTACCACAATTTTAGAAAGAGAAAGAGAGAGAGAGAAGGAGAGAGGCAAGTTATGAACAAGGAGAACAGGGGATGAGCATGTGGTAGGCACTGATCCAGGCCCTTTGAGAGCTAGGCGGGAGAGAACACTTAACCCCCCCAATTAAGGGGGCATGATGTGGTTAATTCTTTCCTCAAATCTACTTACTCATATCCCAGCAGTTTTATAGGGCTGTGTACTTCCGAAAATTCCCAATATAGATGCTCCCAGCTTACAATGGGGTTACACTGCCTGCTAACCCATCGTAAAGTCAAAAAATTGTTAAGTGGGCCAGGCATAGTGGCTTATGCCTGCTGTCCCAGCACTTTGGGAGGCTGAGGCAGGCAGATCACTTGAGGCCAGGAGTTCAAGACCAGCCTGGCCAACATGGTGAAACCCCTTCTTTATTGAAAATACAATAATTAGCTGGGTGTGGTGGCGGGCGCCTGAAATCCTAGCTACTCCCGAGACGGAGGCAGGAGAATCACTTGAACCCGGGAAACGGAGGTTGCAGTGAGACAAGATTGTGCCACTGCACTCCAGCTCAGGTGACACAATAAGACCCTGTCTCAAAATAATAACAATAATAATAATAAATTGTTAAGCGGCGCCATCACAAGTATGGTACTGTCTAAATTTGTTTCCCTCCCACATTCCTGCCTGTACTTCCTTAGACTTTGCCAGTGGTTCTCAGTGTGGGCTGAAATTGGAAACCCCTGGGGTACTGTAAAAAGCACCAATGCCAGAGTCCCATGTCCAGAAATTCACATGTAATTGGATGGGGTGGCCGGGGTATGAGGCAGTTTCAGATCCCTCTGGGTGACTGTCAGGTACAGCCTGAGCGGAGAACCACTGGTTCAGGCCACGGTTCCTTCACTGGGTGATGAGCGAGGCCTCCTGCCTCCAGGCGTCACGGCCTTCCTGCCGTCCCCAGGACTGGATGCCACTGATCTGTGGAGGGGTCGGCCAACCCTGCAATAGGGATCAGCTCCGACCCACGGACGGAGTTCCGCCCTCCGCATGCTTTTGTAAATAAAGTGTCATTCGCCCCTAGCCGACGCTGATTCATTTGGGACTGCGGGGTCTGCAAAGCCTAAAATACTGATGAGCTCGTCCTTTTCAGAACATGTTTGCCAGCCCCTGCATGCTGCAGCCCAAGACCAAAAGTCCTGCAAGTCTCTGGAGTTCGCTTCCTGCTGCAGGTCCTGCCTCACGGGTATTGGATCAGTTACCTGCTCTAGGGACACTCCCTGTTGTTTGGGGCAGAATGGGGTGCACCTCCTCTTGCCCTCACAGTGCCTGGGTCCCCTTAACTCACTGTTCTCCTTGTTTGTGACTGGCCTGCCTCTCTTGCAGAATGGGGAGAGCCCGCAGGGTGGAGGGAGCAGGGCTTCATCTATGAATCTCATAGCTAGCCAGGGTCTGGCATACAGTAGGCGCTCAAGGTATGTGCTGTCTCAGTGGTTTAGTTGAATGATCTTCACTAAAGCCTTATCAAAGCATATGCTGGCCCGGGAGCTGTGGCTCACGCCTGTAATCCCAGCACTTGGGGAGGCTGAGGCAGGTAGATCACCTGAGCCCAGGAGTTCAAGACCAGCCTGGGCAACCTAGTGAGAACCCATCTCTACAAAAAAGAAAAAGAAAAAGAAAAAAAAAAAGCACTACATGCGGTGGTGCTTGCCTATAGTCCCAGCTACTGGGGTGGCTGAGGTAGGAGGACAGCTTGAGACCTGGGGTTGAGGTGGTGGGTTGAGGCTGCAGTGACCCGTGATTGTTCCACTCTACTCTATCCTGGGCAACAGAGCAAGACCTTGTCTCAACAAAAGAAAGAAAGAAAAAAAAAAAAGCCTAGGCTGACTGTTCATAGGATGAGTAGAGGAGTCTTGGTTTGTGCAGAGAAAACTAGAGAGATTAAAAAAATATTTGGCTGATTTAAAGCTTTCTCTGACTTCACTTTTGCTAAGAATTTGATGACTGTCATTCATCGAATCGCAATAACAGCAAACAATACAGGTTTTTTTTTTTGCAAACAATAACAAAAATAGTTTTCATAATGTGCCAAGTATGATATAAAGTGCTTTACATGTATATCATTCACATAATTCTCACAACAACCCTATGATGGGAGCTATTATTCCTGATGTACAGATGAGGAAACTGAGGCACAGAGTGGGTAAGCGAGTTGCCCAGGTTATATACAGCTAGTAAGTGACAGAGCTGAGACTCAAATCAGGCAGCCTGGGGCCAGAGTCCAAGCTTTTTTTTTTTTTTTCTCTCTTTTTGTGGCAGGATCTCGCTGTCTTGCCCAGGCTGGACGGCAGTGGTGCAATCACAGCTCACTGTAGCCTCCACCTCCCAGGCTCAACTGGCCCTCCTGCTTTAGCCTCCTGAATGGCTGGGACTACAGGCATGCAGCACCATGGCCCGGCTACGTTTTTTTTGTTTTTTTTTTTTTTGAGACTGTCTTGCTCTGTCATCCCGGCTAGAGTGCAGTGGCACCATCTCGGCTCACTGCAACCTCCACCTCCCAGGTTCAAGCAATTTTCCCTGCCTCAGCCTCCTGAGTAGCTGGGATTACAGGCACCCGCCACCATGCCTGGCTAATTTTTGTTTTGTTTTTTTTTTAATAGAGATGGGGTTTTGCCATATTGGCCAGGTTGGCCTTGAAGTCATGACCTCAGGTGATCCACCCACCTGGGCCTCCCAAAGCGCAGGGATTACAGGCGTGAGCCACCGTGCCTGGCCAGGTTTTCTAGTTTTCGTACAGATGAGGTCTCACTACCTTGTCCTGGTGGATTTTTACCTCCTAGCCTCAAGTGATCCTCCTGCCTCCGCCTCCCAAAGTGTTGTGATTACAGAAGTGAGTCACCACACCTGGCCCAGAGTCAGAGCTTTTAACCACTATGTTACACTGCTTGAGAGTCACAGTAAGTAATAATAACCCCACCCACAACCATGCAATTGTGAAGCCACCTCACAGGGTCTCAGCAAGAGCCACCCTTCCAGTACAGCAGTCATCGGCCCCACCCGCTCTGCTGAAGCCTGCAGGGGAGGCTGCACGGGCAAGGCAGATGACGCATCCTCTCAGAGAAGAGGAGTTCAAATCCCAGAGCCGCCTCTTCCTAGCTATGTACCCTCAGACAAGATCATTAATTTGTTTTCCTCATCCTTAACAATGGGGCTCACAGCCTCTTCCCTGGGCTGTTGTGAGGGTGACATAAAGCATGTCCCAGAGCAGATACAAAAGAGGCCAGGTGTGCACAGGGTGGTGGGTCGGGCCATTCAGCCCAATTGGGGCCATTCATTTAATGGGATCCGGATACACCTTCGTCTACGGATCTAGCCAATTGCTGCTGCCTATTTAGGTTTTGCCTGAATCTTGATCAAGAATATCTGATAACCTTTCCTGCTTTGTTTTATTTGAAAACATTGTAAACTCAAAAGGGCTTTTTAAGTCACCTCTGGCCTCCGCCCTCCGAGCGGCACTCTCTCCAAGCCACTTTATATACACATTCAGCCCTCCTCTCCCTTCTACCAGGAGTAAGACCATGGCCATGTCTCACTGATGATCCAATAGGATAGAGACGGACAGAGAAAGAATCCAGCCCCGACAAAGCACACTTAACTTTCCAGCCGGGCACGCCTGTCAAAAATAGGAAATGAGTTTCTGTGAAGCTCTCTCTCTTCCTCCTCTGAGAAAATCAAATTGAGTCTCAAATTAACCCAAAGGTGAAGAGACTGGCTGTGGTTTTATCTTTCTGTCAACCCCCTCTTCGCCCTTCTTAGATTTATTAATGTAAACCAATCTGTGGACCTTTTGGCCTCATGAATTGGAACTAAAGCTGGTACTGAGGGAGGGGAAAGGCTTTACGCTAAGGCAACAGCGCCACCTTGTGACCAATATTTTTACTACTGTCAATGCGCTCCAGCCGCGGACCTCAGAGGGTGGTGATGCGGGTAAAATATGAACAAGATTGCTTCCCGAAACTTCTCGGTTTTGTCAGCTGTTTTATATATATATATATATATATATATGTTTTAATATATGTGTTTATATATGTGTTAATAAATATATTTTTATATATTTTATGTTTTAATGTTTTTATATGTTTTTATATATATTTGTTTTTATATATGTTTATACATATTTGTTTTAAAATATATATATGCTTGTTCATTTATTTTTCTGCATCCAATCATCCATTATATTTATTTCTAAGAGACGGGTCTTGCTTTGTCACCCAGGCTGGAATGCAGTGGCTACGGTCATGGCTCACTGCGGCCTTGACTTCCTGGGCTCAAGCGGTCCTCCCAACAGAGCCTCCCAAAGTGTTGGGATTACAGGCGTGAGCCACTGCGTCCAGCCTTGTCAGCTGTTCAAGTCTTAACCTGAGCATTAAATACGGACCATACACATGTAAATCACGGATATACAGTGCCTTGCCTGTTTCTGCATGTACCTCAAGAGTTCTAGACTCCGGAAAATGGGTGCTCTTTATTCATTAGGTGGCTTATGAACACGTTTTGCGTTTTAATGCATTGTCATTAACCCATTCATACTGTGTCCCAAACCCTGTAGTGACATCAGAGAGAAAAATGATACATACCACAGAGTCCCTGACTTCGGACAGATGACAACCCGGTCAAGATGATTAAGTTCCCTCAAATTGCCTTGAATTGGCCTGATACCGTCTCCCCACACCCTGTAGCACGCACATGCAGGTAGACAATGAAATTAAGTGGATTTCAAACACGACCACACTAACTCTAAAGCATTCGTCACTGGCCAAGCAAATGCGATTAGGAGCTTACTCGAGCTAGCAGATTCCTTCAATGCATTCAGTCCTCCCCTCACCCAAGGACAGATTAGGAAGCTCCAGCCAATGGCGCATGTCTGTCTGTCACTGAGAAGGAAAATGGAAGTATCTTTTCTTGAGGAGAGAGTTCCCTTCGTCTTTTCTTTTTTTCCTTTATCTCTTTTTTGCTTTGTTCCCTCCCTCCCTCCCTTCTTCCCATCTTTCTTTTTAACTTTCAGCATTTCAAATCTCCAGTGGATACATTTCTGGTGAAAAGTCTAACTAGAAAAAAAATTGGGGTAGTGGTGGTGGTGGTCATGCTGGAATTTTACAACACGGATTATCTCAGGGTACTCAGAAAACTCTAACGGCTACTATTATGAGTGTCTTTTATAAAGAAAAATTGGAAACCTAAGTTGACTGTTTCTTAATAAATTCAGTTTGTTTGGCAGACAACATATCTCCAGGCGGAGGAGCTTTATTTTTTGTTTTATCTTTCATCTTTAGATGAAACAGGTGGAACCCCTGCTTTAGATAGAAGTAGGTGCTGACCTCTAGTGGACATGTGTAGCAATACAGCTCTACACAGAAGTAGGTGCTGACCTCTAGTGGACATGTGTAGCAATACAGCTCTACACGGAAGTAGGTGCTGACCTCTAGTGGACATATATAGCACTACAGCACTGCAGAGAAGTTGCTTAGGGAGAATACTATTGAAAAATGCACTCTAGAAAGATTGCTCTGTTTTCTGCTTTTGCGGATCCCTCAGGATCCTGAAAATCTCTCCTGTACCTTCCACATTTTGGGAGTGCTACAGTTTGGGTATCTGACCCTCCAGATCTCATGTTGAAATTTGGCCCCCACCATTGGAGGTGGGCCTAGTGGCAGATGTTTGGTCATGGGGCAGATACCTTATGAATAGATTAATGCCCTGGGCAGGGGGTTAAAACGAGCTCTTACTCTGTTAGTTCTGGAGGGCTGATTGTCAGAACGAGCCTGGCACCTCCACCCCCACCTTGCTTCCTTTCTTTCCATGTGGTCTCTGTACACACCAGCTCCCTTTCACCTCTGCCCTGAGTGGAGGCAGCCAGAGGCCCTCACCAAAAGCAGATGCTAGCACCACGCTCCTTGCACAGCCTGCAGAACCATGAACCAAATTAAATATCTCTTCTTTATAAATTACCCAGTCTTAGGTATTCCTTTATAGCAACATAAAATGGACTAAGACAAGGAGGCACAAATCTGCAATTCTTTGGCTGATAAATTATCAAATATAGCTAACCTAACTAGCTTCCTCCGTTTTGCATATGTCTGGCCTGTCTCCTGGCACCTCTGCTTTCTCTTCATGAAGCACCCAGGTAACCCATTATCCAGAGCTCTTACTAATTCTGTTCAGTGTTTGTTTCTTGCTGCTGGGGCAGGAGGTGGAGAACAAAGGGAATGAGGGAACATTGAGAAATTTCTCTTCATTGTGACCAGCTAGGGCAAATTGTCCTTGGTCTTCTAACCCAGCAGCAAGTATTCATTGCGAAAACACACACACACACACACACACACACACACACACACACACACACACGCATGCCATTTATGCAAAACACATTAGTGAGGGTATTTTTCCTCTTTAAGCACCAAGGAAAGCCAGGAAGAAACAGCGTAAAGAATTTTGGATGGGAAAACAAACAAGGTTCTAGTCCTGGCCCTGCTCAAATGACCATAGGGCACTAGGAAAGTCTATCAGTTCCTCAGTTTTCTTTTTTCTTGTTCCTTTTTTTTTTTTTTAAGACAGGTTCTCACTCTGTTGACCAGGCTGGAATGCAGTGGCATGGTCACTGCTCACTGCAACCTTGAATTCCTGGGCTCAAGCGATTGTCCTGCCTCAGCCTCACCAGTAGTTGGGATTACAGGCACACACCACCATGCCTGGCTAACTTTTTTTTTCTTTTTAGTAGAGATGAGGTCTTGTTGTGTTGCCCAGGCTCGTCTCAACCTCCTGGGATCAAGCAAGCCTCCTGCCTCAGCCTCCCACCTGCTGAGGCTACAGGTATGAGCCACCCCTCCTGGCCCTCATTTTTCTCAAATGTAAAGTGAGAGAGTCTAATTAAGTGACCTTTAAAGACAAATTTAGCTTTACTTTTGTATGATTTATGTTGTCTGGACTCTTACTGAAATTTCTATTCAAAGGCCCCACCCCTGAAAATTTGGTTGTTAGTGCATAGCAATGCCCGGGAAGACAGTGTGGTTTCAGGCCTGTAAGATATCAGATTGGCCCATATTAGGCATGTATTAGTTATCAATTGTTGTGTAACACATTGCCATAATGCTTAGTGGCTTAAAACAACAACATTTATTATCCCACCCCATCTGTGGGTCAGGAATCTGGCTGTGGCTTACCTGGGTCTCCTGTCTCAGAGCCTCTTACGTGGGTGCAATCGAGGTGTCAGTTGGGGCTGTGGTCTCACCTGAAGGCCTGACTGGGAGCAGGATTCATTTTAATGCTTACTCTTGTGGCTACTAGCAGGCTTCATTTCCTTATGGACTGTTCAGTTGAGGGTTTCAGTTTCTCTTCTCTTCTCTTTTCTTTCTTTCCTTCTTTTTTTTTTTTTTCAGGGTCTCACTCTGTCACCCAGGCTGGAGTACAATGGTACAATCTCAGCTCACTGCAACCGCTGCCTCCCAGGCTCAAGCAATCTTCCCACCTCAGCCTTCTGAGTAGTTGGGACTACAGGTGCAAACCACCACACCCAGCTGATTTTTGTAGTTTTTGTAGAGATGGGGTTTCACCATGTCACCCAGGCTGGTCTTGAACTCTTGGACTCAAGCAGTCTGCTCACCTCAGCCTCCAAAACTGCTGGGAGTACAGGAAGCAGCCATCGTGCCAGGCTGGTTTCAGTTTCTTGTACATGGGCTTCTCCATAGGGCAGTTCATAACAAGGCAGTGTGCTTCATCAGAATAAGCAAGTAAGAAGAGCTGGGGAGAAAGAGAGAAGAGGAGATGGAAGTTACACACTCTTGGGAGCTAATAAGTGACGGCCCATCACTTGTGCCATGTTGTATTGATTAGAAGTGAGTTACTAATTTCAGCCACTAAAGGAGAGGTGATAATACAAGGAAGTGTGTGGTAGGAATACTAGGAGGCAAGGGGTCTTTGGGAGCTATTAAGAAGCTGCCTATCATGCTGTGTGACTTCAGGAAAGTGAATGTCCATGTACTTGTTTCTTTCATTGTAAAATGGGGATAATAATGCCTACCTCATAGACTTGAGGTAGGAAATACATGTAGATTACTGGGTACATTTTACCTCACAGCCATGTGATCATTACTTCCCGTATCCTCCGTGTAGGAGGCCTTCCATATACAAGAGTGGATAATTGAATTATCCATGCTGTTTTATGTTTTCTCCCCAAATAGGCTTTGAGCTCCCTGAGGAATAGTAGCAAATGGAAAATAATGAAAATGTGATGATTTATTTATTTTACCCTTACAGTTCCAAATCAAAATAATAAGATAATCTTTAAGCCACCAATTATATGCAGGAAAGAAGTTCAGTAGTCATTGGAAGGCTGGTTTCTGTAATTCTCACCATGGTATTCCTAGCACCATAGCACCTGGTCTGTGGCAGACACTTAATAAATATCTCCTGAATTGTACACTGTTTTTGTTTTATAAACTATTTCTCAAGGAAACTGAAATAGCATATTGTTTTGGCTTAAAGAGGCTGCAATCTTCTTAATCTCATAGGGAATATTATTGAAAAGAAAGAACCCAGACATCATTGTCTTATCCTTTGTTAAAGTCATGAATTTTTCCACGTGGAATATTGTATGATTTATGGTACTTTAAGAAAAGAAGCTCCCAAGAAAGCATAGTTTGAATGATGAATATTATCAGAAATCCAAAGGCCTGTATCTTCAGCATAAGGGTGAACTAGCCCTCAGGTTTTCATATCTGGTTTGTTCAGGAAACCTCAAGCAGTTCCTAGATGGGTAGTGCTTCTACTGCAGGCAGGAGCATGTGCAAATCCTCTCTGGGGAAAAGAAGCTTCACCCAATGTCTAAGTGCTTCCTATAAATAATTTTTTTTTTTGAGATAGAGTCTCACTTTGTTTCCCAGGCTGGAGTGCAGTGGCACAATCTCGGCTCACTGCAACATTTGTCTCCTGGGTTCAAGTGATTCTCCTGCCTCATCCTCCCAAGTAGCTGGGATTACAGGGGCCTGCTACCATGCTTGGCTAATTTTTTGTATTTTTAGTAGAGATGGAGTTTCACCATGTTGGTCAGGCTGGTCTTGAACTCCTGAGCACAAGTGATTCACCCACTTCAGCCTCCCAAAGTGCTGGGATTACAGGTGTAAGTATCATGCCTGACAATAATTATTGTTAGTATAATAGCAGTACACAAAAATAATAAATGCAAAAGGAGAACAAAACATAACTAAGAACCAGAAAAACAACAGAACAAAGTCCACAAAGATGTCATTGGAATATTAAAATTCCAATAAGAATTGAAACAGTTGAACACAATTAAACAACTGTCATTCTTACTATATTTAAATGAACAAAACATAAGCTTGGATGCATCTACGGGGAAATAGAAGTAAACAACAACAAAAAGCAAATATAATAGAAAAAACAAATATAGCTTCTAGAAATAGAACACACAATCCTGAAATTAAAAGTTCACCAGATTGGTTCACAATCATGTTAGACATAGCTGAGGAGATAATTAATCACCTTGAAAATAGGCACAAAAAATTTTCCAGAAAGTAGCGCAGAGAAACAAAAGATCAAATACATAGAAAAATGATTAATAGGCAGAGAGAAAAAGTCTAACATATATTTTATTGATGTTCTATAAGTAGGGGGGAATGGGGCAGCAGCAACGTATGAACAGAGAAAGGTGAATAATTTTTTAGAAGTGCTGAGAGAGCAAACCACAGATTTGCTGTGAATCGCAAACTGGTTCAATACAAAAAAATTTACACTGAGATTACAGTAAAGCTTAAAAGATCAAAACAATGGAGATCTTAGAAACAACCATGCCCAGAAAAGGCTGGGCATGGTGGCTCATGTTTGTAATCCCAGCACTTTGAGAAGCTGAGGCAAGAGGATTGCCTGACGCCAGGAGTTTCAGAGGAGCCTGGGCAACGTACTGATACTCCATCTCTGAAAAAAAAAAAAAAGGATAATAATTAGCTGGGCATCATGGTGCACACCTGCAGCCCTAGCTACTTGGGAGGCTGAGGTGGGAGGATTGTTGGGTCCAGGAGTTTGAGGCTACAGTGAGCTGTGATTGTACCACTGCACTCTGGCCTCGGTGACAGAGCGAGACCCTGTGTCAAAAACAAAACAACAAAACAAAACAACCAGAGGAAAAAGACATCTTCAAAGGAGCAGCAGTGAGACCAACTGCTGACTTCTCAATGGCAACAATGGGAAACCAAAGACAATGGAATGGCATTGTCAATGCATTAAAAGAAAATAACTACTACTTTATATACCAGAAAGAGCTATTTCAGGAATGATTTTGAAATAGACATATTTTTCATACAGACAAAATGAAGGGTTTTTCATTATCAAATTCTCAATGAGGCAAATTCTAAAGGATATATTTCAAACAGAAATCATATGATACTAAATGGAAGAAATGAATATAGAACAAAAAGTGGTAAACATTGGCTGGGCATGGTGGCTCAAGCCTGTAATCCCAGCACTTTGGGAGACAGTTGTAGGTGGATCACCTGAGGTCAGGAGTTCGAGACCAGCCTGGCCAACGTGATGAAACCTCATCTCTACTAAAAATACAAAAATTAGCTGCATGTGGTGGTGGGCACCTGTAATCACAGCTACTCGGGAGGCTCAGGCAGGAGAATTGCTTGAGCCCAGGAGACAAATGTTGCAGTAAGCCGAGATTGCACCGCTGCACTCCAGCCTGGGTGACAAGAGCAAAACTCCATCTTAAAAAAAAAAAGTGGTAAATATCTAGATAAAATCTATATTAACATTGGTTAGATAAAACAATAATAATACCTTGCGAGGTTTAAAATAAAATTAAAATACATGACAATGCCAGCAAATATGTTGGAGAGGGAGAAATGAAATGTAAGTGTTCTAAAGATTTTTAATTGTCCAAGAAAAGAGTAAAATATTGACTAACTTTAGAATCTGATATGTTAATTATGCATGTTTTAATTTCTAGGTATCCAGTAACATAGTGGAAATAGAATATGTAACTTATAAATCAGGAGTAGGAAAAACAGAATAATAAAACATAATTAAGTAGCAAGAAGGGGGAAAACAGAACACACAGGACAATTAGAAAGCACAAAATAAGGCTGAGCATGATGGTTCATGCCCGTAATCCCAGCACTTTGGGAGACTGAGGCAGGCGGATAACTTGAGGCCAGTAGCTTGAGACCAGCCTGGCCAACATGATGAAACCCTATCTCTACTAATAACAAAACCCAAAACAAAACAAAAAAGAAAGCACAAAACAAGATGCTAGATTTAAACTAAATCTATTAGCAACTGCATTAGATATAAGTGAATCACATGCTCCAGTTAACAAAGATCCTCAGATTATTAAAAAAGAAGGAAAACGAAATCATGTGCTATTTAATAAGAGATGTTTTGAGCATAAAATAATCAAAGTATGAGTAAGAGGATAGTGTATTAGCTTTCTATTTCTGCTGTAACAATTTATCACAAACTTAGTGGCTTATGTGATACAAACAAGGTTTTATTGAGCTAAAATCAATATGTTTTCAGGGCTGTATTCTTCTTGCAGGTTTTAGATACAAAAACATTTTTGGCCAGGTGTGGTGGCTCATGCCTGTAATGCCAACATTTTGAGAGGCCAAGGCAGGAGGATTACTGTAGCCCAAGAGTTCAAGACCAGCCTGGGCAACATAGGGAAGCCCTATCTCTACATAAAATAAACAAAATTAGATGGGTTCAGTGGCATGTACCTGTAGTCCCAGCTACTCAGGAAGCTGAGGTGGGAGGACTGCTTGAGCCTGAGAGGTAGAGGCTGCAGTGAGCTGAGATTGTGACACTGTACTCTAGCCTGGGCAACAGAGTGAGACCCTGTCTTAAAAAAATAAAAAGAAATCTATTTTGGGGTCTTTTCCTGCTTCTGGAATCTTCTAGAAGTTGCCTACATTCCCTGGCTCATGGCCTTCCTCCTCCATCTTCAAAACCAGCAATATTGAGCCAAGTCTTTCTCACATTGCATCATTCTGACCCAGTCACTACTTCTGCCTCTTTCTTTCACTTTTAAGGACAATGATGATTATATTGGGCCCAATTGGCTAATTCAGGACACTTTCCCTATTTTAAGGTTAGGTGATCAGCACATATCTGCAACCTTAATTACCCTTGGCTACATAACATATTTGACAGGTTCTGAGGAATTAGAATGTGGACATCAATGAGGGCCATAGATAGGGAAAGATATACCATGAAAGTATTAATAAAAAAGAAAGCCAGGGTAGCTATAGTTTATGTTTTAGAGATAGATGTCTTGCTATATTGCCGAGGCTCACCTCAAACTCCTGGGCTCAAGGAATCCTCTTGCCTTAGCCTCCCCAGTAGCTGGGACTGTGGGCATGTGCCACCACACTCAGCTTCAGTGTAGCTATATTTATATTAGACACAACAAAATTTAAAAAGTCAAAAAAGACCTAAATACATATGCCCTATTCATCAACTGGAAGTCTTAATTTCATTAAAACACCAAATTTCACCAATTTAATCTGTGAATTTGATACAATCCCAACCAAAATCTCAGCAGGAGTTTTTGTAGACAGAAAAGTTAAACATAAAATTTATATTAAAAAGCAGAGGGGATTGCTGGCAAGATGGCCAAATAGGTACAGCTCTGGTCTGCAGCTCCCAGCAAAATCGACGCAGAAGGTTGGTGATTTCTGCATTTCCAACTGAAGTACCCGGTTCACCTCACTGGGACTGGTTGGACAGTGGATGCACCCCACAGAGGGCGAGCCGAAGCAGAGTGGGGCGTTGCTTCACCCAGAAAATGCAAGGGGTTGGGGAATTTTCTCCCCTACCCAAGGGAAGCCGGGAGGGACTGAGCCTGAGGAACCGTGCCCTCCAGCCCAGATACTGCGCTCTTCTCATGGTCTTTGCAACATGCAAACCAGGAGATTCCCTCCAGTGCCTAAGCCACCAGGGCCCTGGGTTTCAAGCACAAAACTGGGCGGCCGTTTGGGCAGACATTGAGTTAGCTGCTGGAGTTCTTTTTCCATACCCGACTGGCACCTGGAATGCCAGCGAGACAGAACCGTTTACTCCCCTGAAAAGAGGGCTGAAGCCAGGGAGCCAAGTGGTCTGGCTCGACGGGTCCCACCCCGACAGAACCCAGCAAACAAAGATCCACTGGCTTGAAATTCTCACTGCCAGCACAGCAGCAGTCTGAGATCGACCTGGGATGCTGGAGCTTGGTGGGGGGGGAGGGGCATCTGCCATTGCTGAGGCTTGAGTAGGTGGTTTTACCCTCACAGTGTAAACAAAGCCACCAGAATGTTCAAATGGGATGGAGCCCACCGTAGCTCAGCAAGGCCACTGTGGCCAGACTGCCTTTCTAGATTTCTCCTCGCTGGGCAGGGCATCTCTGGAAAAAAAAAGGCAGCAGCCCTAGTCAGAGACTCACAGATAAAACCCCCATCTCCCTGGACAGAGCACCTGGGGGAAGGGGCGGCTGTGGGCGCAGCTTCAGCAGATTTAAACGTCCCTGCCTAGCAGCTCTGAAGAGAGCAGCAAATCACCAAGCACAGCATTCGAGCTCTGCTAAGGGTCAGACTGCTTCCTCAAGTAGGTCCCTGACAGCCGTATACACTGACTGGGAGACACCTCTCAGTAGAGGCCAAAAGACACCTCATACAGCAGAACTCTGGCTGGCATCTGGCAGGTGCCCCTCTGGGATGAAGATTCCAGAGGAAATAATAGGCAGTAATATTTGCTGTTCTGCAGCCTCCGTGGTAATAGCCAGGCAAAAGGTCTGGAGTGGACCTCCAGCAGATGTGCAGCAGAGGGACCTGACTGTTAGAAGGAAAACTAAAAAACAGAAATGAATAGCACGTCCACTCAGAGACCACATCCAAAGGTCACCAACTTCAAAGACCAAAGGTAGATAAATCCACAAAGATGTGGAGAAACCAGCACAAAAAGCCTGAAAATTCCAAAAACCACAACGCCACTTCTCCCACAAAGGATCACAACTCCTCGCCAGCAAGGGAACAAAACTGGACGGAGAATGAGTTTGACGAATTCACAGAAGTAGGCTTCAGAAGGTGGGTGACAACAAACTCCTCCAAGCTAAGAGAGCATGTTCTAACCCAATGCAAGGAAGCTAAGAACCTTGAAAACAGGTTAGACAAATTGCTAACTAGAATAATCAGTTTAGAGAAGAACGTAAGTGACATGATGGAGCTGGAAACACAGGACAAGAACTCCGTGAAGCATATGCAAGTATCAATAGCTGAATCTATCAAGTGGAAGAAAGGATATCAGACATCGAAGATCAACTTAATGAAATAAAGCATGAAGACAAGATTAGAGAAAAAAGAATGAAAAGGAACGAACAAAGCATCCAAGAAATATGACACTACGTGAAAAGACCAAACTTACATTTGATTAGTGTACATGAAAGTGACACGGAGAATGAAACCAAGTTGGAAAACACTCTTCAGGATACAATCCAGGAGAATTTCACCAACCTAGCAAGACAGGCCAACATTCAAATTCAGGAAATACAGAGAACACCAAAAAGATACTCCTTGAGAAGAGCAACCCCAAGACACATAATTGTTAGATTCACCAAGGTTGAAATGAAGGAAAAAATGTTAAGCGTAGCCAGAGAGAAAGGTTGGGTTACCCGCAATGGGAAGCCCGTCAGACTAACAGTGGATCTCTCAGCAAAACCCTACAAGCCAGAAGCGAGTGGGGGTCAATATTCAACATTCTTAAAGAAAAGAATTTTCAACTCAGAATTTCATATCCAGCCAAACTAAGCTTCATAAGTGAAGGAGAAATAAAATCCTTTATAGGCAAGCAACTGCTGAGAGAGTTTGTCAGCACCAGGCCTGCCTTACAAGAGCTCCTGAAGGAAGCACTAAGCATGGAAAGGAACAACTGGTACCAGCCACTGCAAAAACATGCCAAATTGTAAAGAACATAGATACTATGAAGAAACTACATAAACAAATGAGCAAAATAACCAGCTAGCATCATAATGACAAGATCGAATTCATACATAACAATGTTAAACTTAAATGTAAATGGGCTGATTGCCCCAATTAAAAGACACAGATTGGCAAACTGGACAACGAGTCAAGACCCATCAGTGTGCTGTATTCAGGAGACCCATTTCATGTGCAGACACACATAGGCTCAAAATAAAGGGATGGAGGAATATTTACCAGGCAAATGCAAAGCAAAAAAGAGCAGGAGTTGCAGTTTTAATCTTGGATAAAAGAGACTTTAAACCAACAAAGATTAAAAGAGACAAAGAGGGCATTACATAATGGTAAAGAGATCAATGCAACAAGAAGAGCTAACTATCCTAAATATATGTGCAGCCAATACAGAAGCACCCAGATTCATAAAGCAAGTTCTTAGAGACCTACAAAGAAACTTACACTCCCACACAATATTATTGGGAGACTTTAACACCCCACTGTTAATATTAGACAGATCAATGAGACAGAAAATTAACAAGGATATTCAGGACTTGAACTCAGCTCTGGACCAAGCGGACCTCATAAACATCTACAGAACTCTCCATCCAAAATCAACAGAATATTCCGCTCAGCACCACATCGTACTTATTCTAAAATTGACCACATAATTGGAAGTAAAACACTCCTCAGCAAATGCAAAAGAATGGAAATCATAACAAACAGTCTTTCATACCACAGGGCAATCAAATTAGAAATCAGGATTAAGAAACTCACTGAAAACCGCACAACTACATGGGAACTGAATAACCTGCTCCTGAATGACTACTGGGTAAATAACGAAATTGATGCAGAAATAAAGATGTTCTTTGAAACCAATGAGCACAAAGACACAACGTACCAGTATCTCTGGGACACATTCAAAGCAGTATGTAGTGGGAAATTTATAGCACTAAATGCCCACAAGAGAAAGCAGGAAAGATCTAAAATCAACACCCTAACATCACAATTAGAAGTACTAGAGAACCAAGAACAAACACATTCAAAAGCTGGCAAAAGACAAGAAAAAAACTAAGAAGAGAGCAGAACTGAAGGAGATAGAGACACAAAAAACCCTTCAAAAAAATCAATGAATCCAGGAGCTGGTTTTTTGAAAAGATCAACAAAATAGACCACTAGCCAAACTAATATAGAAGAAAAGAGAGAAGAATCAAATAGAGGCAATAAAAAATGATAAAAGGGATATCACCATTGATACCACAGAAATACAAACTACCATCAGAGAATACCATCAACACCTCTACACAAATAAAGTAGAAAATATAGAAGAAAATGGATAAATTTCTGGAGACATACACCCGTCCAAGCCTAAACCAGGAAGAAGTTGATTCCCTGAATAGACCAATAACAGGTTCTGAAATTGAGGCAATAATTAATAGCTTACCAACCAAGAAAAGTCCAAGACCAGAATGATTCACAGCAGAATTCTAAAAGAGGTACAAAGAAGAGCTGGTACCATTTCTTCTGAAACTATTCCAAACAATAGAAAAAGAGGGAATCCTCTGTAACTCATTTTATGAGGCCAGCATCATCCTGATACCAAAACCTGGCAGAGACACAACCAAAAGACAAAATTTCAGGCCAATATCCTTGATGAACATCAATACAAAAATCCTCAATAAAATACTGGCAAACCGAATCCAGCAGCACATCAAAAAGCTTATCCACCAAGATCAACTTGGCTTCATCCCTGGGATGCAAGGCTGGTTCAACATATGCAAATCAATAAACATAATTCATCACATAAACAGAACCAATGACAAAAACCACATGATTATCTCAGTAGATACAGAAAAGGCCTTCGACAAAACTCCACACCATTTTAACCTAAAAACTCTCAATAAACTAGGTATCGATGGAACGTGTGTTGAAATAATAATAGCTATTTATGACAAACCCACAGCCAATATCCTACTGACTGGGCAAAAGCTGGAAGCATTTCCTTTGAAAACCAGCATAAGACAAGGATACCCTCTCTCACCACTCCTATTCAACATAGTATTGGAAGTTCTGGCCAGGACAATAAGGCAAGAGAAAAAATAAAGGGTATTCAAATAGGAAAAAAGGAAGTCAAATTGTCCCTATTTGCAGATGACATCACTGTATATTGAGAAAATCCCATTGTCTCTGCCCCAAATCTCCTTAAGCTGATAAGCAACTTCAGCAAAGTCTCAGGATACAAAATCAATGTGCAAAAATCACATACCTATACACCAGAAACAGACAAACAGAAAGCCAAATCATGAGTGAACTCCCATTCACAAGTGCTACTAAGAGAATAAAATACCTAGGAATCCAACTTACAAGGGACGAGAAGCACCTCTTCAAGGAGAAGTGCAAACCACTGTTCAAGGAAATAAGAGAGGACACAAATAAATTGAAAAACATTCCATGCTCATGGAGAGGAAGAATCAATACCGTGAAAATGGCCATACTGCCCAAAGTAATTTATAGATTCAATGCTATCCCCATCAAGCTACCCCTGCCTTTCTTCACAAAATTGGAAAAACTACTTTAAACTTCATATGGAACCACAAAAGAGCCCACATAGCCAAGACAATCCTAAGCAAAAAGAACGAAGCTGGAAGCATCACACTACCTGACTTCAAACTATACTACAAGGCTACAGTAACCAAAACAACATGGTACTGGTACCAAAACAGATATATAGACCAATGAAACAGAACAGAGACCTCTTAAATAACACCACACATCTAAAACCATCTGATCTTTGACAAACCTGACAAAAAGAAGCCATGGGGAAAGAATCCCCTATTTGATAAATAGTGTTGGGAAAACTGGCTAGCCATATGCAGAAATCTGAAACTGGATTTGTTCCTTAAACGTTACACAAAAATTAACTCAAGATGGATTAAACACTTAAACCTAAGACCTAAAACCATAAAAACCCTAGAAGAAAACCTAGGCGATACCATTCAGGATCTAGGCCTGGGCAAAGACTTCATGACTAAAACACCAAAAGCAAAGGCAACAAAAGCCAAAATTGACAACTGGGATCCAGTTAAACTAAAGAACTTCTGCACAGCAAAAGAAACTATCATCAGAGTGAACAGGCAACCTACAGAATGGGGGAAAATTTTTTGCAATCTGTACATCTGACAAAGGGCTAATATCCAGAATCTACAAAGAACTAAAACAAATTCACATGAAAAAAAAAAGAACCCCATCAAAAAGTGGGCAAAGGATATGAACAGACACTTCTCAAAAGAAGACATTGATGCAGCCAACAAACATAAAAAAAAGCTCATCATCACTGGTCATTAGAGAAATGCAAATCAAAACCACAATGAAATACCATCTCACACCAGTTAGAATGGTGATGATTAAAAAGTCAGGAAACAACAGCTGCTGGAGAGGATGTGGAGAAATAAGAACGCTTTTACACTGTTGGTGGGAGTGTAAATTGGTTCAACTGTTGTGGAACACAGTGTGGCGATTCCTCAAGGATCTAGAACAAGAAATAACATTTGACCCAGTAATCCCATTACTGGGTATATACCCAAAGGATTATAAATCATTCTATTAGAGGGGCACATGCAAATGTATGTTTATTGTGGCACTGTTAAAAATAGCAAAGACTTGGAACCAACCCAAATGCCCATCAATAATAGACTGGACAAAGAAAACGTGGCACATATACACCATGGAAAACTATGCAGCCATAAAAAAAGATGAGTTCATGTCCCTTGCAGTGACATGGATGAAGCTGGAAACCACCATTCTCAGCAAACTAACACAAGAACGGAAAACCGAACACCACATGTTATCAGTCATAAGTGGGAGTTGAACAATGAGAAGACATGGACACAGGGAGGGGAACATCACACATCAGTGGCCTGTTCAGGGTTGAGGGGCTAGGGGAGGGATAGCATTAGGAGAAACACCTAATGTAGACGACAGGTTGATGGGTGCAGCAAACCACCATGGCACGTGTATACCTATGTAACAAAACTGCACATTCTGCACATATACCCCAGAACTTAATGTACAATTAAAAAAATCCTCAGCAAAATACTAGCAAACAGAATCTGGCAATATATAGAAAGAATATACACTATGACGATCCCAGGAATGCAAGTGTGTTTAACATACCTAAATCGATTAACATAATATACTCATAAATAGAATGAAGGACAAAAAAACCAGATGATCATCTCAATAGTTGCAGAAAAAGCATTTCACAAAATCCAACACCCTGTCATGAAAAAAAACCACCCAACAATCCAGGAATAGAAGGGAAATTCCTCACCCTGATAAAGAACATCTAGGGAAACCAACAAGTAACATCATACTTAAAGGTAAAAGTCTGAATTTAAAGATTAAGAACAAGATACTGACATCTGCTCTTGCCACTTCTATTGAACATTGTTTTAGAGGTTCTAGTGAGGGCAATTAGGTAAGAAAATGAAATAAAAATGGATACAGATTGGAAAAGAAGAAGTAAAACTATCTCTGTTTGCAGATGACATGAGCTGGTATACAGAAAATACAAGAAAATCCACTAAAAATCTCTTAGAACTAACAAGTGAGTCTTGCAAGTTTCAGAATACAAGATGAATATAAACAATATTTCATTGTATTTCTATGGTTTCCTATCTTTTTCATTTCACCAAGTCCTGATGGAATCAATTGTATTTTTGTACAGTAGCAATGAGCAAACTAAAAATGAAATTAAGAGAGTAGTTTTATTTAGAACAGCACCAAAAAGAATAAAATACTATATTTGTCCATTCCCAACTGCTATGAAGAAATACCTGAGACTGGGTAATTCAAAACGAAGAGGTTTAATTGGCTCATAGTTCTACTGGATGTACAGGAAGCATGGCAGCATCAGCTTCTAGAGAGGCCTCAGGAAACTTTCAATCATGGCGGAAGGCAAAGGGGGAGTGAGGCATCTCATGGTCAGAGTAGAAACAAGAACGAGTGAGGTGGGAGGTGCTACACACTTTTAAACGACTAGATCTCCCAAGGACTCACTATCACGAGAACAGCACTAAGGTGATGGTGCTAAACCATTTATGAGAAAACTACCCCTTTAATACAATCACCTCCTAACCAGACCCCACCTCCAACACTGGGAATTACAATTCAACATGAGATTTGGGTAGGCATACAGATCCAAACCATATCAAATGCTCAGGAATAAATTAACAAAAGAAGCGCAAAACTTATAAAATGAAAATTACAAAACATTATTGAAAAATGTGAAAGAAGAGCTAAATAAATGGAAAGACATCCTATATTCATGAATGGAAAGATGTAATATTGTTAAAGTGGCAATACTCCCCAAATTGATATGGATGTTTAATGCAATCACTATCAAAATCCCAGCTGCCTTCTTTACAGAAATTGACAAGCTGATCCAAAAATTCATATGGAAATGCAAGGGACTCAGAATAGACAAAACAATTTTGAGAAAAAAGACCAGGTTCACATTTCTTAATTTCAAAGAACTACAAAAATATGAAAATCAAGACAGTGTGGAACGGGTGTAAGAATAGACACATAGATCAACGGAATAGAACTGAAATTCCAGAAATAGGTCCTGGCATGTATACAGTTAATTGATTTTTTTACTAGAGTGCCAAGACAATTCAGTGGGAGAAAGAACTATCATTTCAACCAGTGGTATTGGGTCACATGGATTATCCACATGCAAATGAATATCCACATGCAAATAGAAATTTACATGGAATAAAGCTGGATGCATATCTCACACCATATGCAAAAATTAACTAAAAGATTGATTAAAAACCTAAATTAAAGAGCTAAAACTATAAAACTCTCAGAAGAAAACACAGGTATAAACTTGCATGTCCTTAGATTAGGCAATGGTTTCTTAGACATGACACCAAAAGCATAAGCAATAAAAGAAAAATATAGATAAACTGGACATCACCAGAAGTTTAAATTTTTGTGCCTCAAAGGACACGACCAAGAGAGTGAAAAGACACTCTACAGCATGGGAGAAAATTTTTGCAAATCATGTCTGATAAGAAATTTGTATCTAGTATAAAGAACTTTTACAACTCAATAATAAAAAGGTAATAACCCAATTAAAAAGTGGCCAAAGGATCTGACATTTCTCCAAAGAAGAAACACAAACGATGAATAAGCACATGTAAAGATGGTCAACATTATTGGCCATCAGAGAAAAGAAAGTCGAAACTATTGGTATCTAGTGGGATATACCAATTCACACCACTAGAATGGCTATTATAAAAACAACAAAAAACTAATTAAAAAAAACAGATAGTAACAAGTGTTGACTGGGTACAGTGGCTCACATTTGTAATCCTAGTGTGCCCGGAATTGGTGGGTTCTTGGTCTCACTGACTTCAAGAATGAAGCCGCGGACCCTCGTGATGAGTGTTATAGCTCTTAAGGCAGTGCATCTGGAGTTGTTCTTTCCTCCCGGTGGGTTCATGGTCTCGCTGGCTTCAGGAGTGAAGCTGCAGACCTTCTCGGTGAGTGTTACAGCTCATAAAGGCAGTGTGGACCCAAAGAGTGAGCAGCAGCAAGATTTATTGCAAAGAGCCAAAGAACAAAGCTTCCACATTGTGGAAGGGGACCCAAGCGGGTTGCCACTGCTGGCTCGGGCAGCCTGCTTTTATTCTCTTATCTGGCCCTACCCACATCCTGCTGATTGGTCCATTTTACAGAGAGCGGAGTGATCTGTTTTGACAGGGCGCTGATTGGTGCGTTTATAATCCCTGAGCTAGACACAAAGGTTCTCCACCTCCCCACTAGATTAGCTAGATACAGAGTGTCCACACAAAGGTTCTCCAAGTCCCCACCAGAGTAACTAGATACAGAGTGTAGATTGGTGCATTCACAAACCCTGAGCTAGACACAGGGTGCTGATTGGTGTATTTACAATCCCTGAGCTAGACCTAAAGGTTCTCCACGTCCCCACCAGACTCAGGAGCCCAGCTGGCTTCACCCAGTGGATCCCGCACCAGGGCCGCAGATGGAGCTGCCTGCCAGTCCCGCGCCCTGCGCCTGCACTCCTCAGCGCTTGGGTGGTCGATGGGACTGGGTGCCACGGAGCAGGGAGCGGCGCTCGTCGGGGAGGCTTGGGCCAAGCAGGAGCCCACGAGGGTGGGGGAGGCTCAGGCATGGCAGGCTGCACGTCCCGAGCCCTGCCCTGCAGGAAGGCAGCTAAGGCCCTGCGAAAAATTGAGCACAGCAGCTGCTGGCCCAGGTGCTAAGCCCCTCACTGCCCGGGGCCAGCGCGGCCGGCCGGTGGCTCCAAGTGCGGGGACTGCCCAGCCCACGCCCACCCGGAACTCGCACTGGCCCGCAAACACCTTGCGCAGCCCAGGTTCCCGCCCGCGCCTCTCCCTCCACACCTCCCCGCAAGCTGAGGGAGGCGGCTCCGGCCTTGGCCAGCCCAGAAAGGGGCTCCCACAGTGCAGCGGTGGGCTGAAGTGCTCCTCAAGTGCTGCCAAAGTGGAAGCCCAGGCAGAGGAGGCGCCGAGAGCAAGCGAGGGCTGTGACGACTGCCAGCACGCTGTCACCTCTCACTAGCACTTTGGGAGTGTGAAGCGAGTGGATTGCCTGAGCTCAGGAGTTAGAGATCAGCCTGGCCAACATGGCAAAATCCCGTCTCTACTAAAAAAAAAAAAAATTAGCCAGGCGTGGTAGCACACACCTCTAGTAGCAGCTACTCGGGAGGCTGAGGCAGGAGAATCACTTGAACCTGGGAGGCAGAGGTTGAACTGAGCTGAGATCATGCCACTGCACTCCAGCCTGGGCAACAGAGCAAAACTCTGTCTCAAAAAAACAAAACAAAACAAAAACCAAAAAAAACAAAAACAAACAAAAAACCCCCAAAAATAAAAAATAAATAAAAAACCCAAAAAACAAGTGTTGGTGAGGATTTGGAGAAATCAAAACCATGATACTCTTCTGGTGAGAATGTACAATGATGCAGCTGCTTTGGAAAATAGTCTGGCAGTTCTTCAAAGTGTTAAACATAGAGTTTCCATATTATCCAACAACTCCACTCCTAGGTAGATCCTCAAGAGAAGTAAGAACATGTCCACACAAAAACTTGTACATGATCATTCCTAGCAGCATGTTCATAAAAGTCAAAAAGAGGGAAAACTCCAATGTCTATCCATCAACTGATGAAGGGACAAATAAAATGTGATATGTCCATAGAATGAGATATTTGCCAATAAGATGAAGTATTGTGCTCCTCAACTCACACTGAGGTTACATCCCAATAAACCATTGTAAGTTGAAAACGTCGAAAGTCGAAAAATGCATTGAATACACCTAATCTACCAAACAACATAGCTCAGCCTAGCCTACATTAAACGTGTTCAGAACACTTAAATTAGCCTACAGTTGGGCAAAATCAGCTAACACAAAGCCTATTTTATAATAAAGTGTTGAATATATCATATAATTTATTGAATACTATAATGAAAGGGAAAACCGGAATGGTTGGATGGGTTCTTGAAGCACAGTTCCTACTGAATGCGTGTTGTTTTTGCACCATCATGAAGTCAAAAAAATTGTTAGTTGAGCCATTTTAAGTTGGGGAATGTCTATATTGATACATACTACAACACGCATGAATCTTGAAAACACTGTGCTAAGTGAAAAAGAAAACAGTTACAAAAGACTGCATATTGTATGATTTTATTTATATAAAATGCCCAGAACAGGCACATCTGTAGAGACAGAAAGTAGTTGCTGCCTAGGACTAGGGTCAGTGGGATGAGGTGTTTCAGCAGTGGTGTCTAAGGGGCATAGGTTTTGTGTTTTGTTTTTGTGGTAATTAAAATGTTCTACAATTAATTGTGGTCCTAGAAGTGCACTTTGTGAAAATACTAAAAACCACAGGTTTGCATAAGTTGAAAGTGTGAATTGTATGATATGTGAATCATATCTCAATAAGATGGGTATGGTACAGGACTCTCTGTACTGAAAAAAAGAAGGGTATGGAGCAGTGGAAACTCTCAAGTGATGTTGATGGGAATGAAAATTAGCATAACCACTTTGGAAAGATGTTTGCCAATATCTAGTAGTTGAAGACTACATAGTATCTCTATGACTCAGCAATTTTATTCCTGAATATATCCCCTTGGGAAACTTGTACACATGTGTAGCAGGATACATTTAGGAGAATAGCAGCATTAATTGCAATGACTCCAAAATGGAAACAACCCAAATGTCCATCATCAGAGTGTGCAATTAAATTGTAGTATGGCAATATCATGGAAGACTTTTGAGAGAAGAAAATGAATGAACTAAAACTATTCTCACCAAATGTGGATGAAGCCTAAAAACTTAATGTTGAAGGAAAGAAACATGACACCAGAAATATAGACAGTATTAATTCATTTACATAAAGTTCAAAAACCTGAAACTAAAAAGCAGAAACTAAAACACAGAATTTAGGGGGGCTATCCATAGATGGTAAAAGATAAAGAAATACAAAGAAAGTAATTATCTAAAAAGTCAGAATAGTGTTTACTCACCCTCTGTGGGGAGGGGACACTTAAGGGGTTTTGGGACCTTGGCAAGGACTTTCCTTGACCCAGTATGAGTACACAGCTGTTCCCTTTAAAATTACTCATTAAACTGTATATTTATATTTTTTGGTCTTTTTAAAATATGTAGTAATACACAATAAAAAAGCTCAAAGAAAAGTCTGAAAAATGTTTGGAATTAATAAAGAAAACGTATTAATATTTTAAAATTATTTTAAATATATTATTCGTAGATGTTTGAATCGAATTGGAAAGAATTCTATATGTTCATATATAATATTGTCCTACTGACCCAGAAATTGACATGTTGCATTATAAACAAAAGAACTCATTACCTCTAGTGCCCTCAGTGGGACTGTATGCTGAAATGTAAGTAGGTTCAAGAAGGGTTTGGAGGAATTGATGGAAGATAGATCTCAAACAGTGATACGTACGATAAATTCCTAACCTTTTGAAGTGGATGTCGAAGAGGGTAATTGGATTCTCTTCAACATGTTTCCTGTTGCTGCTGTCAGATAGAAAGCAAGACTGGATCGATGGAGGGTCTGACCCAGGAAGGCAAATCTCATCTTCTTCTGTAACTAGGGAAGATACAACTCTTCCCCAGAGGATCGCATTCCACGGCAGGTGCCCAGGATGAAGGACAAGGCTCATCAACCAGTATTTACCATGCAACTTAAGACTAGAGTAGTTTCTGGGTCCCTGTTTTCAAAGAATTGATACTCTGACTGGGAAGACAAAGTGACAATCGTGACCAGAAGCTTCAAATTTTGAATTATGTGGCTTTAACAATAAGTATATTCTCAGGAAAAATATTTGCAGATATTAACTTAGGAAAATTTACAAATCAATAAGAAAAATATAAACAACCCCAAAGAAAAATGAGCAAAGGGACTGGATAGGCAGATCACAGAAAAAGAAATCCAGACACCAACAAGCATATGAAAAGTTGGTTACCTTCATACTCAAAATGCAGAACTGTAGATCAAAGCAATAAGATGTTCTTTATCACCTGTATTGTCCATTCTCACATAGCTAAAAATAACTACCTGAGACTGGGTAATTTAAAAAGAAAAGAAGGTGAAGTGGCTCATGGTTCTGCAGGTTGTTCAGGAAGCATGGCTGGAGAGGCCTCAGGAAACTTACAACATGGTGGAAGGCAAACGGGAAGCAGGCACATCATCATATGGCCAGAGGAGAGAGTGAAGGGGGACATGCTCCACGCTTTTAAAAAACCAGATCTTGTGAGAATTCACTCATTGTCATGAGAATAGCAGGGGAGAAATCTGTCCCCATGATCCAATCACTTCCCAACACATCCTTCCCCCAACATTGGGGATTACAATTCAACATGAGATTTGGGTGGGGATGCAGAGCCAAACCATTCATCACCTATTATATTGGCAAATATTTACGAGTTTGAAAAGAGCCAGTGTCGGTGAGTGTGTGGGCAAATAAATATTGTTTGCTACTAGTAGAAACATAAATAGCTATTTATTAATTCCTAATTACTTAATTAATATTTAGTAATCACTAATTACATCCGTACGACCTTTTGGAAGAACAAGTATCCAATATCAACTTTAAAAAAACACACACATACTCTTTGACTCAGCAATTTGAGTACCAGGAATTCAGCCCTTGGATATTCACCTAAAAGTACCAATGTAGCCATAGATAAGAAACAAGTAACATAAATTTCCCCCATGGAGGGGAAAATGGTGGCTGGGGGCTGTCTAGGAGGGATGCAATGGGGATTACAGAGGAAGAAGGGGAGACTTTTTGCTTTATAATCTCTTAGATATTTGAATTTTGAATTTTGTAAATGAGTATATAAAATCATTAACAAATTTGTTTTACATTAAAAATGATTTAAAAAAAACTTAAAAAGAGGACCTCACCACTGTAAGATGAGTGTATATAATAATATTATTCCTAGTAGCTGGGTGACAAAATAATCTGTAAAACAAATCCCTGTGACCCAAGTTTACTGAAAACAAAAACCTGCACATATATCCCTGAACCTAAAAGTTTACAAAACTCAATAATTATTATATGGTTTCAAATAGCTAGAAGGGGGATATTGATGTTCCCAACAAAAGAGAATGATAAATGTTTGAAATAATGGATATGCTAATTACCCTCATTTGATCACTATACATTATATGTATCAAAATATCACTATGCACCCCATAAATATGTAATTGTTATTTGTCAATTAAAAAACATAATTTAAAAAAGGACTTCAAGATATGTTCATTGTAACATTACTATTGCAAATCACTGAAAAATACCCAGATGGTCATCAACAGGTGACTGCTTGAGTAAATGTACAGACAGTGGAATCTATGTAGCTGCTTAAAAGAGTGAGATGAGGCCAGGCATGGTGGCTCATGCCTGTCATCCCAGCACTTTGGGAAGCTGAGTAAGGAGGATCGCTTGAGGCTAGGAGTTCAAGACCAGCTTGGGCTACATAGAGAGACCCTATCTCTAAAAAAAAAACAAGAAAAAAAAAAAAAAAAAAGCCAGAAGTGGTGGTCCCTGCCTGTATTTCCAGCCACTCAGGAGAATGAGGTGGGAGGATCACTTGAGACCAGGAGACGGAAGCTGCAGTGAGCTATGCTCGTGTCACTGCACTTCAGCCTGGGTGACAGAAATGAGTGGGACAAACTCCATGGGGGAATATCTGCTAGATACATACAACAAAAGCAAGCTATAGATGTCTCCACAGAGGAATTCTAAGGAGTTGTGTTTTTTTTTTTGGTAAATTAAAAAACATACATGCAGATAATCTTTGAGGGGGGAACTGGGAGTGGGGAGGGAGGAAGATTTATCTTTATTTTGAAATGTCTATATTGTTTGAATATATTACATTTTCCTTTTTAAATACGTAATTTTTACTTTAAAACATTTTAATAAAGATTTTTGGAGATGATTAATTTAGCAAACGCCTACTGAAATTTGTTGTGTTCCACATTCTGTGGCAGACACAAGGGAAGAAAAAGTATAAAAGAGACATGCACCTTTGCTGGAAGAACTCAGTCTCACTGAAGACCATTTATAGATAATTATAGCACAGTGGAAAAAGCCCCACTGAGAGAGAGAGACTAATGCTGTGTGGCGGGGTCACAGAAGACTTGGGTTTTGGAAAAATTTCTCAAAGTTCCTAGGCAGAAAGAGGGGTGCTGTCCTAAACCAGGCAGAGATGACCAGGAGCTGACCCAGGTCATTGGCAATGGGATGGACTGAAAAACCTTTTCTATAGTAGAATCGACTCAAGATAGGTGATTAGTGGGCTGTGGGCAGGTGAAGGAGAGAGCTATTTCTATGTGATTGAGTTAGGAACATCAACTGAATTTGGTATTATTTTCAGAACAGCAGAAACTGTTATGCAGTGTTCAGATGCAACAGGCATATGAAGGTCCCCACCCCCAGAGAGGCTTAAATCTGGTTGGTGAGAAAAATGATATTGGCTTTTACCTGTCATTAGTCTAAGCTGACACTTCAATTCACTAAAACCTGCCCTTTTGCCAACAACCACTCAACCTCTCCGCTGCAATGTGTTGAAGAGCAGCACCCAGCGCCTTCCCTGATCGACGGTTGCACTGCCTGGCTCTGCCACTCAATGGCTGCGTGATCATGAGCAGGTGACCTCACTGCTTCCACCACTCTTTCTTCATCTGTAAAATGGGGATGAGGATAGCACAGGCTTTATGACACGTAAATGATGTAAGGAATGTAGAGACTTAGCACAGCGTTTGGCATGTAGCAGTGCTCACCAAATGTGATCTGTGACTGTTAGTATTATTTTATAAAAATCATGGGGGAGGGACCGGGCACGGTGGCTCATGCCCATAATCCCAGTGCTTTAGGGAGCCTAGGTGGAAGGATCGCTTTGAGTTTTGAACTCCAGCCGGAGCAACATAGGGATACCTCTGTCTTTACAAAAATTAAAACTAAAAACATTAGCTGAGAGTGGTGGTACACGCGTGCGGTATCAGCTACTTGAGAAGCTGAGGCGGGCAGATCCTTTGAGCTCAAGAGTTCAAGGCTGCAGTGAGCTATGATCATGCCACTGCACTCCAGCCAGGGTGACAGAGTAAGACCCTGTCTCAAAAAAAAAAAAAAAAAAATCATGGGGAAAGGAGTTCAGGTGTTGATCAGCAAAGCTCCTCCAGGCCATTTTAAGTTGTGAGGAGGCAGCCCTGCTGCTTGAGCTGTGAGGACTGTCTATGTACATGCAGAGTTTGGTAATAACATCTGCAATAGTGACACATGTGTTTGTTACTGTGCTACATGGTCATTAGATATAAATAGCAAGCCATTCACATAAATAAAAATATTTACTTTTTTAATGAGACCAACCTGGCCAACAGGGTGAAACCCCCTCTCTACTAAAAATACAAAAATTAGCTGGGCATGGTGGCAGGCACCTGTAATCCCAGCTACTCGGGAGGCTGAGGCAGGAGAATCGCTTGAACCCAGGAGGCAGAGGTTGCAATGAGCTAAGATCGTGCAATTGCCCTACAGCCTGGGCAACAAAGTGAGACTCCGCCTCAAAAAAAAAAAAAAATTGCAATAAGAAGAAAACGGGCCAAGTGTGGTGGTTCACACCTGTAATCCCATTACTTGGGAAGGCTGAGGTGCGAGCATCACTAGAAGCCAGGAGTTCAAGACCAGCCTGGGAAACAAACCAAGATCCCATCTCTACCAAAAAAAAAAAAAAAAAAAAAAAAAAAATTCAGCTGGGCATGGGAGCGTGTGCCTGTAGTTCTAGTTACTCAGGAGACTGAGGATTGCTTAAGCTCAGAAGTTTGAGGCTAGTGAGCTAAGATTTCTCCACTGCTCTCCAGCCTGGGTGACAGAGCAAGACCTTGTCTCTGAAATAAACAAGAAGTAAATGCATTGTTGATAAAGTCAGAGAATAATGAGGGAAATGTTTTGTAGAGAAAACAAAGCTGGAGTGAAGGCCTAAGAAGAAGCCGAACATGTTTGATTGCAGAGTTACGGGGCTAAAGCCAAAGCTACGTTGTGTGTGAGATGCAGAGACGCATTCCGGGAAGAGAAGGGCGTCTGAGGCTTTCAAAGAAAAATCCAAAAGAAGGAATAAAGGGGATTGGAAAAGAAATGAGTGAGAAGGGAAGAACTAGGGCTGGCAGTGACCGTTTCCTCTTCCTAGAACGCCTCTTCAAAGAGAAAGCATTTATTGATGAGCTGCAATTCATTCCTTCACTTGACATCTGGAGACGGTTTGAGAAATCCTGCCGTAGAGTAGCCGGAGCTGCTGCTAATGCCTGCCTAATCCCAGATGGCGGGAAGAAGATGGGTTCCTTCCTTCGGTCTCCTGTGCCAGAGATGCCTTCTGCATGAAGATGCCTTGGCCTTGTAGGAACAGGAGAGGAAAATGAGCTTCCTTGGATGTAGAAAGGCAAGGCTGGGAGGAGAGAGGGGTCTGGGGCCCAGAGGCAAGTCTTCTCAGGTGGCCTGTGCCTCCACTACCATCACCATCAGATCCCTGCTGCATGTGTCCAGGCAAATCGATTAGTATGTCCATCTCAACAGACCCATTCGGCAAGAATGAGTTCATATGCCAATGTATGGGTTGGCCCACATGCCCTCTGAACCAAAACCAGAAAGCAGGCTGTTGTGTGACATCAACTCCTGAGAAGCAAGGTGTCTTTCTTTCTCGTTTCTGCTGGGACACCCGCTGACTTCAGGTAGTCAACGTTACACTTAGGGAAGAGGGTGGCAGGACGAGAGGCAGGGAGGGAGAAGCAGTTTCGAGTTTATCAAGAGTGGAAGGGCTCATGCTGTATTTATTTAATTTTTCATTTCTGTGGGTACATAGGAGGTGCATCTATATTTACAGGTTACATGAGATGTTTTGATACAAGGATGCAAAGCTGCATAATCACATTAGGGTAAATGGGGTATCCATCACCTCAAGCATTTATCATTTGTGTTCCAAACTATCCAATTATACTTTGTTATTTTTAAATGTACAATTAAATTATTGACTACAGTCAGCCTGTTGTACTACAAAATACTAGGTCTTAGAATTCTTTCTAGCTACTTTTGTACCGATTAACTATCCCCACTTCCCCCCACCCCCCACTAACCTTCACAGCCTCCAGTAGCCATCATTCCACTATCTCCATGAGTTCAATCATTTTAATTTTTAGTTCCCACAAATAAGTGAGAAAATACAACACTTGTCTTTCTGTGCCTTACTTATTTTACTCAGCATAATAACCTCCAGTTCCATCCATGTTGTGGCAAACGACAGGATCATGTTCTTTTTTATGGCTGAGTAGTACTCCATTGTGTGTAAGCACCATATTTTCTTTATCCATTTTTCTGTTGATGAACAGTTGGGTTGCTTCCAAATCTTGGCTATTGTGAACAGTGCCTCAGTAAACCTGGGACTGCAGATATCTCTTTGATGTACTGATTTCCTTTCTTCGCGGTTTATATCCAGCAGTTGTATTGCTGGATCATATGGTAATTCTATTTTTAGTTTTTTGAGGAGCCTCCAACTGTTCTTCATAGCAGTTGTACTAATTTACATTCCCACCAACGGTGTACAAGGGCTCTGTTTTCTCCACATCCCTGCCAGCATTTGTTATTGCCTGACATTTTTTTATTTTATTATTTATTTTTTTGAGACGGAGTCTCACTCTGTCGCCCAGGCTGTAGTGCAGTGGCGTGATCTTGGCTCACTGCAAGCTCCACCTCCCAGGTTCATGCCATTCTCCTGCCTCAGCCTCCCAAGTAGCTGGGACTACAGGTGCCCGCCACTACGCCCGGCTAATTTTTTTGTATTTTTAGTACAGACGGGGTTTCACCGTGTTAGTCAGGATGGTCTCGATCTCCTAACCTTGTGATCCGCCCGCCTCGGCCTCCCAAAGTGCTGGGATTGGGGGCGTGAGCCACCGCCGTCACCCAGGCTGGAGTGCAGTGGCGCGATCTCGGCTCACTGCAACCTCCGCCTCCCGGGTTCAATCGATTCTCCTGCCTCAGCCTCCAGAGCAGTTGGGATTACATGTGTATGCCACCACACCCGGCTAATTTTTTTGTATTTTTAGTAGAGCTGGGGTTTCACCATGTTGGCCAGGCTGGTCTTGAACTCTGGACCTCAGATGTTCCACCTGCCTCGGCCTCCCAAAGTGCTGGGATCACAGGCGTGAGCCACAGTGCCCAGCCTGTTATTGCCTGACTTTCGGATAAAAGCAATTTTAACTGGAATGAGATGATATCCCATTGTGGTTTTGATTTGCATTTCTCTGATGCTCAATGATGTCGAGCATATTTTATATACCTGTTTACTATGTCTTCTTTTGAAAAATGTCTATTCACGTCTTTTGCCCATTTTAAAATCAGATTGTTACATTTCTTTTTCTATAGAGTTGTTTGAGCTCCTTATATGTGCTGTCATTAATCCTTTGTCAGATGTGTAGTTTGCAAATATTTTCTCCCATTCTGTGGGTTGTCCCTTCACTTTGTTGATTGTTTCACTCGTTGCTCTATTTTAAAATCTTTCTATATCCTTGGTCCCTTTTAGGAATACTAGCAGTGTCACTTTGTTAGGATCTATAGTTGCATTGCCTTGAGGCCTATGAGCTTTTAAGGAGCCTACAAAAAATATCTGAGGTCTAGAAAAAAGAACGTATGACTCTAAGATGGAAAAAATTGAAATAAACATATGTTTGAACTACATGAACATGTGAACTAAGTGAACAAATATATATAAAGTGTAAATTTCTATCAATTTTATGATTGATTAAATTTAGTGTTCATATAATGTCATTACATGTATAGTTGAAAGCTATCTATAGGTTTGCTTTTCTCACTTCACAAGAATTCTGGTATATGCCTATCTGATTGCAGAGAAGTCGTAGCGGAATTAAATGTGTTCCTCAGAGTTAAAGAATTTCAGAAGCCAAATTATAAAAATTATTTTAATTTTTTGCAAAAAAACAATTGTACTTAACGTGAGCCACATGTGCATTTGGCAATGCTTGATATTAGGTAGGATGAAATTTCTCAAAGTGAGAACACGGAGGGACTGTGGAATCTTAAAATGGCAATGCACACATATATCTGCCCACAAGGATGTTCATCACAGTTTGGTTTACAATAGCAAATAACTTCAAGTCAGTGACAACTTGAAAAAAATAGCAAATAATTTGAAATCACCTACATTGACACCAATAAGAGAATATTTTAACAAATTATGGTACCACACAATAGATATGAGGTGATTGCTGAAAATGAGGTCGTCGTAGGAAATTATTTAATTTGATCTAGAAAGACCTTCGAGATGTATTAAAATGTAAAACAGTTTGTGCAATATGATTGCCCTTGTTTATACAAGGAAAAACTATTTCTAGAGAAAAAGACTGGCAAGAGGTACATCAGTGTGGTCCCGATGAGTGGTTATCTCTGGGTGGTAGAATAACAAGTGAGTTACATTTTATTTTCTTTTATAATTCTCTGTGTCTTCTATCAGGAGTATTTACTATTTCTGGAAGCAGAGGGATATGTTTTATACAGATAGGAAACACTTTATAATGGATGACTTTTTTCCTGATAATCAATACGTTCGAGTCAAAGAAGGCTATATGTAGGGTTGGACTGAGTGGAGTCAGCAGATATCTGCCTTTCTCAAGTTTGAGGTTGAACACATTGAAATGTTATAAAAATAGAACTACCATTTGATCCAGTCAATCCCTGGATCTACCCAGAGGAAAAGAAGTCGTGATAGGAAAAAATACTCAGACACACGTGCTTATAGCAGTACAATTCACGGTTACAAAAATATAGAACCAGCCCAAATGCTAATCCATGAGTGGACAGAGAAATTGTAGTGTATACCACATCATATATATATATACCACATCATATATATATACCACATCAATATATATATACCACATCATTCATATATATATATGATGGAAAACTACTCAGCTATAACAAGGAATGAATTAATGGCATTTGCAGCAACCAGGATGGAACTGGAGACCATTATTCTAAGTAAAGTAACTCAGAAATGGAAAACCAAACACAGTATGTTCTCACTCATAAGTGGAAGCTAAGCTATGAGGATGCAAAGGCATGAAAATGGTACAGTGGACTTTGGGGACCCAGGGGAAAGGGTGAGAGGGGGTTAAGGGATAAAAGACTACAAACTGGATGTAGTATATATTGCTCAGGTGATGGGTGCACCAAAATCTCACAAATCACCACTAAAGAACTCACTCGTGTAACGAATACCACCTGTTCCCCCAAAACCTATAGAAATTTTTTTTTAAAGAAATGTTATTTAGACAGAGATTTTGACTACATAATAACAACACTCATGTCACCACCAGTAGTCAAAATAAGCCTTTTCTTTTCTCTTTAAAAAAATTTTTTTTTATTATACTTCAAGTTTTAGGGTACATGTGCACAACGTTCAGGTTTGTTACTTGTGTATACATGTGCCATGTTGGTGTGCTGCACCCATTAACTTGTCATTTAGCATTAGGTATATCTCCTAATGCTATCCCTCCCCCCTCCCCCCTCCCCACAACAGTCCCCGGTGTGTGATGTTCCCCTTCCTGTGTCCATGTGTTCTCATTGTTCAATTCCATGGAGCTTTGCTATGTTGCCCAGACTGGTTTCGAACTGCTGAGCTCAAGCGATCCTTCCACCTCAGCCTGTCAAAGTGCTGGGATTACACGTGTGAGCCATGGCACCCGGCTTCTTTTCTATTTTCTTTTGAGACAGGGTCTTGCTCTGTCTCCTAGGCTGGAGTGCAATGGTGTGATCATGGCTCACTGCAGCCTCTGCCTCCTGGGCTCAAGCCATCCTCCTGCCTCAGCCTCCTGAGTAGCTGGTGTGCAACACCATGCCCAGCTAGCTTTTTATTTTTTTTGTAGAGACGGAGTCTCAATATATTATCCAGGCTGGTCTTGAGCTCCTGAGCTCAAGTGATCTTTTTGCCTCAGCTTCTGAAAGTGCTGGGATTACAGGCATGAGCCACTGTGCCTGGCCCAGAATAAGCCTTTAAAAAACTAAATTGTATTTTGCAGTCCTTCAATGTTGTCTCTTATGAAGACTTATAAAGATAAGATTCCAAGACTTCACCTTAGCCTGCCCCTTCTCCTCAACTGTATCCATATCTCCAGCGTGATCTCCAGCTACTCTGATGCCCCTGCGTGACTGTCTGAAGGCACAGACATGTGCCCCTATCACATTGGGTAGGGAAAAAGCAGATGACATACAAAGCATGTCTGGCATATCCTCATTTATGTAAAATTGAAGACACCTATTTTATATAATATTAATTTTTTTTAGAGATGGGGTCTTACTTTGCTGCCCAGGCTGGAACACAGTGACTATTCTGAGAACCCATAGTTTAATCTGTATACATGCACAGAACTTTCAGGAAGGAAATGCTCAAAACGTTCACCGTGGTTACCTCTGGGTGGTATCATTGTGAGCAACTTTAAAAATACATGGTTTGAAATTTTTACAGGGGTAAAATGTCATTTTTATAAAATTGATCTGTGACTCTTGGATTGTTTGACTCATTCTCTGTTTAAGAGCTCTGATAGGAAAGAGCAAATGAAATATGATCTCAGGCCGGGCGCAGTGGTTCACAGCTGTAATCCCAGCACTTTGGGAGGCCAAGGCGGGTAATCACCTGAGGTCAGGAGTTTGAGACCAGCCTGACCAATATGGTGAAACCCCATCTCTACTAAAAATACAAAAAAAAAAAAAAAATTAACGGGGCGTGGTACCATGCAACTGTAGTCCCAGCAACTCGAGAGATTGAGACAGGAGACTTGCTTGGACCCAGGAGGTAGAGGTAGCAGTGAGCCGAGATCATGCCACTGCACTCCACCCAGCATAGGCAACAAAGCGAGACTCCATCTCAAAAAATAAAAAAATAAATAAATAAATAAATAAATAAATAAGACATCAAAATGCCGAGTGTCGTGACTTATGCCAGAAATCCCAGCACTTTGGGAGGCTAAGGTGGGAGGATCTCTTGAGACCAGGAGTTTGAGACCAGCCTGGGCAACATAGCGGGACTCCATCTCTATAAAATATTTAAAAACTAGCTGGGTGTCGTGATGCATGCCTGTAGTCCCAGTGACTTGGGAGGCTGAGGCAGGAGGATCACTGGAGCTCAGGAGTTTGAGGCCACAGTGAGCTATGATCATGCCACTGCACTCCAGCCTGGGCGACACAGTGAGATCCCATCTTGAAAAAAAAATTCTCAAAAATTAATTTTTAGAGAAACAGTAGATGGAGGGTGTGCATGGTTAGCAGGATGAAGTGGGGCTACTGGAATGCTTGGCTTTGTTCTGAGGCATGTGTGCTTGGTCTTGGGGTGGTCGTCACCACTGAGCATGTTATGAGGGACACACAGATTTGATTTTACCCCAGGCCAAGGACTCAGAATGTTCTCACTGCTGAGGCCACTGTTCTTCCACGGAGGGGCACAGGCCATCTCCTTTAGGCAAGAATCATGAATGTAGCCAAGAGTCTCAGCTACCTGGGAGGAGGGGACCTCTGTGTAGGCCAAGCAAATAGAAGAAAAGCACCTTTTGAGAGGCGAACATTCAGCATTCAATTTAGAGGGTTGTGGGAGGCAGTATGAAAAGGTGGGTAATTAGGAGGATCTGGGATCAGAGAGGCTTCTCTCCCCATCCCACCCTACCACTCAAAGTGGGACCTTCTTACCATTGCAGACACATTCAATTCTCATGCCAATGACGGACTTGTTACCCCAACTGCTGGGAGTGTGGTCACAGACTACCTCCAGCTGCCAGCACCCCCAGGGTTTGCCTCAGCCGCAGAGCCACCTTGCCCAAGGCCACACCCTTCAGGGCTGTCCCACGTCCAGTGACTGATGGAGAGGGCATATAAAGGCCTGGCCACCCTGGCCCACTTCGAGAAAACCATGAAGTGCCATTCAGGCTCCAGAGCTTCCTGCATGCTGGCTGAGGCTGGCAGTGGTTGCACCAGAGCTCCACTTCTTTATCTGCCCACTCCTGCTCCCCTCCCTTCCAAGGGTATCAACTCAAGGGCACCCCCTGAGGAACACACTGCATACTAACCCTGGAGTCTCCTTGCTGAGGAGCCCAACCTGGGACAGTTAAGTTACTTAATCACTCCGAGCCTCCATTTCTTTTCTTGTTTTAGAGATGGGGTCTTGCTGTGTTGCCCAGGCTGGAGTGCAGTGGTTATTCACAGGTGCAGTCATGGCTCATTACAGCTCGAACTCCTGGGCTCAAGTGAAACTTGTGCCTCAGCCTCCCAAGTAGCTGGGATTACAGGCACATGCTACTGTGCCCACCTTCCATTTCTTCATCTATAAAAATCAGGATGATAATAATTTGCTGTCCATTGCATAGGATTGAGAATTATATGAGGTCATATATGTAAAACACTTACCAACTTTGTGCATAATTGCTTAATAAATGGTAACTATTGGTATTGCTATTAGGAAAGAAACAACCTATTTTTGACTCTCCCCATCATAATTCATTATCAGTTTAACCAGTAGTTTAGCCCCTAAGAGAAGGCTCCAGACAATGTGGACACGGGGTGAATAAAGGCTGGTGGAAGACAGAAGTGAAGGTTTGGAGGAAGGGATGTTACCAAACAAGGGCAGCCTGCAAAAGGGTGCATTCTTCTAATACAAGATCAGTCCGGGCCAGCTGCAGTGGCTCACACCTAATAGCCCAGCAATTTGGGAGGCTGAGGTGGGAAGGCTGCTTAAGCCCAGGACTCTGAGACCAGCCTGGGCAACTTAGCGAGACCTTGTCTCTACAAAAAAGAAAAAAAGAAAAATTAGCTGGGTACGATGGCACATACCTGTAGTCCCAGCAACTCGGGAGGCTGAGCCAGTAGGATGGCTTGGACCCAGGAGGTCATGGCTGCAGTGAGCTATGATGGCACCACTGCACTCCAGCCTGGGCGACAGAGTGAGACTGTCTCAAATAAAAACAAAAAAAAAAGACCAGTCCACAGGCATCTCAGCCAACAAGAAGCCTCCTACAAATCTAGTTAGCACAAGGCAGTTCCCGTCAGGCTGGCCACTTTGGAGCAACCTAACCAGTTGTGATCTTGGTCTGCCATGCTGGGAGAAGCTGGAGCCGCAGTGGCTTCCAGGAGAGTAGGCATCCTCCGTGGTCCATCTTCTCGAGGTGCTGGGCCTAACCCAGGGAACGGTGGCCCATGCTGCAGGACTCTCCACGCAGTGGGGCCTCAGGGGTGTACAAGGCTGGGCCCTCATACTTTAACGACGACTAGAAAGGGGTATGTCTGCCCTCCCCACTGTCACTTCTGTCTTCCGCATGCATGCCCCTTGCCCATTTCCTGGGCCTTGGTATCTGATTGTAGGTCCTCCCAGACGCCTGGCAGCTGTCCTCCTCACCTCCTTCATGTGGTGCTCCATTCGGAGCAGCAGAGGGAACCATGGCTTTACAGTGGTAGGGACTGTTTGTTCCCTGAGTTGTTTTTTTTTCTGGCTTGGCTGCATTTTCCTGTAGAAATCTGCGTCCTGGGTATAGATTTGGCTTTGGGGGAGCCGTCCATCTGGATGTGTTTGATTGTAAATTACCGTCGTGTATTTAAAGTTATGGCCATCCATGATGAAGAGCAGACCTGGGCATGTGGTTTTCTAGCCCAGAGATTGCACGAAGCCTCTGGGGCTTCAACGACTGCAGGAGGCGTGCAGTCTGTAGAGTCATCGGGTATTCTGAAACATCCTATTTGTCCCCAAGCTCTGGCAAGTGAAGCTCAGAGCAGCCCTGGCCTGCCAATCCCTTTTCACAGTGCCTATAAATTTCAGAAATCTTACTTTGAGGATATCATTTAGCTAACACATAACTTTTTTCTGGCAGTTTATTGATACTTAAAAATAATGTTTGCCATACTCCAAGTTGGGACTAGTGTACATTGATAGTCTACCATATGGCATCACTAGGAAATAAGGGAATTCTTTCCCTCTCTCTCTAAATAAAGATAAGCCCATTAAATAGAAAAATCACTTCCCAGGTAAATCTTTCATATATATAGATGAATATATACTTCACCTTTTAAAATAATTCATATCATTACTGAATACTAATGATCTGCCAGGCTTTTACATACATTGTTGCATTTAGCCCTTAAAAACCCCAAAAAGCCGGTATTATTCTCACCATTTAGCCAGTGAGAAAAATAGAAGCCCAGAGAACTTATGTAACATGGCCAAAATTATACGCTGGGTGAGCGAGTGCCCGAGTGGGGATTTGAATTCAATTTTGTCCAACCCTGCAGCCCATGGGATGGCCACCACGCTGTGATGCCTCACTTATTTCTTTCAAATTAGAGGTGATCAAGCATATTTTTAACCTTTTCTTCATGAGTTATCGACAAAATTATGAACATCAGTGATAATGCAGTGCCAAAGGACTGACTCAGGCAGGATCCTCGGGTGAAGTGATGGAAATCAAGTAATGCTTAAGCAAAGAGAGAAGGAGTAGGGTGCAGCCGGGTCTCAGGAATGAGCTGGGACTCAGACCCATTCCCATCGGGACCTTCTCCATCCTTCCTCTCTGCTCTACTCCATGCACCTATTTCTATTTTTTTTTTCTCCCTTTTCCTGCAGACCAATCTGAAGGTGGGCAGTCCAGAGCTGGTGTCCATGACTCTAGGTCATCATTAAAGACCTAGAGTCCTCACAGCTTCCCGCTCTGCCTTTCTTTTGCTTTTGCTCTTGTTATCAGAAGATGGCTGCCATTTTTGCAGGCACCTGCCTCTCCTCCCAGGCTAGAATACAGGATAAAGGTGAAGGGCAATGGAGAATCTGTCTTTTTGCCTCCAGTGCACAGGGGCAGATCCTGCCTTACCATCATGGAACTTCTAAATCCTCAGGGAAGATAAACATGGAGCAGTTAATTGCACAACTGAAGAACGCCGTTAAGAAGACCTAAGAGTACCCAAGAGAAATGAGTGCCTACGAAAGGCAGCTCTAAGAATGTTCATATAGCTTCATGCATAATAGCCCCAAACGGCAAATAACCCAAACGCTCAACAACAGAAGAATGAATAAATAAATTTCATACAATGGAAGACTACTCAGCAAAAACAGCAACAACCCGCTGCTGAATGCAACAGCATGAATCACTCTCACAGGCGTAGGGCTGCATGCGAGAAAGCAGACACAAAAGAGCACATGCTGCATTCTGTTTATATGAAGTCTAAGAAGAGGCCAGAGAAGACACAAGAGCGTTTACCTCCGAAGGGGGCTTAATATTAGTATTTTTTGAGTCAGGGTCTTGCTCTGTCACCCAGGCTAGAGGGCAGTGGTGCAATCTCAGGTAATGCAACCTCCGCCTCCCAGGTACAAGTGATTCTCCTTCCTCAGCTTCCGGAGTAGTTGGGATTACAGGCTCGCACCACCATGCCCAGCTAATTTTTGTATTTTCAGTAGAGACAAGGTTTCACCATTTGCCCAGGCTGGAAATGGTTTATATCTTGATCTGAATGGTGATTTTGCAGTTGTACACATACGCAAATTTGTCAAGGTGTGCACTTGTACACTTTTCTCTATTTACATTATCCCTCAGTTTTTCTTTTCTTTCCTTTTTTTTCTGAGTCTTGCTCTGTTGCCCAGGCTGGAGTGCAATAGAGCAACCTCAGCTCACTGCAGCCTCTGCCTCCCAGATTCAAGCAATTCTCTTGTCTCAGACTCCCGAATAGCTGGGATTACAGGCGTGCATCACCACATCCAGCTACTTTTTTTTAAGTAGAGATGGGGTTTCACCATGTGGCCAGGCTGGTCTCAAACTTCTGGCCTCAAGTGACCTGCCTGCTGTGGTCTCCCAAAGTGCTAAGATTACAGGTGTGAGACACCGTACCTGGCCCATTATCCCTCAATTTTTTAAAGGTAAGTGGATGTGGACCTAAAAGGGAATTTTCAACTTTTTTTTTTTTTTTTTGAGACAGGGTCTCACTCTGTTGCCCAGGCTGGAGTGCAGTGGTGCAATCACAGCTCACTGCAGCCTCAAACTCCCAGGCTCAAACGATCCTCCCACCTGAGCCTCCTGAGTATCTGGGACCACAGGCACCTTGTTCCAAAATAAATAAAGAGAGATAGATATGTAGATTGTCCCTGAAGCTTGTAATTGGCCTTGTAGTTTTCACTGTTGGCTCACAACTGTGTTGCACAGTAGCTCTCAATTGTGGCTATGCATTAGAATCACTTTTGTTTTAATTTTGTTATTTAATTTATTTTCTTTTCTTTCTTTTTGTTTTTTTGAGACACAGTCACACTCTGTCACCCAGGCTGGAGTGAAATGGCAAGATATCGGCTCACTGCAACCTCTGCCTCCTGGGTTCAAGTGATTCTCCTGCCTCAGCCTCCCAAGTAGCTGGGATTACAAGAGCAAACCACCATGCCCAGCTAATTTTTGTATTTTTAGTAGAGACAGGCTTTCATCATGTTGGCCAGGTTGGTATCAAACTCCTTACCTCATGTGATCTCCTGCCTTGACCTTGCCAAAGTACTGGGATTACAGGTGAAAGCCACCACGCCTGTCTCCTTTTTTTTTTTTTTTTCATGTCAGACAGGTAATGTGCCAACGTTGTAACAAGGTTTGAGGCAGGCACATCTCACACTTGAGCACAACATCCCAATCATCGCACTTATGACCTACAAAAGGATCTAATCCTTGACACAGGTAAACTATTTACGTGATTTAACATTCAACTAATTTTAAAAGGTCCGTAGGAAAAGTTGCTCTCTGCCCTCTGTCTCCCAGCCTCCTGTAACTCCCTCAGAGGCAACCCTCATCCCAAGGATCTTGTGAATCCTTCCAGAGATTTTATGCTTCTATAACCAAAGGCAAATACACATTATTATCCCCTATACAAATGGAAGCATACTGATTTACACCAGCTTCATTCATAACAGCTGCCCCAGTCTTTTTGATGGTAGCCTAGTATTCCAGTGTCTATGTTTACCAGCATTTATTTGAGTCCCTGGGTTTTTCTAAAGATACTCATGCCCTGGGGCTTCCTCAGCTCTAATGTGCCTGGGTGTGAGGTGCAGGCAGGTGTGGGAACCACTGGCATGGCTCACTGGTCTCTTTCTTTCTCAGCCTACAGTAGGAACAGTCCTGGTTTCCTAGCACTTAGAGAGCTGGTTCAGGGTTTTGGAAAGTGAAATGAATTCCTTCTTTCTGATGAACAGAGAGCAGTCATAGATAAGACTCTCATTTGCAATGGACACAGGACCAAGAAATTGAGAAAAGCTGGCCCAAAGCCCTGGTCCTTTATGTAAGAGTAGGGAAGGAGATTGCATGGCACAGTCCCCAGGTTTGCAGATAGCACAGGACTTGACAGGTAGTGGAGATACAAACAAAAAGTCATAAGATACATGAAACTCTTGCCAGATTCTCCGAGCTACAGAGAAGTGGTAGGTGGGTTTCAGCCCAGGTCAATGAAAGATGGAATTTTTATTTTTATTTTTTTAGAGACAGGGTCTCACTATGTCACCCAGGCTGGAGTGCGATGGCATGATCATAGCTCACTGAGCCTTAAATGAACTCTTGGGCTCAAGTGATCCTCCTGCCTCAGCCTCTCGAGTAGCTGGGAAGTATAGGTGCCTGGCCAACATGGAATGTTGACAAAAATAGTCCAGACTATACTTATAGCTCCTAGGGCTAAACATACGTCTGTGCGGAATATTAGACTGTTTTCTGAGCTCATCAACTTTAGGCAGCCAAAAAAGTTGGCTATATATTGGGCCCAATCAAGAGAAGTAATAGAAACATAAGATAATACATTATTATACTATCATATAAAAGTATTGCATTTTAAGAAAGAAACAGGGTCTTGTTCTGTCACCCAGGCTGAAGGGCAGTGGTGTGATCATAGCTCACTACAGCCTGGAACTCCTTAGCTCAAGCAATCCTCCCACTTCAGCCTCCTAAGTAACTGGGACTACAGGTGCACACCACCACGCCTGGCTACTTTTTAAATTTTTTGTAGAGACAGGGTCTTGAAATGTTGCGCAGTCTCTTCTTTAACCCCTATTTTACCGCCTCAGCCTCCCTAAGGGCTGGGATTATGGCTGGGATTACAGGTGTGAGCCACTGCATCTGGCAAAATTATTGCATTTTTGAGTCTGAATTTTATGGAATTTTGGTCAATAAACCTCAGAAAAATATGCTTAGGACGTGAGCAGGGCAGTTTAAAAGTTAAAGGAAAAGGTAAGGACAGGGATTTGGAAGGAAACTGGAAGCATTTGGACTTTTTAATACGGTAAAATTGACAGATGATATGCCTAATGATTTTATTTTATAAAATTAAATAGACCTGGCCAGGTGTGGTGCCTTATGCCTGTAATCAGCAGTTTGGGAGGCTGAGAAGGGTGGATCACTTGACATCAGGAGTTTCAAACCAGCCTGGCCAACACGGTGAAACCCCATCTCTACTAAAAATACAAAACAATTAGCTGGACATGGTGGCGGGTGCCTGTAATCCCAGCTACTTGGGAGGCTGAGGCAGGAGAACTGCTTGAACCCGGGAGGTGGAAGTTACAGTGAGCCAAGATCACGTCACTGCACTCCAGCCTGGGTGACACAACAAGACTCCATCTCAAATAATAAAATAATAATAGTAATAATAATAAATTAAATTAAATTAAATTAAATAGACCTAACCTCAAACTGGAAACAACCAAAATGTCCTTCAGTAGGTGAATGGTTATACAAACTGTGCTACAGCCATGCTGTGGAGTACTCTTCAGCAAGAAAAACAAATGGCTATAGATGCATGCATGTACTTGGGATGAATCTCAAGGGAATTATGTAGGGTGAAAAAAGCAAATTTCAAAAGCTTACATGCTGTATGATTCCACTTAGATAACATTCTATAAGCGAAACTGCAAGGTGCAGTGGCTCATGTCTGTAATCCCAGCACTTTGGGAGGTCGAGGCATGTGGATCGCTTAAATCCAGGAGTTTGAGACCAGCCTGGCCAACATGGTGAAACCCCATTTTTAGGTCGGGTGTGGTAGCTCACGCCTATAATCCCAACACTTCGGGAGGCTGAAGTGGGTGGATCACCTGAGGTTGGGAGTTCAAGACCAGACTGGCCAATGTGGTGAAACCCCATCGCTTCTAAAAATACAAAAATTAGCCAGGCATGGTGGCGTGCACCTGTAATCCCAGCTACTCAGGAGGCTGAGACACGAGAATAGCTTAAACCCAGGCGGCGGAGGTTGCAGTGAGCCGATATTGTGCCATTGCACTCCAGCCTGGGTGACAGACTGAGACTCTGACAAAAAAAAGAAAGAAAGAAAGAGAGAGAGAGAGAGAGAAAGAAAGACAGAGAAAGAAAGAGAGATAGAGGAAGGAAGGAAGGAAGGAAAGAAAGAAAGAGAAAGAAAGAAAGAAAGAAAGAAAGAAAGAAAGAAAGAAAGAAAGAAAAGAAAGAAAAGAGAAAGAAAGAAAGAAAGAAATCTTGTGTCTATAAAAAATAGAAAAATTAGCTGGGTATGGTGGTGTGTGCTTGTAGTCCCAGCTACCTGGGATTCTGAGGTGAGAGGATAATCTGCAACCTCACTTGAGATTGAGGCTGCAGTGAGCGTGACTGCACCACTGCACTCCAGAGCCTGGGCGACAGAGCAAGACCCTATCTCCAAACAAAACAAAATACCCAAATTACAGAGATGGAGAATAGAATAGACAAGTGATTGCCAGGGTTAGGGAGGTGGGGAGGAAGGGAGATGGCTATGACTGCAAAAGTGAAGCACCAGGGGGCCGGGCGCAGTGGCTCATGCCTGTAATCCCAGCACTTTGGGAGGCCGAGGCGGCTGGATCACGGGGTCAGGAGATCGAGACCATCCTGGCTAACATGGTGAAACCCCGTCCCTACTAAAAATACAAAAAATTAGCTAGGCATGGTGGCTGGTGCCTGTAGTCCCAGCAACTTGGGAGGCTGAGGCAGGAGAATGGCGTGAACCTGGGAGGCGGAGGTTGTGGTGAGCAGAGATCGCACCACTGCACTCTACCCTGGGCAACAAAGTGAGACGCCATCCCCCAAAAAAATTAAAAGTGAAGCACCAGGGACCATGGTGGTCATGACACTCTTACATTGCTTGCCTGTGGTGTTAGTTTTACCCACCCATGCAATAAAACTATGTAGAACTAAATACACACACGCACACACAACTAGTGAAAATCTGATGTAAAACAAGTGAAATTTGAAAAAGCTCAGTGGATTGCACCAACGTCAATTTCCCAGTTGTGACATTGGGTACTATAGTTACACAAAATGCTACCATTAGTGAGAGACTGGGTGAAGGGCACAATGGATAGATTTGAGATCTGCAATTATCTCAAACATCTAATTTAAGAAATCAAATAAGCCTAGACTGTTAGTGCTAGAGAAAAGTGGAAATCGACCACACTGACTTTTACCCAACTCAAAAGGGGTCAGCTCTTGACCTTTAATAGAGGCAGATTTTAAACAAATGAAAACTATGCACCTTTTCACACACTGAATAATAAACTTATGAAATGTATTAGCCTAACAAATGAGAGGATGAAGATTTATACAATGTGTGTGTGTGTGTGTGTGTGTGTGTGTGTGTGTGTATATATATATGTATTAATTAAAGACAGCATCTCAGCTCTGCCACCTAGGCTGCTAGAGGGCAGTGGCGGAATCATAGCACACTGCTGGGCTCAAGTGATTCTCCTGCCTTGGCCTCCCAAAGTGTTTGGATTACATGCATGTTGAGCCACTGTACCTGGCCCAAATGTACCTGGCCCATATATGTATATGCAACATTGGGTTTCTAAGACACATGAAATTTTGGGAGCATTTCTGACCTTGGAGTTTGACATCACAAATAAGAGCCTCATGCATCTACAATCAGGTCCCAAGTCAATTTAAAATGAGCTCAGTGAACATTTGCTGAGTTCCTATGAAGTGTCAGGCATGTCTTGGTTGCTCAGTGTTAGAAACGCTGGGTGCAGTGGCTCGCGCCTGTAATCCCAGCACTTTGGGAGACCAAGGCTGGAGGAAAACTTGAGCCCAGGAGTTCAAGAGCAGCCTGGGCAATATGGTGAGACCCCATATCCACAAAAAGTCAAAAAATTAGCCAGATGCGTTGGTGTATGCCTGTGGTCCCAGCTGCTCAGGAGTCTGAGGTGCGACGATCGCGTGAACCCAGGAGTTCCAGGCTGCAGTGAGCTATGAGCACATCACTACCCTCCAGCATGGGTGACAGAACAAGACCCTGTCTCAAAAAAAGAGGAAAGAGAGAAAGAGAGAGAGAGAGAGAGAGAGAGAGAGAGAGAAGGAAGGAAGGAAGGAAGGAAGGAAGGAAGGAAGGAAGGAAGGAAGGAAAAGAAAAGAAAAGAAAAGAAAGAAAAGAAAAAAGAAAGGAAAGAAAGAAAGAAAAGAAAAGAAAGGAAAACATAAAAGACACAACCCTGTCCCTCCTGTTAAGTGTCCCATTGTTCAGGAATTCAGTGCTGGTGACATTACTTGTGGAAGGGAAACGAATGTCACCCTGACATATTATTTTTAATGATATCCTGATTAATAGTCATACTTGAGGCTATTTTAAAAATGGAAGCAGTCACCACGAAGTGTGATAGGAATTACCCCAAAATAGACTATGTTATCCTCTGTGAATAATTTAGACACCATCGCTCCGAAGGCAGCGAGAGCATGAGGACTGCGAACAAGCTGATTGGGAGCTTTGGGAAAGTGGGGCTGGCATCTTATTATCTCCGCAGCCCAGGACTTAACAGTGCGTGCTTGGTATGCAGCAGGAGCTCAATAAGTAAATGCTGACTTGACAATCACGATCCTTTTATTCTTATTTTATGTAAGTTTAGGCCAGAAGGAGCTTATGGGACTCTACCACTGATAACTGGAAACCGATTTTGACTAGGATCAGGAGGTACTGGGATAGGATATGAAATAAAAGAGAAAAAGCAGAGGACAGAGGTAAAGATCTGTTGCCACAGGATGGACCTGGAGCTGTCCTGGGAACACCTTTGGCGATCAGGGGTTCTCTGGCCTGCAGCAGCTCATTCCCAGACAGTGGCTGCTCTGCTACCGTGGACTTGAGCTTCTCCCCTGGGTAAAGGAATGAAATCCCACCCACTCACCCCTTTCCTTTCAGAAGTAGTGTGGGGATGCACCTTTATTGGCCATTGAACATTCACAGAGATGCATTTAGCATCATGAACGTTATAAAAACGACAGTGGCAAATCATTACAACTGCTTTTCGGTGGTAAGCTTCCCAGAAGAAAATTATGGAAGAGATGTGGTATAAAACACGAAGACAGCATTTAGCATACCCAGCCTCATTTCCTGCCATCAATGGCAGGTTGTTGTTGTTGTTGTTTTGAGATGGAGTATTGCTCTGTCACCCAGGCTGCAGTGCAGTAGCATGATCTTGGCTCACCGCAGCCTCTGCCTCCTGGGTTCAAATGATTCTCCTGCCTCAGCCTCCCAAGTAGCTGGGATTACAGGCTCCCGCCACCATGCCCAGCTAATCTGTGTAGTTTTAGTAGAGATAGGGTTTCACTATGTTGGCCAGGCTGGTCTTGAACTCCTGGGCTCAAGTGATCCACCCCACCTTGGCCTCCCAGAGTGCTGGAATTACAGGCGTGAGCTATGGCGCTTGGCATGCAGGTAGTTCTATCTTTAACCTCTAGGAGCAAATAATGAATACCTACCAGTACGGTGGGAACTACGGGCATAAGGAAGTTGATCTCTGTCATTTATTGGCAGAAGTGGACATTTAGATTAACACCCAAGAATTTAAAAATGTTATAGGCTAATTCTTTTTGAATGTCACATTTTTATCTCTCTGATAACAAGTCAGAGAAGACTGGAAACACTGCAGAGTGAGTGGCCTCATGAGACTCTTTCTCTCTCTCTGCCATGTGAGGACGTGGTGAGGAGGTAGCCATCTGCAAGCCAGGACAAGGGCCCTCACCAGAAACGGAATTGGCTGACACCTTAATCTTAGACTTTGCAGCCTCCATAACTGTGAGAAAATAAATGTCTACTGTTGAAGCTGCCACCTATGGTATTTTGTTACAGCAGCTGGTGTAGACTAGGACAGCCTGTGACTCTGAAGCATGGATGGCAACATCTAGATGGATGTTGAAGACGTTGATTCCACAGATGTCGGTGGACCCCCTGGCCTTGCAGAGGTTGTCTGCCCTGCCAGCTCGTCTGTTGTGCCTTGAAGGTGCTGTCAACACTTCTCCTTGTTGAGGCATTAGGTGATCCCCTAAGGAACACCCTCATCTCCGCTGCCAGGCTGATAACTGGGTTAAGTTCCAGCACACCCTGGCTGGAAATGAACCGGGCCAGATGAGGGAGAAAAAGAGAATCCACACCTAAGGAATTGTAGGAAACAGACAGCCAGAGCGAGGGAAGGGCTTCTGGGATAGGATTTTAGGGTGTTTGATCAGGTGGGTTGGAGTGGGAGGTTGGATAAATAAGAATGGATTAACTTGGAGACTCTTTCTTAGAACATGAGATGTTAACACCCAATTGAGGACCCTGAGGGACAGGAAAACTCAGCTGCTAGGCCAGGGTGGTACTTAGATGCCTGGAGAAAAGCAACGGAATTGTTAACACAGAGCAGAGTGGCAAATGCTTGAGCTGCCCTGGAGGATGGTGGCAGAAGGTGTATGAGGCTGACGGAGCAGGTGTGCTGGGGTGGAGAAGCAACACAGTGTTAGAGGGAGACCCACCAGAGGAGAACGTTCCATGGAGGGCCCAGAAGACACATCCACCAAGGGCACCAGGAATGAATGACATTCAGCAGTGGCTCATCAGGTCAGAAGTAACTGAAGGAGAGATGGTCACAGAGAGGGCCTCACTACCCTCCATGGGGATGAAGGGGCCCTGAGGAACAGAGTCCAGGGCAGCATGCAAGCCCCAAAAACCACGAAGCCATAATAACTGTAAAACCTGGCAAAGCTGGAGTGACAGTCATGGGGCTTGACCCTCAGAGAGTTATGGAAGTGGTTTGTGAAACATGGCATCTCTAAAAGATAGACAAGCAGCCAGAAAGTGTGCTGCATGACATCTTTAATGAAAAATAAGGCAATTAGCTGGGCTTGATGGTGCACACCTGTTATCCTAGCTACTGGGCTGAGGTGGGAGGATTGCCTGAGCCCAGGAGTTCAAGGCTTCAGTGAGTTATGATTATGCCACAGCACTCCAGCCTGGGCAACCAAGCAAGACCCTCTCTCTTAAAAAAAAAAAGTGAGAAGGAAGGAAGGAAGGAAGAGAGACAGAAAGAAAGAGAAAGAGAAAGAAAGAGAAAGAGGAAAGAAAGAAAAAAAAAGAAAGAGAAAGGAAGAAATAAAGGAGAGAGAAAAGAGGGAGGGAGAAAGAGAAAGAGAGAGAGAGAGAAAAAGAAAGAAAAGAAAAGAAAAGGACAAGACAAATAAGGCAAGAATGGAGGTCCAGTGGGCTTGAATAAAAATTCAAGGTCCCTTGTTCAATTCCTAAGCCTGAGCCAATTTTAATATCAGAAACCCACAGACTGAAGAGACAGTCCCTGAAAAGAAGGAATCTATAATACTAGACAAGTATGCATTTGTGAGGATTCCCCCAAATCCTTCCCCAAAGGGACTTAATTTATTTGGATGAGATTGTACACTGGGAAAAAGGGAATAGCCAGATATTTTGAGGACAATTGGACCCAGGATTTGCAATGACATTGATAGCCAGAGATCCAAGGTGTCATCATATCCCCTTCTAAGAGTGGAGGTCTATGAGGTCCAGGTGATAAATGGAGTTCCAGTAAACTCCAGCTCACAGTGGACCCACTGGGTCTGCAGATCCACCAGTGGTCATTTCTCCAGGCCTGAAGTGCACAACTGAAATGGGTGTACCTGGCAGTTGGAGTAACCTCCACATCAGGCCCTGGTCTGTGGATTATGAAGGTACCATAGTCGAGAAGTCCAAATGGAATCTCTGAACTGACCTCCTCACACCCCACACCCAGCCAAAGTAATAAAAAACAATATCATAGCAGGGGTTGGGAGGGGAAGATTAATACCGTCATTAAAACTTAAGGATATAACAGTGGTGGCCCAGGTTATTTGCCAGTCAGGACTCTGCAAAAGCTGGTTGGATATTGGAGAATGACCATAGACTACTATGGACTTTTGCCAAGTAGTAGCCTCGATTTCAGTGACTGTATTGAACATGGCATCACTGTTAGGATGGATTAGCAAAGCTTCATAGGTGGTCATTGATTTGGTGAATGCATTCTTTTCCATTCTAATCAGAAAAGAGGATCAGAAACACTGTATTCTACTGAGATGGACAATAATAAGCATTCACAGTTTTGTCTTACATCTACAGGAACTCTTCTGTTCTTGGTCATCGTGTAGTCTGAAGACATCTAGATTATATCATTACATGGGTGCCAACCTGCTGATTGGTCAAAATGAGGAAGAGGTGGCTGGTATGCTGGAGGCTTGGGTAAGACACATGCACTCCAGTTGGGGGTGAGTAAGCCCTGTGAAGAGCTAGGGATTGGCCACTTCAGTGAAGATTTTAGGAATCCAGTAGTCAGGGGCCTCCAAAGTAAAAAAAAAAAACCTTTGTGTATCTTGCATCCTCTATCCCACTGAAGTAAGCCCAGCACCTTACAGGCCTTTCTGGGTTCCAGAGGCAACATATTCTGCAACTAGGAATACAGTTTTGGCCCATATACTGAGGGACACTAAAGGTGACCATCTTCGAGTGGAGGCTCAGAGTAGAAAGGGGTGCTTCAGCAAGTCCAGACTGTGGTGCAATTGCCCTGCTGCTTAGGCCATGAATTCTGGCAGATCCTATGGTGGTGGAGGTGTCAGTAGTGAGAAAAAGCACAATACAAAGCTTACGGCAGGTACATTGGAAGAATTGCAATGGAGGCCGCTGGAACTTTGGAGTGAGGCTGTGCCATCATCCTCTGAAACTGATACAGCCTTTGAGAATCAGCTTTCAGCATATTACCGGGCTATAGTGGAGATGGAACACGACCATTTTGCCCACGGGGTACTTGGTGATCATGCATTGGGAACTGCCCATGGTGAGTTGGGTCCTGTCTGACCTGCAAAACCATAAGTCTGACAGCTGCAGTCCCATCATACCATGTAAGTGGTCCATCCCAGGCTGGGGCTCACCTGGCCCAGAGGGCATGAGTAAGCTATATAAGCAAGTAGTGCAGACTCCCTTGTCATTCATCACATCATCTCTGACTGTATGTGAGATCCTGCATGACCAGCTGAAAGAGGAGGAAAATCCCAAGCTTGTTTTGCAAATGGGTTGGCTGAATATGGGGAGCAAACTAGAAACAGATGACAGTCTTCCATCCAAGTACTAACCAGGCCTGACCTGCTTAGCTTCTGAGATCAGAAGAGAAAGGGGGCTGAAGCCAGGGAGCCAAGTGGTCTGGCTCAACGGGTCCCAACTCCATGGAGCCCAGCAAGCTGAAACGCACGGGCTTGAAGTTCTCACTGCCAGCACAATAGTCTAAGGTCAACCTGAGATGCTCAAGCTTGGTGTGGGGAGGGACATCCACCACTGCTGAGGCTTGTGTAGGTGGTTTTACCCTCACAGTGTAAACAAAGCTGCCAGGAAGTTCAAACTGGGCAGAGCCCACTGCAGTTCAGCAAGGCCACTGTGGTCAGATTGCCTCTCTAGATTCCTCCTCTCTGGGCAGGACATTTCTGATAAAAAGGCAGCAGCCCCAGTCAGGGACTTACACAGAAAACTCCCATCTCCCTGGGACAGACCACCTGGGGGAAGGGGCAACTGTGGGCACAGCTTCAGCAGACTTAAATGTCCCTGCCTGACGGCTCTGAATAGAGCAGTGGACCTCCCAGCACAGCATTCAAGCTCTGCTGAGGTTCAGACTGCCTTCTCAAGTAGGTCCCTGACCCCTTTGTATCCCGACTGGGAGACACCTCCTAGTAGGGGCCGAGAGACACCTCACGCAGGAGAGCTCTGGCTAGCATCTGGTGGGTGCACCTCTGGAACGAAGCTTCCAGAGGAAGGATCAGGCAGCAATCTTTGCATTCCACAGCCTCCGCTGGTGATACCCAGGCAAAGAGAGTCTAGAGTGGATTCCCAGCAAACTCCAGCAGACCTGCAGCAGAGGTTCCTGATTGTTAGACAGAAAACTAACAAACAGAAAGGAAGAGCATCAACATCAACAAAAAGGACGTCCACTCAGAGACCCCATCCGAAGGTCACCAATGTCAAAGACCAAAGGTAATAAATCCATGAAGATGGGGAGAAACGAGCACAAAAAGCCTGAAAATTCCAAATACCACAATGCCTCTTCTTCTACAAAGGATCACAACTCCTCGCCAGCAAGAGAACAAAACTGGACGGAGAATGAGTTTGACGAATTGACAGAAGTAGGCTTCAGAAGGTGGGTAATAACAAATTCCTCTGAGCTAAAGGAGCATGTTCTAACCCAATGCAAGGAAGCTAAGAACCTTGAAAAAAGATTAGACAAATTTCTAACTAGAATAACCAGTTTAGAGAGAACATAAATGAGCTGATGGAGCTGAAAAACACAGCACGAGAACTTCGTGAAGCATACACAAGTATCAATAGCCAAACCGATCAGGTCGAAGAAAGGATATCAGACACTGAAGATCAACTTAACGAAATAAAGTGAGAAGAGAAGATTAGAGAAAAAAGAATGAAAAGGAATGAACAAAGCTTCCAAAAATATGGGACTATGTGAAAAGACCAAACCTACATTTGATTGGTGTACCTGAAAGTAAAAAGGAGAATAGAACCAAGATGGAAAACACTCTTCAGGATATTATCCAGGAGTACTTCCCCAACCTAGCAAGGCAAGTCAACATTCAAATTCAGGAAATACAGAGAACACCAAAAAGATACTCCTCGAGAAGAACAACCCCAAGATGCATAATTGTTAGATTCATCAAGATTGAAATGAAGGAAAAAATGTTAAGGGCAACCAGAAAGGTTGGGGTACCCACAAAGGCCGAAGTCCATCAGATGAACAGTGGATCTCTCTGCATAAACACTACAAGCCAGAAGAGAGTGAGGGACAATACTCAACATTCTTAAAGAAAAGAATTTTCAACCCAGAATTTCATATCCAGCCAAACTAAGCTTCATAAATGAAGGAGAAATAAAATCCTTTACAGACAAGCAAATTCTGAGAGATTTTGTCACCACCAGGCCTGCCTTACAAGAGCTCCTGAAGGAAGCACTAAACATGGAAAGGAACAACTGGTACCAGCCACTGTAAAAACATACCAAATTCTAAAGACCATCAACACTATGAAGAAACTGCATCAACTAATGGGCAAAATAATCAGCTAGTATCATAATGACAGGATCGAATTCACACATAAAAATATTAACCTTAAATGTAAATGGGGTAAATGCCCCAATTAAAAGACACAGACTGGCAAACTGGATAAAGAGTCAAGACCCATCGGTGTGCTGTATTCAGGAGACCCACCCCGTGTTCAAAGACACACACAGGCTCAAAATAAAGGAATGGGGGAATATTTATCAAGAAAATGGAAAGCAAAAAAAAGCAGGGGTTGTAATCCTAATCTCTGATAAAACAGACTTGAAACCAACAAAGTTCAAAACAGACAAAAAAGGGCGTTACATAAAGGTACAGAAATCAATGCAACAAGAAGAGCTAACTATCCTAAATATATATGCACCCAATACAGGAGCACCCAAATTCATAAAACAAGTTCTTAAAGACCTACAAAGAGACTTAGACTCCCACACAATAATAATGGGAGACTTTAACACCCCACTGTCAATATTAGACAGATCAATGAGACAGAAAATTTACAAGGATATTCAGGACATCAATTCAGCTCTGGACCAAGTGGACCTAATAGACCTCTACAGAACTCTCCACCCCAAATCAACAAAATATACATTCTTCTCGGCACCATATCACTTTTATTCTAAAATTGACCACATAATTGATAGTAAAACACTCTTCACCAAATGCAAAAGAATGAAAATCATAACAGTCTCTCAGACCACAGTGGAATCAAATTAAAACTCAGAATTAAGCAACTCACGCAAAACCATACAACTACATGGAAACTGAACAGCCTGCTCCTGTATAACTACTGGGTAAATGACGAAATGAAGGCAGAAATAAAGATGCCTTTGAAACCAATGAGAACCAAGACAACATACCAGAATCTCTGGGACACATTTAAATAAATTTCCCTCTACCCAGTGTGTAAAGGGTAATTTACAGCACTAAATGCCCACAAGAGAAAGCAGGAAAGATCTAAAATTGACACCCTAACATCACAATTAAAAGAACTAGAGAAACAAGAGCAAATAAATTCAAAAGCTAGCGAAAGACAAGAAATAAGTAAGATCAGAGCACAACTGAAGGAGATAGAGACATGAAAAACCCTTCAAAAAATCAATGAATCCAGGAGCTGGTTTTTTGAAAAGATCAACAAAATAGATAGACTGCTAGCCAGACTAATACAGAAGAAAAGAGAAAAGAATCAAATAGATGCAATAAAAAAACAATGAAGGTGATATCGCCAGTGATCCCACAGAAAAACAAACTACAATCAGAGAATACTATCAACACCTCTAGGCAAATATACTAGAAAATACAGAAGAAATGCATAAACTCCTGGAGACATACATCCTCCCAAGTCTAAACCAGGAAGGAGTTGAATCCCTGAATAGATCAATAACAAGTTCTGAAACTAAGGCAGTAATTAATAGCCTACCAACCAAAAAAAGTCCAGGACCAGATGGATTCACAGCCGAATTCTACCAGAGGTACAAAGAGGAGCTGGTACCATTCCTTCTGAAACTATTCCAAACAATAGAAAAACAAGGAATCCTCCCTAACTCATTTTATGAGGCCAGCATCATTCTGATATTAAAACCTGGCAGAAACACAAAAAAGAAAATTTCAGGCCAATATCCCTGATGAACATCAGTGTGAAAATCCTCAGTAAAATACTGGCAAACAGTATCCAGCAGCACATCCAAAAGCTTATCCACTATGATGAAGTGGGCTTCATCCCTGGGATGCAAGGCTAGTTCAACATATGCAAATCAATAAACGTAATACATCACATAAACAGAACCAGTGATAAAAACCACATGATTACCTCAATAGACGCAGAAAAGGCATTAAACAAAATTCAACAGCTCTTCATGCTAAAACCTCTCAATAAACTAGGTATTGATGCAATGTATCTCAAAATAACAACAGCAATTTATGACAAACCCACAGCCAGTAACATACTGAATGGGCAAAAACTGGAGGCATTACCTTTGAAAACTGACACAAGACAAGGATGCCCTCTCTCCACTCCTATTCAACATACTATTGGAAATTCTGGCCAGGGCAATAAGGCAAGAGAAAGAAATAAAAGGTATTCAAATAGGAAGAGAAGAAGTTAAACTGTCTCTGTTTGCAGATGACATGATTGTATATTGAGAAAACCCCATTGTCTCAGCCCTAAATCTCCTTAAGCTGATAAGCAACTTCAGCGAAGTCTCAGGATACAAAATCAACATGTAAAAATCACAAGCATTCCTATACACCGATAACAGACAAATAGAGAGCCAAACCGTGAATGAACTCCCATTCACGATTGCTACTAAGAGAATAAAATACCTAGGAATACAACTTACAATGGATGTGAAGGACGTCTTCAAGGAAAACTACAAACCACTGCTCAAGGAAATAAGAGAGGATACAAATAAATGGAACAACATTCCATGCTCATGGATAGGATAGATTCAATGCTATCCCCATCAAGCTACCAATGACTTTCTTCACAGAATTAGAAAAAAACTACTTTAAATTTCATATGGAACCAAAAAAGAGCCCACATAGCCAAGACAATCCTAAGCAAAAAGAAGAATGCTGGAGACATCATGCTACTTGACTTCAAACTATACTACAAGGCTACAGTAACCAAAAGAACATGGTACTGTTACCAAAACAGATATATAGACCAAAGGAACAGAACAGAGGCCTCAGAAATAGCACCACACATCTATAACCATCTGATCTTTGGCAAACCTGACAAAAACAAGCAATGGGGAAAGGATTCCCTATTTAATAAATGGTGTTGAGAAAACTGGCTAGCCACATGCAGAAAACTGAAACTGGACCCCTTCCTTACACCTTACAAAAATTAACCCAAAGTGGATTAAAGACTTAAACGTAAGACCTAAAACCATAAAAACCCTAGAAGAAAAACCTAGGCAATACCATTCAGGATCTAGGCCTGGGCAAAGACTTCATGACTAAAACATCAAAAGCAAGGGCAACAAAAGCCAAAATTGACAAATGGGATCTAATTAAACTAAAGAGCTTCTGCACAGCAAAAGAAACTGTTATCAGAGTGAACAGGCAATCTACAGAATGGGAGAAAATTTTTGCAATCTGTACATCTGACAAAGGGCTAATATCCAGAATTTACAAAGAACTTAAACAAATTTACAAGAAAATAAACAACCCCATCAAAAAGTGGGTGAAAGATATGAACAGACACTTCTCAAAAGAAGACACTGATGCTGCCAACAAACATGAAAAAAAGTTATCATCACTCATTGTTAGAGAAATGCAAATCAAAACCACAATGAGATACCATCTCACGCCAGTTAGAATGGCAATCATTAAAAAGTCAGGAAACAACAGATGCTGGACAGGATGTGGAGAAATAGGAATGCTTTTACACTCTTGGTGGGAGCGTAAATTAGTTCAACCATTGTGGAAGACAGTGTGGCGATTTCTCAAGGATTTAGAACCAGAAATACCATTTGACTCAGCAATCCCATTACTGGGTACATACCCAAAATTTATAAGTCATTCTGCTATAAAAGACACATGCACACATATGTTTACTGAGGCACTATTCACAATAGGAAAGACTTGGAAGCAACCCAAATGCCCATCAATGATAGAATGGATAAAGAAAATGTGGCACATATACACTATGGAATGCTACGCAGCCATAAAAAATGAGTTTATGTCCTTTGCAGGGACATGGATGAAGCTGGAAACCATCATTCTCAGCAAACTAACACAAGAATAGAAAACCAAACACTGCATCTTCTCAGTCATAAGTGGGAGTTGAACAATGAGAACACATGGACACAAGGAAGCGAACATCACTCACTGGGGCCTATCAGCAAGTGGGGGGCTAGGGGAGGTATAGTATTAAGAGAAATACCTAATGTGGATGACAGGTTAATGGGTGCAGCAAACCACCATGGCACGTATATACCTATGAAACAAACCTGCATTTTCTGCACATGTACCCCAGAACTTAAAGTATAATAATAAAAATAAATAAAAATGAAAAATAACAGATGACAGTCAGATTTAGGGGTGTCCCTGAAACTCAGTGGAGAGATAAGCTCTTCCTGGGAGACAGGGTTGTGAACAGTGCACCGTGTCATCAACCTTTTGCATAGGGAAATAAAAGTGGCCCAAGATGAGAATTTGTGCAAATCCTGGATAGTGACTAAGGAGGTCTGGGGCTGAGGTGTGTGAACGTACACTTGAGAGTGGGCATACAGTGTGAAGGATTCTGTTGCACATATTCATGTCCACTAGGACACATCCATCATGGAAGAGCCTCTGAACAATCAATTAGACAAGATGACTTGGCCCAGTGATGCTGGCTGTCAGTGTCCACCCCAGAACTGGCATGACAGGAACACGAACAGATAGATGGCTGAGGTGTGGAGATGGAGGCTATAAGAGGTCAATGGCATGGCTCCGGCTTACCAGTCTAGCCACTGTGCCTCTGAATGTCAGCAGCACAGTTGCGCCTGCTACGGCGCTATTACCCTAGGACACCAACCTAAAAGGGCCAGTGGTTTGTCTTCACAGGTGTAGATACTTTGGGAATGGATCTGCCTTTCCTGCCCAGAGCATCTCAGCCAGCACTACCATCTGGGGGCTTATAGAATGCCTGAGCCATAGCCATGAGTCCCACACAGCACAACAGCCAACTAAGAGACACACCTCATAGCCCAGGACCATGGGGTTCGCTCACTGCATCACACACTGCAACCCCCTAGGGCAGCTGGCCTCATAGAATGCTGGCATGGCCTTTTCAAGGAGCAACTGAAGTGCTGGCTCAGAGGAAACCCCCACAAGGACGAGGTACCATCCTTCAGTGTGCAAAGACTTGTATATGTCAGTGTGTCCCCAAAAGGAAAGACCCATGAGTCTGGAAACCAAGGAGTAGAAGCAGAGGTGACTTACCACCAGTCTCTAAGACCCACTGGGGGATTTGGGGCTTCCTGCTCTGCGACTCTGGGTTCTGCAGGGTTGGAGGTCCGGATCCAAAAGAGGACACACTCTGGCCAGGAGACACAGCAAGGGTCTTGTTGAACGGCAAGTGGAAGCTGCTGCCGGGACACTCAGGATGCCTCGTTCGCAAGGATCAGCAGGTTAAAAGAGAAATCATCTTATTGGCATGCGTTATTGACCTAATCAGCAGCAGGAGGCAGGGGCTTTTTTACCTAGTGGGGGCGGGGAGGAACAGGGGCAGAACCCAGGGGCTGGGCTCAGGTGCCTCCTGCGGCTCCCTCACCCACTTGTATCTGTGAATACGCAGGTGCAGTCACTCCAGACTGAGCAGGGTATGATTCTAATTTAGACCCTTCAGGAATGAGGGTCATCCCATCAGGTAAGCTACCGACACCTACTGACCTGATAGCTGAGGGTGAGGGGAATTTAAATGCAGGGCGGAGGAGGGGTTAGGATGCTCCAAGACCCTCGGCCGTCACGGGGGCTGTGGTTTGTCGCTCAGGAAGAAAGGCCCCTGGGAACCCTGGAGGAGCTGCTTTCTGAACTTTCCTGGTTGGAGAAATAGATCTGTGTGGGGCAAGGGGGTGGGCGGTGGTGGTAATGAGCATGCGTCTCACGGACCATCATCAACGAGAAGCGTCAACAAATCAAGGGCCCAGGCGGCTGCGCGCAGACATCCATGGCTGTGTGCCCTGGGCTGCCCTCCCCGCGGGCAGCTCCCTGTGAGTGGCTGACTGCTGCAAGGATCTAACGCCGGTTCCTGGAAGACATCCACGGATAGCTGACTTTGGCTGGAGGACTCGCTGACCCTTCCTTAGAGGGCATGCAGTCTGGGACACGTCCACGCCACCTCCTTTCCCTCTCTCCTCTCTCTTCCCTTCCCTGGTTTGCTGTCGGACACGCCATCGCAGCCTATCTTACCTCCCTTCCCATTTTTTTTTTCCTCACACAAGTGCTTTCTCTAATATAACCTTTACACATTTAATCCCGACTTGGCACCTGGTCAGTTGTGTGCTGGTAAATGGATCCCCCCCAAACAAAAGCTCTCATTTGTAGCATTGGCTGATTTCCACGGTATAGGTGGCCCCACCATGGCAGGCTTCTACTAATGGTTCTTGGGAAACTCCCAGGTAGCGGCTTCCATGAGCTGGCACCAGTCACTCCAACGCACCACTTCATGTGCCTCTGGGGGCTGAGAGACACGGAGGGGCGTGAACCCATGGTGGATCCTATGTGCTTCAGGGTAGGATGAGTCAAAATCTGGGGAAGGCGGAGGAGTCGGCTGATTGCCAGCATTTGATCTCAGTAACAGGGTGTCTTCTCGGTGCTTGAAATATCTCTTCGGTGTTTCGGACACTAGAAATCTGACATGCGCCAGTCCTTAATGACATATCCACAGTTCTAGTCATTTGTCTCTGTCCCCCTCAATCCAAGCAGCAATCTGCCATCTGATTAGCCTTCCTAAAGCAGCACTCTGACCATGTAAATGCCTCTGCTAAAAAGCTCCAATAGCTGCCTTTCCTAGGGAGACGTTTCTCTAAACATGTGGAATGCTTTTGAAGGATGTTAATAGGTGTCACGAGAATCCCAGGGCAGCATAATCCAACAAGTTTGGGCAACACTGACTGTAGCAAAATGAGGCAGATATCTTTACGCCAGGATTTACCAATGTAAGCTAGCGTGCACGGCAAATTGGCCATAGGGCTATGCAGCCTTTCTCAAACCTGTTTGTCCATGGCTCCCTTCCTCTGCTTTTTTCAGAGCATCTCATAGAATTAGTGTCCTGTGGAACACTATGGAAACGGTGGATGCGCTGACTTAGAGAATAAAATCCAAACTCCCTAGTCTAGCCTTCAAGGCTCGCCATTGTCTGGATTTCAATGGCTGGCTGACCTTGTTTTCCTTCTGGAACCCTTTGTTCCAGGAAACTTAAACCACTCACTGTGCGTACCCATGGATACTTCACTGCCTTTGATCCTTTCATGTCCTTCCCCTGGTCTCTAATGTCCTTCTTCCTCTTCTTTATATACTGAAATTCATCTATTCTTTCAGGCAGCTCGGTGCCACCTTTTCTATAAAGTCTCATCTGAAACTACATGAATTTGAAAAAAAAAATGTGGTAAAATACACTTACATAAAATTTACCATCTTAATCATTTTTTAAGTATGTGGTTCAGGGGCATTAAGTACCTTCACAGTGTTGTGCAGTCATTACCCCATTCATTTCCAGAACTCTTTTGCAAAACTGAAACTCTGTTCCCATTGACAGTAACTTCCCACTCTTCCATCCTCCCCTCTCCTATCAACCCCCATTTTTATTTCTGTCTCTGAATTTGACTAGGTGCCTCATATAAGTGGAATCATACAGTTTTATTTTTTGTGTGTGATTGGTTTAGTTCACTTCATAGAGTTCATCCCACAAACAAATTCACGAAGGGCATAAAACTGGAAGGTCTCCAGAAGGCTCCTGACCTGGGTCCCCAAGGTCAAGCTTGGCAGCTCCTCCATCCTTCCATGCTCATCCTGGAGCTCAGTGGCCCTGTTGAATGGAGATGTTGAAGGATGAATGGGGAATTGTTTCTCAGCATTCCTGATCCCAACTACTTTGGGAAGAAGACATCCACCCAGCGGACTGCTCTTTCTGTTTTCTTCTTCCACTCAAGGTTCATCTATGTTGTAACACGTACCAGAATTTGTTTCCTTTTAAGGTTGAATAATATTCTACTGTTGATACATAGCATGTTTTACTCATTCATTCATTGGCCAGTGGACACTTGGGTTGCTTCCACATTTTGGCGATTGTGAATAATGCTGCTGTGAACATGGGTGTGCAATTATCTGTCTGAGTCTCTGCTTTCAATCGTTTTAAGAACATACCCGGAAGTGGAGTTGCCGAGTCATATGGTAATTCTACATTTAATTTTTTGAGGACCCGCCATATTGGCTTTCACAGCAGCTGCAACTTTTGACATTCCTGAACCCACACAACCTTTTACCAGCACACTCTGCATTAGTTATTAGTTATACTCCTCAGTATATTTTTAGCCATTTATACAAGTCTTCTCTTTCCTGTATTATAAGTCCCTAAAAGGTAAGAGGCATGACACATTTTTCTTTGCTTCTTCCCAGATGTCGAGAATAGTGCCTTAATGTGGTGCTCACTGATGTTCTGTCCCTTAATATTGAGCCTCACCACTTGCGGGAGGACTGAATTTCTCTCCACACTGACATACTACTAGCAGTTTTCACTAATAGTCACACACATACACACACACACACACACACACCAAAACACACTCACATCATAATCTTTCTACTCTTCATTGTGGTAAATAGAGCCTCTACCAAAGGATAGCAAAGAATCTTCAGACGATTATTGGCACCAAGAATGTCCTCCCAATGCACCAGCATACCTAAAATGTTGGGTGGAGATGGTGCCTTTTCCAGTGGAAGCTACTCATGGCATCAGAACAAACCCACCCCACGGACAAATTCACAAAGGGTGTAAAACTGGAAGGCCTCCAACGGGCTCCTGACCAGGGCCTCCAAAGTCAGGTTTGGCAGCTCCTCCATCTTTCCATGCTCATCTGGAGCTCAGCGGCCCTGTTGAATGGAGATGATGAAGGATAAATGGAAAACTATTCCTCAGAATCCCTGGTCTCGACTACTTTGGGAGGAAGACATCCACCCAGCAGGCTGGTCTTTCTGTTTTCTTCTTCACATTCCTCTTCGCATAGTTACTGTTCCTCTTTTCACAGGTTAACATTTAACTTGGAAAAAAAATTAGCTCCTTAGAATTTCGAGCAAATGTTAATCACTACCAGCAGTCTCCGCTGTCCACCTTACACCTTCTCCTGAGGTGGGCAAGGCTAATTTAGCTTGTCAGTGGAGGTTTTGTCTGCTGTTAACCTCTTCACCTCTTTGTCTTTCCCAAGTTTGTTTGCTTTAGCAGGGTTTAATTGGACTAAGGTTCTGGTCTCAGAGACTTTCAGATCTGGAGCCTTTATTAGATGAGACGAGATCATAGAAAACAGAAGGTAGGGTGGGAGGGCCACTAATTCACCACCTGGCCCACAGGGGAGAATTAAATCCAGAATTAGTGAGACTTGGGAGCAGGGCCTCCCCATTGGGGTTTTCTTCATGTTCCAAACTGCTCTTTGGAATCCATTGTCTCAAGGACCCCTTAGGAGATGAGAGTATAGGCATTACCTGCGTCTCTCTCTCTCTCTCTCTCTCCTTTTTTCATGTTTTAGGGAGGAGAGAGGAAATGTTGGTAGCTTGCTAGGGAGAGAAACAGTACAGTAAGACAGAGGTAGTGTGGTGTTGTGAAAAGCACCAAATGTTGTATATACAACTGGTTAAAAAACAAATAGGTAACAACTTGTGGTCTTCACAACCAGCTTTTGTGGTAATCTGAACTTGGACACAGAGCATGCTGGGACCTTGGCTCCAGGATTGGGACAAATGGTCAGTATTTCAAACCACAGGACTCCAGAGGATGGGGTGAACTTGGGTGTCAAGATCTTCTGAGGAGGGCAAATGGGGAGGTAGAGGCCAATCTGATGGTTTGGAGTTTAGAAATAAGATATTCTACCAAGACCAGCATCACACGGCTTGCTTATTGCACAACTTCAGAGGAACTGTTCACAGCAGATTGGTGGTAGTTGTGGATACCTGTGGTCTTACCTGGCCAGCAGTACCTTTTTCTAGGTGGCTGCCCTCCCTGCCATCCGCAGTTACCATAGGTGCTCCCTGCATGCACTTAACTCCAGCTTGATCAGTTGAGGTTTTCCATCCATTCGGTCAAGTTGACTGGCACAGGGGTGGCCACCTGACCTAAGCTGGGCTATAAAATGCAAAGCTTGGGACATCCCAATGGCCATGTTTCTTGCTGTGAACCTGGGAAGCAGAGGCCAGTTAGCAGAAAAAAAGAAGATTTCAACATCTGCAGAGAGGCGCTGAGATGAGAAACTCAGAAAGAGATGTTCAAGTCAGCGTTTCCGCCTGTCCCTGGGGCACTGGGTTCCATGAGATACTAAATGCCTCTGAGTGTTTCAGCTGGTTCAGATTGGGTTTCTGTCACTTGAAATCATAAGAGTTCTGAAGAATATGCTACAGATCAGGGTGAAGGATGTGAAAGTGCTTTGTTTTCAGTGCTTCATCCGATTTGGAATAGGAGCCTGTGGAGGTTAAATGTAGCTCTCAGGAATCGGAGGCAGGAAAGGTGTAGGAAGGGTTTCAGCAACCCAACCAAGGAGGGAGTTTTGAGGATTTAAGCAAATAAACCAGGTGGTGGGGAGGCACAGGACAATCACTGGGCATGCAGGTGAGCAGGGCACCACCCAATGCAGGACTTAGGAGAGTTAGGCTTTATTCAGTGGGTAATGGGCTGCTGACTCCACCTCATTTGTCAAAACTGCACTGGAGTCTGGGCATGGTGGCTCTTACCTGTAATCCCAGCACTTTGGGAGGCCAAGTCAGGAGGATTGCTTGAGTCCAAGAATTCCAGAGCAGCCTGGGGAACATATCAAGACTCTATCTCTACTAAAAATGAAAAGTAAAATAAAATTAGTCAGGCATGGTGGCATGCCCCTGTAGTCCCAGCTACCTCAGAGGGTGAGGTGAGAGGATCATTTGAGCCCCGGAGGTCAAGGCTGCAGTGAGCCATTATTTTGCCACTGCACTCCAGCCTGGGTGACAGAGAGAGACCTTGTCTCAAAACAAAACAAAACAAAAAAACAAAAACAAACAAGAAAACTGCCTTGGAATTTGCCAAAGTAATGATTGTCATGACAATAGCATCAACAACAACAAAAAACCCAAACCAACACCCCAATTAAGACAGGGCAAAGAAAGGACTTGGACATTTTTTCAAAGAAGGTAAACAAATGGTCAAGAAGCACATGAATAGATGCTCAACATCACTAATCACTAGGGAAGTGAAAATCAAAACCACAATGACATACCACCACACACCCTTTAAGGATGGCTACTATAAACACACACACACACACACACACACCCCACACACACCATAACAAAGATTGGCAAGGATGTGGAGAAACTGGAACCCTTGTACAGTGTTGGTGGGTATATGGAATGATGTAGTATGGTGGGTCTTCAAAAAATTAAAAATAGAATTACCAGGCACGGTGGCTCACACCTGTAATCCCAGCACTTTGGGAGGCGGAGGCTAGTGGATCACTTGAGGTCAGAAGTTCGAGACCAGCCTGGCTGACATGGTGAAACCCCATTTCTACTAAAAATACAAAAATTAGCTGAGCGTTGTGGTGGGCGTCTGTAATCTCAGCCACTCAGGAGGCTGAAGCGGGAGAATCACTTGAACCCGGGAGGCAGAGGTTGCAGTGAGTCAAGATTGCGCCACTGCACTCCAGCCTGGGTGACAGAGTGAGACTCTGTCTCAAAAACAAAACAAAATAAAACAAAGCAAAACAGAATTGCCATATGACCCAGCAATTTCCACCTGCAATCTAGCCCCAAACTTTCCTTCTCCTATATTGTCATTGTACCTATGCTTAATTCTGCAAAACTTCCTCACATCTGGGATGGAGTGGATGCTAATCTTGCCACTTAGGGTGTTCCCTCCACCCCAGATCCCACCTGCCTCTTGAGGTTTCCCCAGCCCTCTCATTGGAAAACATGGCTCTTTCATTTGAACTCTCCTGGCATTTTGACTGTCTGTCTTGTATGGGACTGCTCATATTTGCTTTGTCATAATTGCTAATGTATTTGTCTTATCTACTGGACTGTGTGCTTGCTGAGGGCAGGAAGGGCGTGAGCCTTATTCATCCACAAATTCCACCTAGCTAACATTGGTGATTGACAGGCAGCACAATTTCAATAAAGAGTAGTTGAAAAACATGACTATAGGGGAGGATGAGAACCCTGGTTATTAATGGAATGAGAAATTAGCACAGAATTAAATTTAGGAACATGTACCACACCCATGTCTATTTTCTCCTCATTTGGCTTGTGAATAGGAACAGCTATCAGTCACTAGTGTGACCATGCTAGTCTTGTTATTTCTGCTGCACAGATGTACTGGGTTATTGTTTCAAAGAATAACCCTCCACAAAGGCTTGTTATCCCTGCTCCTTACACACACATGCATGGCAAGACAATCCTGGAGAGCCCGAAAGCCTTCCTAGAATCCCAGTGGGAAAGGTCAGGAAGATGTTCCTGGAAAATGGCCCCTTCAGGGACTGTGAAATTTTACCCTGGATGGGTGCGGTGGCTCATGTCTGTAATCCCAGCACTTTGAGGGGCCAAGGTAGGAGGATCATGTGAGTGCAGGGGTTTGCGACCAGCCTGGGCAAGATGGTAATATCCCCTGTCTACAAAAAAAATTTACAAAATTAGCCAGGGGTGATGGTGCATGTCTGTAGTCCCAGCTACTCAGGAGGCTGAGGCGGGAGGATCCCTTGAGCCCAGGAGTATGAGGCTGCCGTGAACTGTGATTGTGCCACTGTACTCCAGCCTGAGCAACAGAATGAGACCCTATCTCAAAACATAAATAAAATTGTTCCCTGCTATGGTCTGAATGTTTGTGTCCCCCCGCCATTCATATGTTGAAATCCTGACCCCTTGCGGTGATGGTGTTAGGAGGTGGAGGCTTTTGAGGGGCAATGAAGTTGTGAAAGTGGAACCCTCATGAATAGAACTAGTCCCCTTATAATAGGCCCAAGAGAGCTCTTTTGCCCCTTCTGCCATGTGAGGTCAGTGAGAAGGCGCCATCTATGAACAAGGGAGTGGACCCTATCAGACCCCAAATCTGCCAGTGCCTTCATCTTGGACTTCCCAGCTTCCAGAATTGTGAGAAATTTATTTCTGTTATTTTATTTTATTTTTGAGACAAGGTTTCACTCTGTTGCCCAGGCTAAAGTGCAGTGGCATAATCACGGCTCACTGCAGCCTCGACCTCCTGGGCTTAAGCAGTCCTTCTGCCTCAGCCTCCTGAGTAACCAGGATCACAGGCATGCACCACCGCACCGGGCTTATTTTTTAATTTTTATTTTTTTGTAGAGATGGGGTCTCTCCATGTTGCCCAGGCTTGTCTCAGACTCCTGGGATAAAGTGATCCTCCCACATCAGCCTCCCAAAGTCCTGGGATTACAAGTATGAGGCACCATGCCTAGCCCTCTGTTGTTTATAAGCCACCCAGTTTGTGGTCTTTTGTTACAGCACCCAGAAAGGACTAAGACATATTCCAAAGAGGCCCTGAACATGCGGAGCCTGGACTCATCCATTACACAGGCCATGCACAGAACAAATGACAGGCCTGGCTTCAGATTTGGCATCTGAAAAAAGAGAAGGAGCTGCTCCTTGGGCCTAAGGGTAATGGCAGTGAGTATTTACTGAGCACTTACCATGTGCCAAATAGTATGCTCCACCTGCACTGTGTGGTAGATACTAACCATGTGGCTATTAAGTACTTGAAATATGCTCAGGGCTGGCGGTGGTGGCTCACGCCTGTAATCCCAGCATTCTGGGAGGCCGAGGTGGGTGAATCACCTGAGGTCAGGAGTTCGAGACCAGCCTGACCAATATGGCGAAACCCCATTTCTACTAAAAATACAAAAATTAGCTGACCGTGGTGGCACATGCCTGTAATTCCAGCTACTTGGGAGGCTGAGGCAGGACAATCGCTTGAACCCAGGAGATGGAGGTTGCAGTGAGCCAAGATCACGCCACTGCACTTTAGCCTGGATGACAGAGTGAGGCTCTGGCTCAAAAAAAAAAATATATATATATATAAAATATATATAATATATAATATATTTTATAATATATTATATATAAATATATATAAAATATATATATAATATATACATAGCATATATATGCTCAGTGCAACTGAAGAGCTGAATTTTTAATTTAAATTAAATTTTAATTTAAATTAATTAAAATTTAATTTAATTGTTAAATTTAAATTTAAATTTAAATTTGAAAACAGATACTCTATTCAGTTATTAGAAAATATTTAAGAATGGTTGGAACTAACATGGGTATGTGAATGTACTTTTTCAACTATTATATAAATCTTATGAAATCTAAATAAGAAACAAGTATTTCTGATGAAAATTTAGCATCTGAATTGAGATGCATTGGGAGTATAAAACACACATCAGATTTTGAAGATTTAGTATGAATAAAAGAATGTTAAACTTCTCATTAATATGTATTATTTTTTGAGATGGGGTCTTGCTCTGTCACCCAGGCTGGAGTGCAATGGTGTGATCATGGCTCACTGCAGCCTCAAACTCCTGGGCTCAAGTGATCCTTCCCCCTCAGCCTCCTGAGCTGCTGGGACCACAGATGTGCACCATCATGCCATTTTTGATTATATGTATTGGGTTAAATAAAATATATGATTAAAATTAATGTCATATGTTTCTTTTTTATTTTTAAATGTGTGGCTACTAGAAAATTTTAAACACCACATATGGCTTGTGTTTTATTTCTATTGAACAGCGCTCCGTGATATGCTGAATATTTTCACATGCATTATCTCATTTCCTCCTGACAATAACCCTTTGAAGTAGATAGCATCATTATATCACCTTCTTACAGAGGATGCTCAGAGAGGTTTAACAACCTACGCACAGTTACACAGCCTGGTGGTAGCGCCGGGGACCAAGCAGACGTAATGTGATAACCAGGCTGGCGGTCATAGCGGGCTTCGCTTTCTCTGGGGGCTGAGGCCTTAACATCCAGGGGCTTTTCACGGAATCACACAGAGTGTTACAGTCTCAAAGGCTCTCATAGGCATTCCTTTTGGTAATATTTTTGGAAGATGCTATACATACAGTAATTTTTATAGCTCTGATTTGGCATTTCTGAATGTACTGGAAGCCTCAAAAAGAAAAAAAAAGGAAGGTACCAAGTCTGTCTGGGCTTCTGAGAGGCCCTGGGATCACATTAAATAATTTTCCTAGCTGCTCCCACATGCTGTCTTGGATAGGTTTTGGTCAATAGTGTGATGAGTGATTCGGGAATCAGATAGGACAGGTTTAGTACAATAGAAAAGCAGTCCAGTCCAGGCACAGTGGCTCATGCCTGTAATCCCAGCACTTTGGAAGGCTGAGTGGGGCAGATCACCTGAGGTCAGCGGTTTGAGACCAGCCTGGCCAACAGGGTGAAACACCATCTGTACTAAAAATACAAAAATTAGCCAAGCATGGTGGCGCACGCCTATAATCGCAGCTACTCAGGAGGCTGAGGCAGGAGAATTCCTTGAACCTGGGAGGCAGAAGTCGCAGTGAGCCAAGATCATGCTGCTGCACTCTAGCCTGGGTGACAGAGCGAGACTCCATCTAAAAAAAAAAAAAAATAAGCGAGGCTACCAACCTTCACACTATGCTGTTGCTGTTGATTAATTGTCCACATGAAGGCGGCAAGATGCTGAGGTAGGAGTAGAAGGCTGGAAAGAAGGGAGAGATAATTGACATTTCCAAAGGCAAAGTTTTCTAAGAGGCTGGCTGGAGGCTGGGAAGGCTCTCACTCTCCCTGAAAGTCCTAACACATCTGCTTCTTGCCCCACGAGAACTTGCTCCTGGGTGCTGGCTTTGCCATTTGCGGGAAGCTCAGATGCACTGAGAATGGGACATGGGACAGGGTGCTTGGAGAGCCGGGGCTGCAAGGACATGAGAGAGTTCCGGTTAAGCAAGGGAAGGAGCTGGCTGAGGATGGGAGAGTGACCAAAACCAACCCAGGGAAGTGTCCAGTCCCAAGTTCCAGCTTTGCCTGGAGCCACTTTGCATCTACCTTGGGTTAGCAGGTTGAAGTGGGCTTACTGTGTCACATAGTCTGGTATTTAATCAAATAATTCCTTAAATATAATTCATGGAAGCCGAGCACGGTGGCTTATGTCTGTAATCGCAGCACTTTGGGAGGCCGAGGCAGGTGGATCACTTGAGGTCAGGAGTTCGAGACCAGCCTGGCCAATGTGGCAAAACCCCATCTCTACTAGAAAATACAAAAATTAGCTGGGCATGGTGGTGCACGCCTGTAATCCCAGCTACTCTGGAGGCTGAGGCAGGAGAATTACTTGAACATGGGAGGCGGAGCTTGCAGTGAGCCGAGATTGCACCACTACATCATTCCAGCCTGGGTGACAGAGTGAGACTCTGTCTAAAAAAAAAAAAAAAAAAAAAAAAAAACAACTCTTGGAAATAGCAAAATCAGAATTCACGATTATGCAAAGGGCTGGCTTCAAATTTGCAAAGATGCAGTAGCCTTGACCTAGACTGATATCTACCTGTCATCACAGGTATCGACATCACAGATGTCCCTGCCAAAAGCTTGGGGTGCTCCTACCAGTTGGTACTAATAGAGGAGGCAGAGGACAGAGCAAGCCATGAGGATTCATTAGGCTTCTTTACATGTGTTTTCCTGTTGTGTTATGTTTAAAAGGTTGAGCACCCATGTGTCTGGAACAAAGGAACAATGATGTTATCCTCAAGCAGAAAGTGGAGGCTCTGATGTGATTCTTCCTTACTGCTTTTGGGAGCCTTTATAAGAAACTCCTACAATTAGACTTGGTAGGTAAGTGCCTCTTTTCTTTCTTTCTTTCTTTCTTTCTTTCTTTCTTTCTTTCTTTTCTTTTCTTTCTTTCTTTCTTTCTTTCTTTCTTTCTTTCTTTCTTTCTTTCTTTCTTCTTTCCTTCTTTCTTTCTTTTTTTTTTTTTTTTTGAGAGTTTCTCACTATTGTCTCCCTGGCTGGAGCACAGTGGCCCGAACACAGCTCACTGCAGCCTCATCCTCTGGGGCTCCAGCGATCCTCCCACACTTAGCCTCCTGAGTAGCTGGGACTGTAGCTGGGATTGTGCCCCATCACGCCCGGTTAATTGTTTTGTTTTTTTTGTAGCGATGGAGTCTTGCCATATTGCACAGGCTGGCCTCAAACTCCTGGGCTCAAGTGATCTTCCCTTCTTGGCCTCCCAAAATGCTGGGATTACAGTCATGAACCACCATGCCCACCTCTTCTAAAATGTTAAATATCTCTGGGGAAGTTAGAAGACTTGTTCAAGTGGCTCACGTGTTAGTATGAAATGCTTTAACCTCACTGTCTTTATCCTAATACCTCTTGAGCATTGAGAGTATAGATATTTTCAAGGGGCTGGGGGAAGGAGAGTAGAAGGAAATAGAAGTTGATTATAGTTGTTGTTGTTGTTGTTGTTGTTAGTCTTGTTTAGAGGGCATACCCCACTGGGAAAGGCCTCGGTTGAGATGTGAATTGGAGTGGTGACAAGAGAGATTTGAATATGAGGATCTTTGAAAGTTAAAGTGCTCTCGAAGGACGATAGAAGGGTTCTAAAAAAGAGTTTTGTTTTTTTTTTTCCCTCTTGTTTTCCCAGAAATTCTGTCTGGGACTGGGCACGGTATGTGGGGTCTTTATGCTTGGACTATTTTAAAAATAAAACTCAGCTGGGTGCGGTGGCTCCTGCCCGTAATTCCAGCACTGTGGGAGGCCAAGGCGAGTGGGTCACCTGAGGTCGGGATTTCAAGACCATAGGCAGTCCTTTGGTAATATTTTTGGAATATTACCAATTCACGTGGCCGACATGGTGAAACCCTGTCTCTATTGAAAATACAAAAAATGAGACAGGCATGGTGATGCATGCCTGTAATCCCAGCTCCTCGGGAGGCTGAGGCAGAAGAATCTCTTGAAACTGGGAGACCGAGGTTGCAGTGAGCCGAGATCATGCCACTGCATTCCAGCCTGGGCAACAGAGCCAGACTCCATCTCAAAAACAAACAAACGAGCAAACAAAAAAAGAAAAGAAAAGAAAAGAAAAGAAACTCCATGCCTCTGGACAAGCTAGGCAGGGGCTGAGGATAGAAGATGAACCAGAAACACTGTTAGCCCCCTCCTTTCCTAGGACGCCACTCTAACTAGCCTTTGCCCAGGAGGCCTTCATGCCTAATTGTAGCTTTCAACAGGAAAAGCAGGACAGCTGCTGCTAATTTAATTACATCCAATTTGGGTGGTATTTATTGAGCCTTCTGCGTAAGGCACCTTCTTAACAATGTCCCAGCCCTCCACCACAGTCACCACCCACCTCCCCCCTACGACAAATCTGACCATAGGATTTCCAGGCGGAGAAGAAAACCTCCCACCTCGGGCTTCATCTGTAGGGGCCGCAGTCCAAGCCAGCGGCTCTGACGTTTTGTTTTCTCTGCATTCGGTTCTGATGCCGACACTGCGCAGGTTGTTACGGAACTGCTAGAGATAAGTGTGAGGGCACATTAAGGCATGGGAGGCATTCTTTCCAAGGGGGGAAGGAGAGGAAGCAGACAAAGAAGGGCCTCTGCTGTCGTTAGGATTCTCACTTGTATGTTTCTGTTTCCAGAGCACCAGTGATGGGAAGTGTTTGCTTCTGTGAACTCAAGGCACAAAAAACCAAGGCAAAAGAACACTTTTTAAAGGCTCTCGCCCCCAGTTGCATCAGCTCCATCAAGCAGGGTTGCGCAGTGCAAGGCTGGAATGGTTTCCAGGGCCTCTGTGGGGGACGAGGGGAGAGCTGCCCTCCTCATCTCTGAAAATAGTGCTTTTTCAAGTTTCCCTCCTTGAAATGTGGAATGACATCCTCCAAGCACCCTGTTTGAATCTATGGTGTTATGTATATGTGGTGGCTTTAAGACAGTCTCGGAGGGGCTCCTAGGGAGGTGGGGAGGGGAGCCCTGATGCCGGGGCACCTTGCTTGCTTTTGATGGAAAACTGCTCTCCAAAAATGGCTCCAGAGAAAGCAAATCTTAGGATAGTGAAGCGAGAGTGGAGAAGCTTAGATTCCTTTTTAAATGGAAATTATGTCCACTGCAAAGAAGACATTTCCCTCAAAAGGGGGAAAACGTCTTAAAGACACCTCCGCCAGCTCAGCTAGCGCTGGGACACAAGCAAAATGCCTGACGGGCCGGTAAATCATCTTGGGAGGACAGAGTTTGAATAGAGGGGAAGGCAGAAAAGCAGAAGCCCGGCATAGTGTGAGCTGATTCCAGCAAAGGCTGAGAGCAGCAAGGGGCCTGGGCTATGGGATACATAATTGGCTAACGAATAATAAAGCCAAAATTGGATATTAACAGCAATTAATTTCTGTAGAGGCACTGGGGAAAAGAGCTGCAGAAAACCCCATTGGGCCTTAAGCCGAAGCAATCTGAAATTAAACCAGTGTCTCAATTAAATGGGAATAAATATTGCCACATCAATCTGTGTAGAGTGGGAGGGGGCTGACAGAAGCCCCCCGTGCAGCTCAGGGCACCTTTCTGCACGTCCGAAGCTCTCGGTGGCACAGCCTCAGTCAGGCACATCCTGGTCCTGACCTGTGGCCTGTAGAGGCCACCCGGCCCATGACCTTGAGGCCAGGGCTCTGAAAGTTATTTCAGGGGACGGCCTGTTGACCCAAAGGGACCTTGCATCACTCACTGCACGCTGATGGACCCAACAGATGAGGAAATGGAAGGAATTGAGTTTTTTTTGCAAACAGAGACCGCGTCCTAATGGCAGCAGCGGTTGCATTTGCAAGGAGATTCATGGAGACAGAAAGAGCCTTCTGCGCCTTCCTTCCAACCGACTTCGAGCGGCTCCGTCCCCTCCGGCTTCGGATCTGGAACTAACGCTGACTAAGGCCGAAGGAGGAATGTGTCTTTTTCTTTGTGGGTTGAAGATTTTTGTTGTGGTTTTGGCTTCTGTGGAGAGGGTTGCGGGGGTGGGGAAGGACGGTGTTTGGGGATGGCGAGGACACGTCTCTGGGTCCTGGGGGAAGATGCCCGCTCCCTGGCCGGGTCACTGGGGGTATCCGGGAGAGGAGGCTGGATGTATGGGCGGGGCGTCCTAATGGGGAATCCAGGAGGATGCACTGAGACGGACCCCCCACTCCAGCAAATAAAACCCAACCCCCAAGCGCTTTCGCGGCGGGGTCCTCTTCCCAGGCTGCACCTGCCAGCCCCTCTTTCTTGCAAGTTCTGAGGCTTTCCGGGATGCACGGTGGGGTCCTCGAGGCCGCAGGTACTGAAGTGGATCAGAGAGAGGCCCGGAGCCGCACTGCGGGCGCCGGGCGCACAGGCTGACCGGCTGCACGGCCGGGAGGGCGCGGCTTCTAGGCCCAGGCCTGCGGCTGGGGAGCGCTGTGGGTGGCCAGGGGAGGACGTGACCTCCCGCCCAGGCCTTCGGTCTGGCTCGGCCACCCTTGGAAGCAAAGGATGTACCCTCGTCTCAATTCGTCCCGCTTCCTGCCCCCGACTCCGGAAAAATCTCTAACGTTGACCGTCGAGTGTCCATCTGGCGCTAGAGTGAAATCGATGTGCATGGAAAATGGAAAAATGACCTCTCCGGGGACAGTCCCTGGCGTTTGTAGCCCTGACCTCTTCGCCTCCCCCTCGCCTTAGAACTTGGGCTTGGGGCTCATCCTAGAAAGACCCTGAGACTAACCCGCATCTACCCACACCTCGGATGGATCCAAAGCTTTGGGAACTGCAGGAGGACCCGAATCTTAGGAGTTCCAGGTCTGCATGATTCGGGAGAGAGAGAGAAAGGGAAAAAAAAAATCAAGACTGGGAAATGGGAGCAAAAAAGAAAAGGGAAACCAGCGCCTGCTCATCTTCTCCTTGCTTCATGGAGAAGTCTCGGGTGCATTCGAAGAGAAAGAGACGAGAATGCCTCTTGCGTGCTGGGAAGCGAGTCACTTGAGAAGCCCTGGGCGCGGTCCCGGCCGACGGGGCCCGAAATGGGGCCCGCGCCCACAGTCGCGGAGCCGCAAGTTGCCGCAGAACCGCCCTGGGAACATCACGCGAAGTTGCAACATGCACTTGCAGCGGAAGTATTGCCTCTTGGACCCCAGGTCTCAGTATTTTGTGTGTGCTTAAGCAACAAATAGGTTGGATTTGAATTTCAAAAGAACCCTCCCACTGTAATTTTGAGAGAGAAAGCCCTTAGTGATTCTGGAAGTTTGTTTTCTGGGCTTCCCGGCCCCTGACCCAGGCCCTCAGGTCTTGGTAGCGTTTCTATTTTAAGACAAAAGGGAGAAGGACAGGAAATAAAAAGATGAACCTATTGAGAGTTGCTGACACTTTTATTTCTGACCTGGAACATTCCTTGCCCTCAATAAGGCCTGATTTTTTTTTTTTTTTTTTTTTTTTTGAGGCCATCTAAATTTGGTGCTGGAAGATCATTCCAGACCTTCTACACAGCTCTATAAGGCAAAAAGCCGCACACATTGCCTCCCATAAATTCCGTTTGAAGTCCTTTCTTCTATGTCTACATTTGTGATGCAATTAAGTATTGAATACATTTTCTTTAAAAAAAAAAAAAAAGCTGAGATGAGATTGAGAAAGACTTGGCAAAACACCCAATGAAAGAATTGTAGATGGGACTTGGGAAAAAAAGTCTTTATTAGGTACCATCATTCTCATTCTTGTTATTATTGACATCCTCGTCACTGTGAATCAGCCAGCCCAGCCTCCAACACACATACCACCAGCACAACTCCTCATGTTGACTCGTGGGCCCTGAAACCACCCACAGAGTAGATGAGGAAAGGGAGGCTCCATCTGTCCTAGGGAGAACGCTTTGCAGCTGCCCCCAGAAGACTCCATTCTAAGGTTGGAATGGGAGGAGGATATTATGTAAGTTCAAGAGGAGGAAAGAGAAAATGTTTTCTCTGTGGAAGCAGCATAGATGGATGGACTTTTGGTGGCTAAATGCCTTCCTCTAAATGCTAGCATTGGATACGGTTATGCGGGAAAATATATGTGTGCATATGGGCACACCCCTCCTCCGAATATCTCTCTGGCAAAAGCTCCTCATACATTCACAAAAGCCGCCCCCCTCCCTTTGGTAACAGAAGTAACTTACAGGAGTTTACCTTTGCCTCTGCTAGAAGGTCAATCTCTTTTCCGCTTAAGAGGAGATCTGGGCTGTTTCTGGCAGGGGAAAGAAGAGTATCACCAATTTTTCCTTTGACACATTTCTAAATCTGGAAGTATCTGGTAGAGTTACCTCAAGAATCATATAAGCTTGCATCACGATGGGGACTGTGATGGCAGTGGTGCATATGAGCCCATCAGGTCCTTCTTCGCGTATTCAGTCAGCAAACTGCCTCAACCGTGTCCTACTTTTTCTTAAGCATATAATTCCCCTTTCATTTAAGCCAGACTGTAGCTAGAGGGGCTCAAATAGGTAAGAGAGAAGATACTAAAGAGTTAAATGCACTCAAAGGGGAGAACTATTCAGATTTCTTATAAAATTACTGGTGGCATAAATAGGCCCCAAATACAGAAGGGAAGGGCTGACCTTCACTCGGACACCTCATTTGAGCACAGAAGGGGCCTGGCAATTACACATGGGGCCAAGTGGTCTATTCATCTCTTTGCCATTTTCAGCCATTAAAGCCCTACATAAACATACATTTCATAATGAGACCCACCCGGTGGACACAGGCAAATGCCCACACCCATGCGCACAGACCTAATAGACCCAGAACACTCCCACACACATTAAAGCTTTCTGGAACAAGAGTTTACATAAGTAATGAAGTAAAAAATATGCCCCTCCCATCATAGATTATCTGCAGCAGAAACCTGGCAGGCGTCAGCCATGGTACCTGTGGTTTAAGCTCTCAGCTTAAAGCATCTGAAAGGGGCATTACGTGGGAAGGCATCTGGAGGTTTTACAGGAGGGCAGCACATCAGCGAAGGGTACAGCAACCTCTGAAGGAATTACGGGGAAGCAGTTACTAAAAAGAGGCTCGTCAATGTGGACGTTTGTGGGGCAAGGGGTTTAGTAATCGGAGGCTTAAACCATGCCTAAGAGAAGCATCCAGCGGCCTTCACAGTGAGCAGAAGGGGCAGAGCAAGGCGCTTCACACCCCAATAAGGCCCAGCACTGACTGCTTTCTTCTTCCCAAACCTGTCCAGAAAGGGCGGAGGGGACACCAGGACTCAGAAAGCTACTGGTTTCGGGGGAGGTATATTTTGAAGGCAACGGCAAATAGACAAGGGCTTGTGAAGGCTCAGGGGTGAGAGAAGCTGTTCTCCCTTTCTGTCCTGCAGCCAAGCTTGCCTTCTGGGACTCCAGAGGCAGCCCAGCACCTGCAGTCTGCAGGATGTGCACTGCAGCTTTCTCTCTGCGGGGGCAAGCAGGTTGTGCCACATTCTGCAGACCCAGAGAAGGTTCTGGAAGTATCTAGGTGAGGTGCAACACACTTAACCTCTGCCTGACTCTAAACACTGCTTTAGGAGGGCAAATGAAGAGCCTAAGAGTTAATAATTACACAAGGATTGCACACAGTAGGTACTTAATAAATATTTGGGGAAACTGAGGCCGGGGAGGGGCCCTGATCCAAGGCATCACTGAATACTAATTTATTTAGCAGGCTAGACTGAGGCTTTGGAGAGGAAAGAAGTCCTCAGTAAGCTTCAGTGGAGACTCTTAGGGCTTGATTATTGTGTCAGGAATCAAATTAATCTCCTAAGCATCCCTTATGGCCTTGGCCTTGCAAAGCCAGGCCTCTGCCATGCTCGGGGGAAGGGATGCAGCAGGCTTCCTGGGCAGAAGGATCCAGCTCTTGGCCTCCTTTCTCTGCTCCTCCCTCTACTGCAGGGACCTGCCCCTCCTCCATTTCCTCCACCTGGAAATTAATGAGCTTAGGTCTTGCCCCATCCGCTGCAGCTTGGTGGTTAATACAGAGCTGGAAATGGGATGAGACTGTGGCAGCGCAGTACGAGGGGGGTCTCTAGGACCAGCTGCTGCTCAGGGTCTAGTGATGGGAGGAAGGCCTGATTTGGGAAGCAGGTTCTTCAGGATGAAAAGCTTAACCCTTTCCATTCCCTGACAGCCTCTTTCAAAACAGTCTTTCCTCAGACCCCCAGTTGCACACATTCTGTTTTTCCTTCTGTTCACATTTTTAAAGGAACACATGTCTCCCTTGGGTCCATGTAGGTTATTGTGCCTCTCCCTTCCTCTGCAGCTCCTGGATCTCTGCCTGAAACTGCAATAACAGCTACAGGGAGGGCGTGAGGTGCTCCTTAGAGCCATGACCACGCTTTCAACTCCGATAGAGCTTGTGAACCCGCTGGGAGCTGGCTCCTTCTTGTCCACATAGCCCAACGACTTCCTTAAGCTTGTCAGGTGCTCTCAGCTCTACAGCAAAGTGTGACAAACAGCTCCCCCTCTCCCTTCCTACCGCCTGCCCTCCTCCCCAAACCTCAAGCAGAACACAATATATCCGCAGTCCAGGCCCTGAGGCAGTCTGCCAGTCTCTGGATGCCAAATTATTATTTTTTTAAGGGCAAACCAAAAAACTCAGCTCAGAACAAAAACACAGTCACGGAGGAAGGTGTTGACCCACATACAATGAGTCCTGAGCCCAGAGAAAAATCTGCACACACAAGCACTCCGCAATGCGCTCCCAGGCGACCCCCTCCCCACGCACACCGCATCTGTGCTGCACAGATCTGCTTCTGTCACAGAATCAGCTTCTGTTTCTCTCCCTGAGTCTGTTTGCATCTCTAAGCCCCTGTCTGTCACAGGCTGCACACCTCCCCACCCCACGGGCTCCGGTGCGGGACAGGCAGCCGGAGGGAGCTCCAGACCCCTCCCCTCGCGCCCGCGGCCGCTGCGCGGAGGTCTGCGGAGGGCGCCTGGCTCGGTCGGTCGCTCCTTCCTTGGCGGGCCCTCGCCGACCCACGGTGCTCAGCCAGCCCCATTCTTGGCATTCACCGCGTGCCTTAATTGTATGGACATTTAAATCAAGGTCCGCTGTGAACACGGAGAGAGAGGCCTTTCTCCTGAGGAAGGAAAGGAGGAAGGAAGGAAGGAAAGGTGAAAGAAAGGAAGAGGGGTGGGTAGAAGATGGAATAAGAAAACCAGGAAAAAGAAATAAAAAGCGGCGCGTGTGCGTGCGCACTGACAGCGGGGAGAGGGATGGGGGTGGGGAACGCCGGAGGAAGGGACCACAGCATCCTCCCCGCCGCAGCTCCCCCAATCACACAGACAATGAGATAACAGCGACGTCTTCCAAAGGCTCTTTGTTCTCCCCCATCCTTTCGCATCCAGGCTTTTTCCTGCAAAGCGGAGGGGGTGGAGGGATGGGGGTGTGGGTGGAAGTGGGAGACGGAGGGGTGCCTCCCCCGTGTTAATTACCCCGGCTCCCCTCGCCCCTTTCCCCGCGCCTCGCCTCCCCTGCAGCTCCAGACAATGAAAAAACAACATCGACCCCACCTCGCCCCAGCGCAGCAACCCACCCACCCATGTCGCCCTCTGCTTCGCCCAGGAAACTGAAGGGGACTAGGAGGAGGAAGAAGAGAGCGAAGGACAAGGAGAGCAGCGGGGACTCGGCAGCGGCAGCCGGGGCAGGGCGCGCGGCCGCCGCCTCTTTACCTCCATCGCTGAGTGGGGGCGCAGCCGGGCCGGGCGTGCCGCAGGGGCGAGTTGCCGCGGTCCGGGGCTGGGACCTGGGGATTCAGCCTTCCGGAACTCGCCTGCTGCAGTCCTCTCGCTCAGGTCCCAAGTGGTGGAGGGGGGAAAGGAAGAGAGACGAGAGAGAGAGAGACAGAGAGAGAGAGAGAGAGAGGAAGAAGAAGAAGAAGAAGAAAAAAAAACCATAAGAGCGAGGCCCATCTGGCCCCTCATCAGCTTTGTCAAGTCTTGCATACGCTAAAATGCTAATGACCTAGATAGCTCATGCAAAATGCAGCAGGGAGGGCGGGAGCGAGGGAGGTGGGAGGGAGGAAGAGAGAGGAGTGCAGGGGGGAGGGAGGGAGGAGAGGCGGAGGGAGGGAGAGAGGGAGAGAGCACCCCTACACTCTCCCCACCCCACCCCCAACTGTCAGCGGGCTTTACCAGGTAAAGGGTGGACGTAGATTTAAAAGGTCACTCGTGTATAATGCGGCTGGATCCCCGGGTCAAAAAAAGGGGGCGAGACAGAGGATGAGAGTCCCTAAAGCCAAAAGGACAATAAGACATCATTTTAAGCCCCCACCCCCATGCCCTCCTCCACCTCTCCACACTGTTTACACACAAATCCTGTCGCCGCCTCATGCATGTGCACGGACATGTCAATTTCTCATCAATTTCTCAGCGCTCCTATCGACAGACACCCGAATTCTCATTCCCAGCAAAACTCATCCACTGGACCCGAGGGAGGAGAAGACCCCTTCTCCTCCTCAGTGCTCTTCGGGCTGGCCCATCCCTACTCACCTCCATCTCCACTCTCTACTCCCTTAGCCCTCCAGGCAGCAGAGGGCTCCTTCTCTTTTCTAAGCCTTGAGTCCCCTGTCCCCTTTCCAACCCCCGCATCTTGAGAAGGAGACGCAGAGTAGCAGGAAAGCCAAGTCAAGTCCACCTAGGTCTCCCACAATTCAGCTACCCCTCCCAGAAAAAAAAAGAGACCCCAACAACCCCGACCCCTCTCCTACGTAGACACTGTGAAAGCAAGCCACAGGGACAAATAAAAGACAATCCGAATACCCTCAGCGTTCCGCACGCCGGGCGGACGCCCTTCCGCAGCGGCCACGCGTGTTCTGGGTTCAGCGCTCCTGCGCGTCCCTTCTCGCCGAACCCAAGGTGCTTTGTCCCGGCGGCCACACAAGGTCTTCGGCTTTTTGTTCTCCTTTTTTAAGAGACTGGCCGCAGTCCCCAGCGATTCAGCCGGCCCAACCAAAGGCAGTGGATCTACTGAAATGAAAAGGATCGAGATAATACACAGGCAGATGAATAAGGGGGGGGATGCTGGAGGTGCAGGAAGCATCCTGGGAGCGGCCGCCACGGCCAAGCCCGAACTGCTTGCTGCCTTCGCTGGGGAAGGCGCAGGAGGCGAGCCGGCGCTGGTGGTCGCTCCACCTGGCAGGAGGAAATGATAACCATGATAAGGAACGTGATGATGATGATGATGATGATGATGATGATGATGAGCATGATTTAAAAAAAATCAGTCTCCCTCTTGGTGAACCAGAGCATGCGTGCCGGAGGGACTGCACTGCTGGCGGCGGCGGCCGGGGGAAGGAGAGCGGCGCAGGAGGCAAAGGTTGAGGAGGCAGCACCCTCGGATGAATAATAACACCGCGCCGCGCAAGTTGCGGAGCCGCCTGGAAATCCAGCCCTTCGCGTGAACTCGCGTCGAGCGCGGATTGCAGGGGATGAGGAAGAAGGGGGAGGGGAGGGGAGGGTGGAGGAGGGAGGGGGAGGGGTAGAGGGGAAGGCAGAGAGGGACAGAGAGAATTGGGAGCCTTTTAATTTTTCCTTACCAAGCCCTAATCTCGTGCGCCGTCCTCTTTGGCTGAGGTCGAGCTCCTTTTTAAAAATTATTACTCCTTTAAAGGATTATTCAGGTAAAGGAAGCCGCATCTGCTGACGGTTCCGAAAACAAGAGGATTAGGAGCCCGTCCACAGATCCAGGCCCGCAGACCCCCACCCCCTCTGCACCAGCACACGTCATTCTCACTGCCCCCGGGTACCTCCCTCTCCTTCGTGCTCGGGGAGAGCTGTGCCAAGGAAAATGCGGATTTGGGGAAAGTGAGAAGTGGGAGAGCTCGGAAGAGCGGGAAAGCCAAGGCCGGAGGTGGCGATTCGCACCCCCACACTCACACGCGCTTCCGTTTATCCGTTTCTATCCCGGGAAAAGGGGGCGCCTGCCCGAGCCCACGCGCGCCGCCGCATCTGCAGCGGTCGGCGCCCCACGCTCCCTGAACGCCCCCCAGGCGGCACCAGTGCCGGGCAGAGTCCCCTCGGCGGCCGCGGGCGTCAAATCGACACCTGACTCCACAGCTCCCTTCCCTCTCCTCTTCTTCCACCTCCCCGGGGGTCCAGGCACCGCCGTGCGTCCACTCCCGGTCTCCACGGCTTAGGCAGACGGAGTGGGGGACTCCGGGGACCCGCGCGTCCTCTCCTCCTCGGCCCTGGCGGGAGGAGCCGGGCTGGGGTTTCCGCGGGCCGCGGCGCGTTTTAGGGCTGCCGGGGACTGCGGCGGATGCGGTTGACATCACTGCGGCGGCTGCCGGGCCGCTGCGGCGACCTGAGCGCCGGTGCAGCCTCCCCCACCCCGCCTGGGCGGGCGTCTGGGCAGGACAGCTGCGGGGGGTTGGGAGAGGAGTCGGGGAGAGGGGGACGATCGCCCCATCCCCCGCCCCCCCGCAGTCAAGGTGAACATGAAGGAGAGCCGGCGCGCGTGCCCGCGCCTGGGAGGCGCGCGGCCCCGCCCCTCCCGGAGCCCTCCAGCGCGCCCGGGCCAGATGGACGCCCGAGATTAGAGGCGCAGAAGTGCGCTCCACGACGGGCCCACCCGTCCCGCGGACATCAGACCTACTTCGGGGAGGCGCCTTTTGTTGTGGTGGCCGTGGCGGTGTTTGTGTCTTTCCGGGAGCACAGGGTGAGCTTGGCCTTCAGGAATGACTCAGAATGAATCCGCCTATAAGAGCCAAACTAAAGACGACCCCCCGCCCCAGCCCCCCAACCATAACCCAACGCCTGCCATGAGAAACCTTCGGACTTTCCAAGGGGTCAGTGCCTCAGCCACGAGGGGCAGCCCTGACCCGCGCGGTTCACGCACACGCAGGGCCCATCTGCTTCCCCTACTCCGGCTTTTCTTCTCTGATGACTTAAAAGAGAGTGAGTGAGGGAGAGAGGGAGAGAGAGAGAGAGGTCTAAGTGTTTCTTGGGCACTGCTGGATTCAGGGCAACTAGAGATGGGGAGAACAAGCCCCGCCAGCTAAAAGCAGCCCTGCTGAAACCACACAGCCCGCGAGGGTCGCAGCAGAGGCGCCCACCCAGCAGGAGTGGCTGCACGAAGGGTGACCCGGGCGAGGCCCTTCTCGCTTCGAGGCCATTTCGGCTCTTGTCAATTATTGGGTGTTTGTCCCAATATAAGTAGAATGGCGATCTCAAACCCTTTCAGCACTAGCCTTTGCTTCCAACAATGCACCACTAGAAGCTTAGAAAAGAAGCAGTTTTTGTGAATTTCAAGAAGCAGAAAGCTTTGGTTTAATCAGAGAGAGAAGGAAAAAAGAGGAAGAGGAGGAGGAGGGGGAAGAGGAGGAGAAGAAGAAAAAAGAAGAAGAAAAATAAGAAATAAACCATTGCCTGCAACTGATGTTTAATTTCTGAAGACCATGCCTGATTGGAAAAAGCCATCATTTGGGCTGTCTTTCAGGGAAAAACTTACCATTCTGATAACGTTTCCCTCAAACTAAAATACTTTTGTGGTGGAAAAACTACACTGGCAGTGGCTTGGTTCAAGACTCCCACCATTTTGATAAGGGTTTTTAGCTTCAGGACAATTTGTTTCCTATTCACTAAGAATTCCTTTCGCAGATAGTTTCGGAACTCCTTGTATATGGAGGGATGGGGCCGTGACCCGAGTTGGCCTGGACTGAAGGACAGTAGGACACGCTGCTGCTCCCTTTTCCGTAGTGTTTCTTAAAGGCCTGGTTTTGTTTAGATTGAGGACGGTTTCTGGCAGTCCCTCCTCGCCGTTGCTGCAATGCAGGGTATTTGCCGCTCATCTTGCGGCATGGGGGGAGGGGAGGAGAGAATGGTTTTGTAACAGGCTCTGCAGGCCTGAGTGGGAACGCCTTAAATGATGAGCCCCGGGTTAAAAAAGAAAAGAAAAAGACAAAAAAAAAAAAAAAAAAAAAAAAGCAGCTGATGCTGAATTAATAGTTAGAGCATACCCCTGGGGCTTGCTCCAACCAGGGGGTCAGAAGTCCTTTCCCCTCCCCCAGTCACGGATTTCATATCTCTTTTTAACCAGCCTGATCGGATGCTGGGACATTTGTGATGGCTTCTTAAAACCTAAACCTTTGGGCTTAAGAGTAGTCTATGCTCCTGATCAAACTCACCCCAAATACTAACATGTTAAGAAATTATATTGTAAAACCTCCCCAAATCCGATTGACTGGGCTGTTTGGGGCCCATATGGCCGGACAGCTGTGCTGCTCCACGTGAAAAGACATCATTGCCCTTCCGATGGTATAAAGCGAGGGTTCCCCAGAGAGCTCAGACATGACCTAAGTATTAGCTTAGCCTGGGGTGAAGACTGAGTTAAATCTCTCACTTCTTGGAGGTTAAAATAAAGACAACAACAAAAATCAAAAGAGATGCACTTTTGAATTCATTGTATATTGCGTGCCTCCCGCTGGTCCCACCAAAGGAAGGAAGGACAACCCGAGAAATAAACTCTCTTTAGCTTACCACAAGCATGACGTTAGACAAACTGAAGACACAGGAAAGAAATATATTATTTGCCAAGCGTACCATGTGTCAGTGACATTTGTGGTTCCCTGTTCAGAGAAGCAGGGTTCTGACCTCAGCCGATGCCTGTGTTAACCATAAAGAACAGCCATCAGAGTGTAATTTCCATGGTGAGAAGATGAAACCGTGCTTTAAAAAGGAAAGCCCATTATGAAATGCGGCCGGATTTAATTTTTAATATGATGGCGGATCCTCTAACGCATTCTTTGCTGGTGTTTGCATTCAGGAGGAGTGATTCATTCTGTGGCAGAAATCAAAATAACATTCTGCAGTACTTTTAAATGCGCTTCTCGTTTTTAAAGGTGTCCTGAAATAGAATATTCTATAACCTTTCAGTGGTGGTGGCTGGAGAAGCGGGATACAAAACTCTGTTCCTAGTGCAATGCTCAGTCTAGATAAGACCGGGCTTGTTCTTACTTATCTGTTTGTGCATAACCCCTTGCAGTCTCTCCAGGCCTTAACAAATGTTTTAAAAATAAGGGAGACAGAGAAAAAGAGAGAGAAAAAAACTCTCACAAATCAATCTGGAAAGTGAAATGAGGGGAAAATAGTGGTTAGATGGTTAGATACATAAGCTTTTAGTCCAAGTCAGTCAACATTGTTTTGGAAAATTCTTTCAATATTGAAACTCCCTCATTTGAAACCTTTATGTACAGTAGCAGGTACTGAAGTGTTTTTGTGTTCCTTGAATGTCAGTTCACGTTTTTGGAAATAGCTACAGAGAGTTCTGCAGTTACTGTGTCTTTAAAAAAACAATTTTGGAGGTATTATTTGCATAGCATAACTAATGATGGAACCCTGGAGATCATTTGGTGCCCCCCTTACTACTATAAAAGAGTAGAGCAGGGCCCAGAGAGACGGAAAAAGAGCTTCTAGAGATCATGTGGGTGGTTTGTAGCAATTTCAGTGGTGAAGTTAAGAGCAAAACCTGAGTCTCTTCATTTCTTGCCAGTATGTATTTTTTCCTCATGTATTTGAACATGAAAAGCTTCCTAAAGATTTTGGCAAATAAAACAAATAGTGGACCCTAGTGTGTTCATGTAGTGTTTAGCTTGGGTTGAATTTTGAAATTTGAGTTTTTTTCTATTTAAATGTCTCTAGTTTTAGCAATATTTCAGGAGGTATTTAGGAAAACACACCCAGCCAACCTCTTGTGACCCTGGATGGATAGGGCAAGAGCCACACAGAAGTGTCAGAGCCTTTGACCCAGTGACTTAAGAGCCACAACGTGTCTAGAAAATAATCACGTTAAAGCTAGGACTGGGGTTCTGAGGAAGGACTCCCCCAGCCCAAGACACAGCTATGGAAAACATAGTGTTCTTTCACAGTCATTTTGGGGGCAAGAGTCTGCGACACAAATTCAGTCTATCAGGTGACAGTCACCACGTCAATTTGTTTTGTTTCTGGATTACTTAATAAATTATTCATATTGCACAAAAAAGGAATATATTTTTTAAAAGACCCAAAAGAAAAATAAGCTGTGGTCTCGGACACGTGTGTGATCTTGTGCAAGTAAGTCACTTTCCTTGTTTTCTATCCTCTTCCTCAACATGAGTAAATGATTTCTAAAGTCCCTTTCAACACGAACAGTGTGTGATTCTATTGTTTTTCAACAGAATCCACGTTTCTGAGTCTGGAAGATATTGCCTCCCTTTTAAAATCTATCTGGCAGACATTGTGTTCAGGGTCTGAAAAGTTGAACATGGAAAGCTTTGAGAAAAGTAGAGACAGAGAGAGAAAGAGAGAGAGAGAGAGAGAGTGTGTGTGTGTGGGCGCATGCATTTAAGTGGCATTCATCTGAAAGTATCGCCATCTTTATTTCTGATTACCCTCTGGGTCAGGAAAAGGTCTTTCTATCAGGTGAAAGCATTTTTCTATTCCCCTCAGTGCGCCCGGCACAGCATAACTGAATGCTTTCTGTGTTTTCACCTAAGCAGATTCAACCTGAGTCCTGCAGCAGATTTAAAAGCCCTCCTCTTTAGCGCCCATCCTGACCTAGATTGCAGGATGAAGGCTAATGATTCATTTGCAATGCTCATGATGGGCATCTACTGCAGGGGTTCCCTCTCCCCTCCTTGTTCCGAAAGGAACCCTGTTACCCTTATCATCTGATATTACCACAAGTAAATATTTTTGTTCAGTTGCTACATAGGGCATGAGGCTATTTCTTAATGAATTATCTGCCCCAGGGAGGCGAACTATAACTCACCAGTGCTTCAGGCAATTTTTAGCATGTGTCAGATTGTGTTTGCCTTAGAGAACTTGGACTGTGTTTTGGTGCAGGCAAACTGCTTTTCTTTTCCTCTTTGTGCAGAGATATACAATTCAACATACCTTTACAAGGAGAAAAGACTTGCTTGTGTTTGAGTCTGATGGGAGCATGAAAACGATGTTCTATATGCATAAAGCATGAGACCATGCAGAGGATGGAGTGCTCGTATTCAGATGCCAGATATTGTTATAATGCAAACTGGACAAGGCTTTCTTTGAATTTCATTTAGAAGCAGCTACCATGTACTATACATTATAAAATCAGAGGATTACACTTGACAAAATGGCCTTGACTAATAATGAAGTGCCGATTGGTGTGTTCATTAAATATACAGATTTGAAGCAGAATTAGTAGCGATGACTGAAATGGAAATCTTGTCAATCATAAATGAGGCAGCTGACAAGTTAGAAGGGGGAAAAAACCCCTCAAATGTGACTCAGATCTTGTAGGTTTGTGTCTGAGGATGATTTAAATAAATTTGGACATTAGGTGGTGACAAGACAAAAAAGAAAAATAGCATCTAATTGGGCAAAAAGACTGTGGTAGGCCTGGGGGATTGTAACAGAAAAAAAAAAGGAGATGGAAAAAGGAAAAAGGAAGAATGAGGGGGTCGTTTGCAGGATAGCTTGTTTGTAATGAATGAATGAAGAGATGAAATCTAGAATATTTATTTCCCAGTAGCCGACACTCAGGAGACATTTAACTATTGTTCATAAAATAAAATCAGTGTCCCTTCTGTGTTCAGCAGCATCAAACAGATTATCTGCATATATAACTCTGCTGGGAGGCGAGAGTGTCGTCAGCTGGAAGTACAGTGTGGGGAACATTGGCTTACTTTCAATCTTTAATTTCAAAGTGCGGTAACTAGGCATTTAAAAACATTGTACGTAAGACAAAGGGCCACTGTATGGCAGCTCCATGCCAGCCACAGGGCTAGTTAGATGTTTTTCTTATATTATCTACAATCTCAGATCCACACTAACCCCATGTTACAAAGAGGTGACTTTCTCAAGTGCAGAAGCTGGCATTGGGATCCAGATATAACTGGCCCCAAAGACTCTCCTTTTTCCATTACAACTGCATGCTGAAGTCTTCCCAGAAGGAACAAGAATAACATTATATAATGTAAAGCTGATATAAAGGATGCTAAGTATTTGTCCTGCCTCATGTACCAAGTTGAAATAAGTAGGGTGAGGCTGACAGAGCAGATGAAAAACATCACTTAAGATCGTTTTTTTCCTGCTAAACTCTGTTGTACACTATGCAAATATGATTGCAAAAGTGGAACATTATCAACACTTTAATGCTAGTTATCTTTCAAAGATGATACTCAGAGTAATCAACATAAACTTAGTATACTGTATCCTAAATAATAAAAATGTTGCCTTGCATCATTCTGATATCCTCAGTACGACCTAGAAAGCCGATCGGAATGATATATAGTGATAATAGCATTCTGCATTTAAACAGCATCCTAACAGTCACAGCGTTTGGCCACCTGGGTTGGGGCGGAAAAGGGAGGTTGGGAAATTGAGGACTTAGCAGCCCGTTTGGGGGCACATTGCCCGGAGAAATTCTTGGGGTGGCAGGCTGTAAATCAGGATGAATGTATTTCTGGATGATAATCCTGTTTCCAGTCTCCCCTAAAGCCGGGCTGGTAAGGCAAGACGCCCTGCTTGGCAAAGATGTTCCCTGGTTTTTGGTGCCTGGGCAGATACCCTGAGTTGATAGTAAACAACAGAACACAAGGGATAGAAAAAGCAGGAAGAAATTTTTTTCTAAATGATGGGAACTTCATTTTTGTGGGATTTGCTTCTCTGTTTAATATATATATTTTTTCTTCGAAATGATGGAGCTGCCGGGGGACAGGAAAAGATGGCGTTCATTACAAATTCCTTACTAGTCATTTGTCTACAACTAGAAGATTAGCAAGAGAGTTCCCTGTCCAATAAAGGAGCCAGCACGCTGGCAAAACGCTATGTGGTGTGGGACTGCTGGCCTGGGAGGCAGGAGACCTGGATTCTAGTTCTAGGTTTGCCACAGACAGAAACTTTGGGCTAAATTATTCCCTCCCAGGTAAATGAAGAGTGGAGGGGCTCTTTCTGCCTACCCTGTTGCTCCACCTTCCTCTTTGTTCTGTTTCCTGCTCCCCCTTCATGAGGATCCCTCCGGACTCCTCAGCCAATCTGCTTGTAGGGCAAGATCTCGACTCAGCAACTGGCACCTGACTATGTTTACTCTCTTAAGGGAATTTTTAAAAGGCCGGACCATCAGTTAACATTTTGAGAACCCCTAAGCAGATGAGCCATGGATGTTTGGGGGAGACAGCGGATGCCTTCTGGGCAATGCTGAAACGGTGCTGGTTTTGTGTGGCTCCTTGGCCCCTTCTGCTGTAGACGCGACACCCTGTGAGAGAACAAGCATGGGTCTCAGAGCCGAGACAGATGAGAATCCACATCCCAGCTCCAGGCCCTACCTCCTCGGTGATTTGGGCCAGTTTTCCATGTGCAGTATGGGGACAATGATAGTCTCGACACCATAGGGCTGTCGTTTACTGAGAGAACACCCAGTGAATCCCAATTTTGTGTTTCTCCATCTTTCTGCCTCTTCTCTAAAGGATGGACCAAAGTGAGCTACTCGAGAGGCTGAGGCAGGGAGAATTGCTTGAATCCGGGAGGCGGAGGTTGCAATGAGGTGAAATCACGCCACTGCACTCCAGCCTGGGCGACAGAGCAAGACTCCATCTCAAACAAAAAAAAAAGAAAAAAAAAATTGGTGGACCAAGGTGAGCCTGAGGACTGCAGCTCCTGTCAGTGGTTCCCAGCCCCAGAAGAAGAGCCGGCAGGGGCCAGCAGTGAACTGCCATGCTCCATGCCGTTCTCCAGCCTGTGTGGTCCATGGCTGGCCCCAGCCTGAGCCAGACGGAAGCCCGGGGAAAGATTATTTCATATCGATCCCATCTTTGACCCACCATATGACTGGACAAGCACTGTCAGAACAGCACATAAGGAAATGGGGAGGCACTGCTACCGCTCCTTTCAGAATTCCAGGAGGAGCTTTTAAAATCCTGAGGCAGGGTTTTAGAAACTCCTACAGAAATGGAGCTTGAACAGGAGCGGGGGACATTGACTTTCTCAGCTGATTGGCGGTCTTGACCCCACTGTGTGTGGGGTGGTGGGAGACCAGAGAGAATCTTAGAGCTGGCAGGTGAGGAAATTGAGGTCCAGAGAAGTGAAGTATCTTCCTAGCCCAAGGCCGCAGAGTTATTGATTAGGTAGCTAGAAATCAAAAACAAAAGCACTGCACGACCTCGCAGGAAGCCAGAGGAAGGGACCGGTGAGAAGAGGTAGAGTTTTATGCTGAGGTAACTTGGAGAGTCTGTTGCCTTTCTTTTTCACCCAGCCTTAGCCCGGCCCTGCTAGAACCCCAAACGTTTAGAGCTTCCCTTGAAGAGAGGTAATAGTTACACCTATGTTAGAGTCATTGTCAGAATACAATGACACAGTGCATAAAGAAATACTTAACACAGTGCCATGTCCTGGGACGTGCTCAACAAATATTAGCTGAAGATATTTTTTACCTTAAAAAAAAAAAAAGAAAGAAAGAAAGAAAGAAAGAAAAGAAAAAGGCAGCCATTGGCAAATAAAGGCTGTTAGTATCATTGGCTTTATTCTTGATAAAAGCCAGAGAAGTTCCCTGATGTTTTGTGGGTGATAGTTTAGCAGAAGAGGCTGATTGTCATCATGTTTTCCAAAGGTCTAAGAAACTCTCTTTCCTTTGGGGGACCTGATACTTAAAGTTAATGTCTGTTTTCAAGGAAGTACACCCCACAGTAGCCACTTTATCATCATTCCATTGCTGGTACAATGTATTAGCATGAACCATTACAAGAAGAAAAAGAGAAGAATTTAGATATAAATGTGAAATTCTTTGGAGATGTCTGGGAGAGACAAGATGAAATTAAGAGCTTTTTTGATGTGATGGAACAACACAGGCTGAATGAGGGAAAGTTCCAGTTTTTAACATCCTAAGGGACAGAATGTCAAAAAAATACTTATGAAGCTTCTGAAAAATAGGGTCCAAAACCCTTCATTTCTGGCAATAAGAAGCCTGACAACCTCCTGGAAATTAGTAGCTAAAAATTTTAGACAAGATATTAGAGTATCATTTTAATTGCCTCATAGAGCTTAAAGGAAATAAATATAGCTAGGTCAGAAAGAAAATCTAGCTATATGCTGTTTACAAGAGATTCATCAAAAACATGAAACAAAAATGATGGAAAAGTAATGATAAGTAAACACTAATCAAAAGAAAGCTGATACAGTTTGCTAATGTTAGATAAAATAGACTGGAAGACAATAAACATTATTGGTGACAAAGATGGGCTGTATATAATAAACAATGAAAAAGAAAAACTACTTAGGAGAACAACTCTAAACTTGTATGCCCCTAGAAACATAGCTTCAAAATAGAAAAGCAAAAAATAGAAGCAACATTGGAGAGAAAATGACAAATTGGAAAAGATATAAAAGATTGGAACAACACAACTATCAAACGTACTCTAACAGACACATTTGGAATTTTTCTTCTCAATAATTAAAACAATCACATTTTTTTGAGCATATGTGGGACATTTATAAAACTTGATTGTGTTCTAGCCCACTAAAGTAGTCTCAACAAATCTGTGATGTCACATCATACAAACCGTGTCATTTGACTACAATATAATTTTGTTAGAAATAATTAACCCTCCCCCCAAATCACATACTTCTCCCCATAAATCTGGGGGTGGAGGGAAAGACATTTCTAAATAACTCATAATTCCAAAAAGAAATTATATTGTAAATTCTTGATTAATTAATTTAATGACTACATTTTAAAACTTTGTGTCATGGAGTTATAGTAACACTCAGAGGAGAACTGACAGTCTTAAAATACTTATATTAGTAAAGAAGAAAGACTAAAGATTGAAGATTTAAGTGTTCAACAAAAGAAGTTAAAAAAAGAACAGGTTAAGCCTAAAAAAAAAAAAGAGAAGGAGAAATAGAAAGGTAGGAAGAAAAAAAGGGGAAAAGATGGTGAGATTTCGATCCTAATACCACCTGAAAAAGACCATAGCTGCTTTATTGATGAGGAGAAACATCCTCCACTGCAAGTATCTTTCCCTCTCAGCTGATTGTCGCCTTTCCTCTGAGGGCCCTTCTCACTGACTCTGTGTTCTCTTTGCAGGGGACTAGCTTGGTGTGTTCTTCCTCTCTGCAGCCTTCACATCTAGCCCAGGTGCTCTGCAATTTTACTGAATGACTTTTCTCCTTCCGTAGCTATTTGCGTATTTTGCCCTTTATGCTAGATTGTAAAGTCTTTGAGGTAGAAACGGTATCTTTCTCATCTCTGCTCCCCCACAACATGTAAGCCAGGACCTCATGCAAAATAGCGACCTGGCATCTAGATGTGTTTGAAGTGGAATTGAGTTTGTAGACAGAGCTTCGGCTTATAGGGAGAGGAGGACATGGGAGAAGGAGAGTGGAAGTGATTTCGGACTCTCCCAGACTTGGGAATCTGGTGATCGTTTGGAATAAGCTACCTTCAGCGGCAAGGAGGGCTTTCCTGATGTGTGGGCCATGATTTTGTGGCTAAGAAACTAAAGAAAAAAGAAAGAATAATTGAAAGAAAAATTTCTTAAGCCCTTCTTTGGAGAGGAAACACATCCCTTCAGCTGTTGGTTTTGTAGAGGCACCTACTCTATTTCTGAGTTCTGAGTCCTGTCTGGTAGCACTGGCTGAGGAGTGGTTAAGGGTAGGGTAGGTGATTTTGGAGTTGGGTGCTAATCTGGGCTGAAGTTCCCCCACTACATTTTTCTTTTTTTGTGGTAAAATATACATGACATTTGCCATCCTAACCTTTTTAAATTGTATAATTCAGTGGCCTTAAATATACTCACATGTGGTGCAACCACCACCACCATCCATTTCCAGAACATTTTTTTATCATCCCAAACAGAAACCCTATCCCCACTGCTTTTTTTTTTTTTTTTTTTTTTTTTTTTTTTTGACTATGCAACTTTGGTCAAGTTGCCAGTTTCTTCATCTGTAAATCAGGGCTAATCATATTATGTACTGAATAGGATTATTGTCAGGATTAAATGACGTAATGCATGAAAACTGCTTAACATAGTGCCTGGCACTGTGTTTTATTGACTACGCACTGAATAAATGTTAATATAGGAAATGGCAAGAGGAACGAGAATTTAAATCATTTAGAGCCAGCAGAGGGACACAGTAAATTTTTTCCCAACTCTGAATGATTTGAACTAATGATTAGTTCCTGGAACGCATGCTGGGCAGTTTTGATGGGGCTTGACTGGAACTATAACTGTTGGCAAATAACCTCTCCAGAGCTGAAGGGTGTGGGGCTGGGGGAGGTTATTTCTAAAATCCTTCCACCACCAGTGTCACATCTAGCATGTCATGGAAACGCAAGATAATGCTTGAGTGAGTGAATGAGTGAATGCCTACGTATACATTTCAGTGCTTGAAGGGAGGATGGAGATCATTTTCTTTTAGTCGTCAGTTTGTCAGTGAGAAGGCTGAGACCCAAATAAGTAGAGTGACTTATTCAAGATCACATAATTAGGGGTAGAGCCGGTTTAAAAAGCCAAGATTCCTGAACATATTGTGCAATCTTAACTTGAAAGAGAACCCAGAGAAATGGGAGAAAAACTGGAGAAAACCTCAAAAGCTCACGCAGTTGCTAACTGAGAGTCAAGGTCTCCAGTGTTCAATGTCATTTTCCCTTCTCTGACTGCACATCTGATCCAAAGTGTTGCAGATAATTGCTTTTTGTTAAGGAAAGAACATCCCCTTCCAGTTTAGGAGCAATGGCGATTCTAGTAAGGAAGATCATGGAAAATAACTGTTTTAAAACCATAATTCTTAGGGAAACTAGAAATTTTTAAGAGACCTCAAATAGCTTGCACTGTTTAACCTTACCTAGGCTCAGTCTGCTTCCTGGTCAGGTATGCATAGTAATACCTCGCAAAGCATGGTGAGCTTTAAATAACATAAAGAACGTGACAGTGGCTTGCACACAACCTGGCATATGGGTGGTGTTCAGCAAATACTTGTTGCAAGAAAAGGAGGATATCATTGATGAAACACACTCTCCAGCCCTATCAACAGCCCACTTGACTCTGCTGGGAAGAATTGCTGGTGCCGTATACACTTTGTTTGCAACGTGACCTGGAGAATAACCTCGGGGGAGGAGGTAGCCATTAGGATGGAGCACTTTATAGCAAACACGTGCTGCTGTTTTGCTGCGGCACCCCAGGTTGCAGTTAGTCAGAAATGGCTTCCCATGTTTACTGGAAACATCGAGACGTGTCTCAGTGACACTAATGCTGCAAATGCAGGTTTCAGTCTCATACCCGGGGACACAGGTCACTTGGCACACAGGCAGTCACTGCTCACCCATGTAGAGCAATAGGAAGAATCCTGTACCAGGAATCGGAGCACTGGGTTCTAGAGGTGGCCACTTACAAGCTTTGTAATCTCACGGCTTTACCTCTCTGAACCTCAGAATCCTCTTCTGTGAAACAAGGGGGTTGAATACGTGATTTCTGACCCCTTCCCGCTTGAAAACACCATGATCTGTTTAGTTATTGCACTCACAGCTTTGCAAGTATTGCTGCTCAGTGAAAATGTAAGTGCCATACATGTGTACCATCACACACACACACACACACACACACACACACACACACACACACCCCCTTCTAGACCCAGATTCTCCACTCAGGGAAATAGCATGAAAGAAAACCTGATGCCCCAGTGAATAGCCATTTTACTCACCACCTTTAGAATGACATAGCCCAGCTGCTTCTGGGCTAGAACCTCATCCTCCTTGTGACTCGATGCTTCTGCTGCCAAATGAGGTAGGAATGGTGCAATCTGATTTCCACCCCCTAGAGCAACTGCTGCTGCGGCGCTGCGGCCGCCCCTGCCTTTTCTACCATGGATGCTGCATCAGCACAGAAATGCTGAGCACAGCACATTTCTGAGCTTCGGGAGGCAGACCGGATTGCTGCAGAGGGAAATGGGTATCCATTCTTCTCATGACTAGTTCCACACAGTGGGTACTAGTGGTGGGGGGAAATTTACTTTTAAACATTGCAAGCCCCAAAGGGATGAATGTGAGAAACCTTGGCTTTTGCCCAGATCAGAGCCCTTTTTGCAGTCAGATTGAATCGCTTGGGATTCTGATCTCTCTTCCTGCTCCAGACCTGCATAGTAAGGCAACATTTCTAAGTGTTTGTTGATGGTGATGATGACAGGGTCTTTAAAGCATCCTAGGGCAAATGCCTGCTTTTCTCTTAAAGGGTGACATTTCTGCAGGCTTCTAGGGTTCAGAGCAACATCATTCAGGGGTGATAGAATGAGCTATTCTTTGTGGTGCTGGCTTTCCTGGCGTAATCCATTTGGAGTAGAACAGGACAGAGCCTAGGACTCATTAGCTTTGGGGGAGGAGTTTGTGTTTTAATTTCCACAGATGTCTCCCTGAATTGCTCACTCAGCTTTTGGGGTACCAGTTCTATTGGCTAGTCTTCGCTTCCACATAAATCCTGTAGCCGATGGTCTCCGGGCATTTTTGCCACCCTTAGGTTCAGTTTTCTCATCTGCAAAATAATATGACTCACGGTGTGATTATAACCCGGACATCCTGCATATGTACCCCAGAACTTAAAGTAAAAATATAAATTAGAAAAAGAATTGTTTAGATGACTTATGACAATGCTCTCTAAATCTTTTTATGATCCCCATTGGTAAAAATTTTACTCTGCCCCCCAATGTATGTATATTTATATATTTGTAAATTATATAATGCACTTATACCATTAGCCAACTATCTCAAGTCTTAATATACATTTAGGGTAAGGTTCATTATTAATAATAGTAGATATTAAATCACATTTTTAACCATGTGATAATTTAAAAAATTTTTGGCCAACTTCATATTGGATCTGAATAAGCCGTCATTGTAATCTTGTAATGTGGTTGCAAAGAGCTCTAACCAGGAGTAGACCTGTCAGTTCTACCTTGTCAGGTTGCTCGTGTTATTAGTATTCACTTTCATTAGGGATTTCTTTGCAGGAATCTTTCTAAGCCAAGCATCCTCTTTGTTGGGGGTGAGTTTAATTAAAACCAGTATGTATAATCTGGAACTTCGTTTACCCCTCTCACATTGTGGAACTCTTGCTCTTCCCTCAGGATAATGTGTTTCCTGGAAGTGACACTTGGGCTACTGACACACAGACAAAAAAAGTCATCAGTGTCAACCCACATATTGAATATTAATAAAACTCCCTTTCTGATATTTTAGATTATAGGTAGGCTCTGATATTTTCCTTCCTGCATTTCCATGGATGGTTCTGCATATCTCCTGGGGTAGCTGCACCTTTTTTGTTGTTTTTTTTCAAAACCACTGAGTTAATGGATATAAACATGCTTTGTAAGTTGCCAAAATGGACTAAACCAAAGTGAGGATGCTGATATCTGGAAGAATTTCTTCATGTGTAGAGCTGTACTCACCTACAGCTCTAAGGACACTTTCAGGAAGGATAGATCTCATTGGTGCTCACAATAAGAATTGGCCCAATAGGCCAGGTGCGGTGGCTCATGCCTGTAATCCCAGCACTTTGGGAGGCTGAGGCGGGCAGATCACCTGAGGTCAGGAGTTCGAGACCAGCCCAGCCTATATGGTGAAATCCCATCTCTACTAAAAATACAAAATTAACCGGGCGTGGTGGCACGCGCCTCTAATCCCAGCTACTCTAGAGGCCGAGGCAGGAGAATCACTTGAACCCAGGAGGCAGAGGAAGGAGAATCGCTTGAACCCGGGAGACGGAGGTTGCAGTGAGTCGAGACTGTGCCATTGCACTCCAGCCTGGGCAAAAAGAGCGAAACTCCATCTCAAAAACAAAACAAAACATTACAAAACAAAACCAAAAAACACAAAAGAATAGGCCTGATTATTCCTATTTTGTGATTGGAGTCCTGGGCAGGGTAGGCTGGTCACATGGTCATATATAGACATTTCTGACTCCAGCGATGCCCCCTGCATGACTGCTACAAACATCTCAAATGCAGATTCCCATTCCTCATTCTCCAGATTGGAGACCCAGGAGAAGGATGCCTTCTGGGGTTTAGTATGACCATAGGATTATAAACCGGAAGAATGAAAAATGCTTCCACATTGTATTCTCAGTGGGCTTTGCTGAGTTGCAGAGAACCAGAACTATCAAAACAGTTCTAGGAGTTTAGATGGAAGACTCAGAAGTCCCTCTCTGGATCTTGAAAACATCAGTTCTTTCTTCAACAGCACTTAAGTTACAGTGTTCTGATATGAAATAAATGGGATCAAGTCATATTGGGTATTGAGGCAGAAGAGATGCTGCTTATGATCAGACAGACTTAGGGAGAGAGAGAGACAGAATATTCATAAATTATGACTTAGGCCAGGCTTCCTAGGGCGAGTCTCTGTAGCTCACCCTGGGATGACATTCACGGGGGTGGTGGGGACACAGACTTGAAGTCATTGTGCCCTGCAGATTTTCCTGGAGAAATCTAGAACCCCAGCTTTCTCTGGAATAGAGTGATAGTCTCTAAAGGACTCTTTGATAGTTTTCTGGGTCACTCTAAGGGCAATCAAGAAAGACCCCCATCCAGAGAACAGTCTGGCTTGGCCACTGGAGGTAGTGATTATCTCTGGAGTAAATTTGGCTCCAGGAAGAATAACAGGGTAGAAGAAGCTCAAGGAGTATGTGTTCTCCACCTCCAAAAAGAGGAATTAAAACAGGAAGAGATCATTTTAACCATATAGTCCCCGAAAAATAAACGGCACTTTAGGGCCTTCTTTCTTAGTATGTTCTCTGATAACAGCAGAACTGTTGCTGGGCGCATGCTGCCTAGCAAGACTACAGTTCCCAGCTTACCTTGCTATTAAGTGTAGTCATGTGACTGAGTTCTTGTCAATGGAATCCAAACCATTTCCAGGTCTGTTTATTAATAGAGTAGTGTGTTTTTATCGTGCTGTATTTCTCCTTCCCATGGCATAAACCTAGACATGATGATGACCAGCTTTGGACATGTGGATAATGATGATTCTTAAGGGATGGTTGAACAGTGATTAGATCATTGAATCACTATGTGGAGCAAAGCTGCTGTCCTATCTCCAACCCCAAACCTGGACTACTGTAGTTGATACTGTGGTAGGGCTTCCCAGGTCTTCCCCTTTAGTCCTGAAGCACTCATCCTCCCAGATTCTGGGAGCATTAGCACCTGATGGGTCACATTTGAATTCATCTTTAGGAATTGCTCTTGGCCAAAGAGAGCTGCGTCACCAGAATTTGCACTCCCTCCCCCAGGAGCATCCCACATCCAATGATTGGACAGTGCTAAGTTAAATTGGACATGCCTCAGTTTTAGACAACTCTAAAGGGACATCAGAGCCCCATGGGGCATTGGCTGAAGCTTCTGTTGCAACTGCAACAATCTCTCTGCCCAGTTGCTGCTCCAGGGAGTACTCCCCAGTAAACCTCTAGCATGCAAGTCTCCTAATTAGTTTATTTCCTGGACAATCCAAACCAATATGCTACTCATATTGTGACTGTTACATTAATGTGGGGAAAAAACCCTTATTTATTTATTTATTAGGTCTCCACAGTGTTGTGTTTATTTGTTACAGCACCTCAAACTTTACCTTCTTTCAATTATTGAGTAGTGAGAAACAAAGTGACCTGTGGATCAGATTTGACTCCTTGTTCTGTTTCATCAGGAACTCATTTTTTTTTTTCACTTTGAACTTCACCTCTCTTGGCCCTAATCTTATTTGTGAAATGAAGATGTTGGATTAGATAATTTTAAAGGTCTCATCCAACTTTAATAATCTGTGGTTATCTTCTTTTTAAAAAGTATTTCTTCATGAGGATGGGGAGATACACAGTGACAGTTGTATTCCTTAAAAATTTCCACCCAAGCAAAAGATTTGGAATGTGACCCTCCATCGTGACCTCTCTTTTGCTTCTACTCATCCCTTCTCCTTACCTTCTGCCTGCACCACCTGTCCTCTGTTTCTCTCTGATGCATCTCGTCCACTAGCCAGAGAGGAGGTCCAGAAAACCTCAGTCGTTTCTTTGAGCTCAGCTGCTTCTGTATGCTTCCAGCTGAAATTCCATCTGGAGCTACTGTTGTAGGCCAACTCCTCCTGTGAAAGCTGCCCTTTTTCCATTGCACCTCTCTGCCCCACACCCCAGGGGTGGCTTGGGCAGAACTGGCCACTGAGGACAAACATTGTAGTTTTTCTTCCCCAAGTCAGAGCTCTTTTGCAATCAAAAGGCTCTTGATACATGTCCCTGAGAACATGATGCTATGCCAGGCACTGTAACTAGCTAGGGGGACCTGGCCCTACCTTCACTGCACTTACATACAAGCTTAGGCATTGTCACTTGAACAGTCAGAAATGGTTAACTTTTTATTTAATAGTGCTTTGCAGTTTATAAAGTATGTTTTTTTATTACCTCAATTCATCTCTATGGAAACTCGATATTATTATTATTCTCATTTTACAGATAAAGAAAAATAAGTTAAAATGACTGTCCTAAGATCACATCCTAGTTGGCAGAATTAGGATTGGAACCTAGGTCTTCTAACCTCAAAACTTGTACTTTTTTTCTTTCCCCTTTTGCTAACCTAGTAAATTCCTTCTCAAGATTTGTGCCTAGGTCCTCTAGGCAGGTCACTGGACTCCTATGAAACTTGGCTTATGTCTTGGTGGGTAAGTTATTAGTTTGCAATCCACCATTCATTCCCCCAACTAAGTTGGGAATGCCTTGAGAACAGAGATTGTGTCTTGGTCATTCTTGTGTTTCACTTGAATAACTAAATATTCTTGGTTGACAGTAAATTAAATGTGTTTTCTCCCTATAATACCAAAACCCTTTACATTGTGCAATGATGAGAGTAATGAACATTGGTCATGTGTATGGACAATAGGAAGCTGCCCATGGGTGTGGCATTATAAGCCTTGAGAAATACCTTTTTATTGCCTTCAAAATACATTTCCCAAGTGGCAGCATAACTTTTCATTCCATGGCACGCAAGGGTTTTCATTTTTTACTTTTCTTTTTTCTAGAGACAGGGTCTTGCTCTGTCACCCAGGCTAGAGTGGTGAGGTGTAATCATAGCTCACTGCAGCCTCAAACTCCTGGGCTCATGTGATTCTCCCATCTGATCCTCCCAAGTAGCTAGGACCACAGGCATGTACCACCAAGCCTGGCTAATTTTTGTATTTTTTTTTTTTTTTGTAGAGATGGGGTTTTGCCATGTTGCCTGGGCTGGTCTTGAACTCCTGAGTTCAAGTGATCCTCCCGCCTCGATCTCCCAAAGTGCTGGAATTACAGGCGTGACCCCTTGCACCTGGCTGAATGTAAGGTTTTAAACGGAGGCCCACACTGACTTAAATTCTCTCTGGTTTATAAAAGATATCTCCCCGATCCTCTTCCAAGAGGAGGTTGGAAGCGCGATGTGGAAGAGGCCCAGTGTAAGAGAGCAGCATTTGAGATGGGGAAAGGAAGATCCACTGAGAGGGAAAATGGGACTAGAAAAGTGGATTTTTGGAATGTTATTGGCAAATTATCTGACCTGGCAGTTTGGCTGGTACAGTTCTTGAAGCTTCAAAAATTTTTCTACGCCTTCAAGAAGCTGGTGTCAGTGATGGGAGTAAAGCTAGAGGTAGAGATTTAGGCACGTTGTCCCAATTCTGCCTTTTAAGCAGCTGAATTCCAGGCTTAGGGATTGCTACAACCTTGAAGCTAAATCAGAGGCAGAGCATGGAGCAGCCTGGAAAGGTCCTTGATGCCTCTGCGTGTTCCAGGCATCAGGCTGTGCTGCTTCAGTACCGAAGACAGCGCCCAGAGGGTCCCCTTGGAGACAAAGCTGGGACCTCTGCCTGCCGCTGTTTAGACTGGGAAGTTCTGAATGTTTGATTCAATGTCCTCGGCAAGCTGTGCTGATGATTGAAACTCGGGGCCTTAAGGAAGGCTCAGCACCCAGAGGTGTAATTCAGATTCCTGTGGGTTTTCCTCCAGGCTTGGAATCATTTCCCTTTTGTGTATCCTTTGGGTTTTAAGGCTCCCTTTTCCTTTTCCAGCAGCCTGCGTCACTCCTACGAGAAGGAGGATAAAATCCTGTAGCATCTCTTTCTTCTCCTCATAACTGATCTCATTCCCTTACATCTAAGTAACTGTTTCTTTCCATGGACCCCTGGCCCTCTGATTTCCATGTGAGAGCTGGCTACATAGCTCTGGATTGAAGGGAAGGCATGGCAGCCCACTAAAGTATAATTGGCAGAGAATAGGATTCCAGTTTCTTTTCCATTTTCCAGGCAGTATGTGGACCTTTCGGTAGGACTCATTTGGAGACGTGGTGCCTTAGCTCAATGGGATGTTCCTCCTAGTAGGAAAGTCAAGCTCAATTTCAGATCAAGGTGGAAGATAGCCTCTACAACCCTTCAGGACCTCAGAGATGCCACACATTGTGCAAGAAAGACAAGTAGATGTTCTACCTCTATGAAAGGCCATTCTGGGTATAGGTTGAGTTATTCACCAACTGTGTAATCTTGAGTGTGTTATTTAACTTCCTTGAGTGTCAGTTTCCTCAACTACAAAGGAGGATAACAACAAATACCTAAGTTATATGAAATTAATAGGATCATGTATGGGAAGTTGTTTTGTTAACTGTAAAGTGAGCCATAATAATTAATAATAATCGTTCCTACAAAGTCTTTGATGGGAAGGAATACGCATTTCTGTCTTTTAATCACTGTGGGCTAGAAAAATGTCAAATCATGCCCATCACGGAGTCTGCAGATAGTGATGTCAGGACACTTCCAAGGGAAACTTGTCATCCTACTTTGAGTTGGCTATTGCCTGTGATTGGCTTTGGTCCATTCCATATTCAGAAAAAAAGTTTACTTCCTCCATTAACTTAATAAGCCAGAGACACTCACACTGACACCATTGGTTTATCAGGCAGTCACAGTGTTGCTGGAAACAGCCAGTGACACATCCCCTCCTCGCCATTCCCCATGGGCAGGGAGACAGCTCAGGACCTTGCAGAAAGCCTGTGGGTCTGTATGAGTAATTGTCATGTGCTTCCACCCATCCCCCAGCTCCCTTCATGTCACTTCCACTCATTGCTGTCACATCTTTGGGATGATTTGACTTTCCTTTAGCATTCTTAAGACAGACTGCCTTGTGTTGCCTCGAAAGGAGGGTAAGCCATATCATTACTCAGTCTGAGGACAATGCAATTCTTGCCTATATGCTCCTACAGGCTTTTAATCGCTCAGTAGTCATTCCGTTGTGTCCTAGCATGGTTTGTGCAATGATCACTCTATTTCCCCCCTCTTTTTTTTTTAACACTACCCCAATCTTGTTCATGTATCCTCCATTCCCTATGTAACCATGTGCCTGTGGAGAGCTGACCTCACCCTCAGCTCCAGAGTGGTTTTGACTGGGGAAAGGGTATATTTCCCCTTGGCTGGTGGTTAGTACTGCAAGGTCTCAGGAAAAGGCTTTCTTGCCTCTAAAGGATGATGAAGGGTCTGGATGAGATGCTAAGAATTATTCCTGCCATTCTATTATTAAAGCCAACTCTGAGGATGACAGGGAAGAGAGATGAAAAGAACCCGAGTCCTTGATGACACTGCCAAGCCACCAAATCAATCAATTCTGAAAACCTGCATTTCTACTGGCCTTCCTGTTATGTGAGCTAATAAAGTTCTTTATTGATTGAACAGGGGTTTCTGTTACTTGCAGCTAAACGCATTCTGATAGACTCAGTTGCTTGTCAGGAGATGGGTCTAGGTCATTTGTCAGAGATACAAAGCAAATTTGACCTGCTATTGAACCCCACAAGTAGTACCCCAAAATAATCTATGGTGCTTCTTCAACCAACAGCATTTTGAAAACTCACTCCTGCCATTCTTAGCCACTTGTGTCAGATGACATTCGGTGGCAGTAGGTTGAGGACATAGTCTGCCAGTTTGTGGATTCTATTAGGTGTTCGGATTCCTTCTTAATCATTGTCCTATTTCCTCTAGGTGCCAAGCCTTATTTTATAACTTAATTGCTTGATTTGTGTTGTTTTCTTTGCTTTGGTAGGAAGGATGTCCTGTAGTGACATTGAACAAAGGTCCTACCGGGGAAGGAGATCTTTGGCAAGTATTAGGTTGGTGCAAAAAGTAATTGTGGTTTTTGCCATTAAAAGCAATTATTTTTTGCGCCAACTTAATAGAAGGACTCAAAACTCCTTGGAATCCAGTTTTGAAGCCCAAGATCCTGTGTATAAAGGGTTCCTTGGGGTGACATTTATTAGTCTTCCTGCAAGGAGCATTTTGAGAGGATATCATGTTTACCGTTCTATGCAAGGCTCTTTAACTTATGACCTCTCAGCTGGAACAATAATTTCCTCCTCTTGACTCTGGGGTATTGCCTGCTTCACAGGAGTGACAGACAATGGAGGAAGCCATGTTTAGAGACTGCTTGATTCCTCACACCTGTAGATAGGTGACTGATACACCACTAGATAGAAACTAGAAAATAAATGACAGATGGGGAAACTGAGGAACAAAAGAGGCTACAAGGAGATTAATTCCATATTTCAAATAGATCCAATAATAACATACAGCCCAGAAATAATGCGAAGCACTTCCCACGTGCAAGATTTTGTGGGATAGATATTTTCCTTCTCCTTCAGGGTTGGGGAAGTCCATGATATAAACAAGAATAAAGTTACTTTTAACGATGAAACTACCACGCCCGGCCTGCTCAGGGATTTTAACTCAGGCCTGTTGGGCACCAAAGGTTTTAAGTGTGAAAACTTACAGCTGCTGAATTATTAGAATGTTACTTAGCTCTCCAAACCCTACCAGTTTGAGAGTGATTCTGACAACAGGTAAGTAGAGCGTTTAGTCTAAACATATGAATAAAGTATTGGATGAATTCTTATTAAATAGTGTCTAGGCTGGGTGCGGTGGCTTATGCCTGTAATCCCAGCACTTTGGGAGGCCGAGGTGGATGGATCACCTGATGTCAGGAGTTTGAAACCAGCCTGGCCAACATGGTGGAGCCCCATCTCTACTTAAAATACAAAAATTAGCTGGGCGTTGTGGCGCATGCCTGTAATCCCAGCTACTCAGGAGGCTAAGGCAGGAGAATCACTTGAACCTGGGAGGCAGAGGTTGCAGTGAGCTGAGATCGTGCCCCTCCCTCCAGCCTGGGCGACAGAGCAAGACTCTGTCTCAAAAAATAATAAGTAAATAAATAAATAAATAAATAGTGTCTACTGTGCTCAATTTTTGAGTGTACTGATTGTGCTAGGATGTTCTAGAATTGCACCCCCAGGCCATTTCTTTCTTTTTAATTTATATGCTGCCAAAGGCTGGGACTACTGGAAATTCCAAATGAATTTTCCTCTGCAGTTTGGGCTAAGAGCTGGGAGTGCTAATTCACAGATGCCTAAACAAACACCGTTTGACATCCTTGGCCTTACCTACAAAATGGGAAGCTGATTACTAAAAAGCATGCTCCATAAGCAAGAGCTCTGTCTCTTCTCCTTTCATCTTTGAGTGGTCTGGCCAAGTTGGAAATTGGTACGTGTCTCTGTTTCAGAACTCCCAACAGATCCCTCTGTATTGAGAACTGGTCAATGTGATGTAAACCACAGTTTCTAAGTATAAAAACGTGGTAAATTTGAGACATGGAATTCAAAGCTGAATGTTAAAAACATTTGAAATACAAGTACTAGAATATCAACACACAAAGCAAAGAGTCGGAGTCCTCCAGTACCTTATTTTAAGTAATCTAGGACAGAGAACCAGAGAGTGTTGGATTTAAAATGGGCCTGTCCAGACTGTTCTCAGCCCTGAGTTTGAGGAAATATTAAATAACTTGCTAAAATCACACAGCTATTCAATGCAAGGAGAGCTGAGCTTTAAACCCAAGTCTGTCTGATTCCAAAGGGCGTTTTCTTTTCACTGTATCATTGTGCTAAGAGCAAGCAGCGTCACACAGGGTCTTAGTCCATTTGGGCGGCTGTAACCAATGGAGATGTGACAGATGGGGAAATTGACGAACAGACCATAAGCAGCTTAGCTGAAGAACAGCAGAAATTTATTTCTCACAGTTCTGGAGGCTGTGAAGTCCAAGCTCAAGATAGATTTGGTGTCTGGTGAGGGCCCATTTTCTGGCTCATGGATGGCAAATTCTTCTTGCTGTATCCCTACTGGCAAAAGGGGTGAATGAGCTCTCTGTAGTTTCCTTTATAAGGACACTAATCCCACTCTGAAGACTCCACCCTCGTGACCTAATCACCTCCCAAAGACCCCACCTACTAATGCCATCACCGTGGGGGTTACGATTTCAACAGAAGTTTTGGAGGGACACAGACCACAGTATGGAGAAAATCAAATGAGAGAATGATGAAACAAAGCATACGCTGAGCATCTTATAAGGGGCATGGAAAATGTTCCTCACTGGAGCAGGAAAGGGGGACATGATACCTAGAGGCTGTTTTGAACAGAAACTCCTTCCCTTCCATTCGCTTCATCTCTGTGGGCTACTGTTTGCCCCTGTGGAAGATGCCAGGTGGGTGTTGGGTAGGAGGATAAACTTAGAACAGGGATGTCCTTCTCAGCTCTAATAGTCTAGAGACCTGGGGGCTTATTTGTTTCTTTCTTTATTTTTTTAGACAAGGTCTTACTCTGTTGCCTCACCTAGAATGCAGTGGAAAGATTCCAGTTCACTGCAACCTCTGCCTCCTGGGTTCAAGCGATTCTCTTACCTCAATCTCCCAAGTAGCTGGGACTACAGGTGCCTGCCACTACACTTGGCTAATTTTTTGTATTTTTAGTAGAGACGGGGTTTCATCATGTTGGCCAGGCTAGTTTTGATCTCCTAACCTCAAGTGATCTACCTACCTCTGCCTCCCAAAGTGTTGGGATTACAGGCATGAGCTACCACACCTGACCCTTTTTCTTGATCTTTTAAACTTGATGGGGCAAACCATGGCTCTCATGTAAATTCCAACTTACCTGTAACAGTGCCAGTGGTGTGATAGCCTTAGCTTTCACGCCAGGCAGGAGAAGAGAAGAGAGGGAGCAGGTTCTGCCACAGGGGTGGAGGCATCAGCCTCACTCCTTGTCTGACCCTACAGAGAACTGTCCCTGTCCCCTCTCTGCTCTCCCACTATGATCCTGGGGAGGAGAATGAGATCATGTCTGAAAAGTAAACAGAACTTCTTAGAGCAAGAAGCTGAATAACTTCGAGGCCTGCAAATGCCATCATCTGTCTCTAATTTCTAATCCTCATTCAAAGACCAGATCGAGTTGATCTTTTAAAAGAACTGGTCGGGGTCAGCTCTTTTTTTTTTTTTTTTGAGACAGAGTTTCCCTCTGTTACCCAGGCTGGAATTCAGTGGCATGATCTCGGCTCTCGGCTCACTGCAACCTCCGCCTCCCAGGTTCAAGCTATTCTCCTGCCTCATCCTCCCCAATAGCTGGGATTATAGGTGGCCACCACCTCGCCTGGCTAATTTTTGTATTTTTAGTAGAGACAAGGTTTCACCACGTTGTCCAGGCTGGTCTTGAACTCCTGACCCCAGGTGATCCGCCTGCCTTGGCCTCCCAAAGCGCTGGGATTATAGGTGTGAGCCACCATGCTCAGCCACTGAACTGGTCACCTCTTGAATCAAAGAGCTGAACCTCTTATTTTCCTCTTCTGGGCTTTCAAATGGTGATAAGAGCCCCTAATACCATGGCAACAGAAGCTGTGGAAAACCTAACCCAGAAATGTGGGATGGAAGGGACTCCTTTGGAGTTGGCAGCCTCTGAGGAACAAGAGGGTCATCTCCCTGAAGGCCTTTTTCTCCATTTTGACATTGCCCACTGCAGCTAAGATTTTAAGGAGCAAAAAACGTGGGCTCTGGTGTCATGCAGTGCTCAGTGTAAATGCCAGCTTTGATCCTTCCTGGCTTTGTGGTCTCTGAGCCGATGTTGCAGGATTGTTGTGTAGATTATGCCAGAGGATGGATACTTGGAAGTGCTTGGCACATATTAGATGCTCAACACATAGAAATCATTGTGGCCTGTTTTGTTTGTTTGTTTGTTTGTTTGTTTGTTTTTTCTGAGACAGGGTCGAGCTTTGTTGCCCAGGCTGCAGTTCAGTGGCACAAATATAACTCACTATACTCTCAACCTCCCAGGCTCAAGTGATCCTCCCACCTACAGGTGTGTGCACCACACCAGGCTAATTTTTTTTTTTTTTTAAAGATGGGGTCTCGCTATATTGCCCAGGCTGGTCTCAAACTCCTGGGTTCAACTGATCCTCCTGCCACACCCTCCCAAGATGCTGGGATTACAGGCGTGAGCTGCTGTCCCTGGCCTTTTTTCTTTTTCTTCCCATCAGATGGGTAATGGGCAGACATCGTAACAAGGTTTCAATGAGGCACATCTCACACAATCGCCTGAAAACCCAATCATCATGCTTATGAACCACAAAAGGACCTGGCCTGTTTTAAAGACTGTTTTTTTTTTTTTTTTTTTTTTTTTATCTCTTGCTGTAAGTTCACTCTGGCAGCCTCTGATGATGAGGTTCGAGGTAGGAGTGAGAATAAGCATCCATATGTCAGGCTTACTTCGAGCTAGAAAGATCCAGGCAAAACCTGACGGAAATTTTCCTTGTTTATGCGGCTCTTCTCTGCTCAAGATATATTGATAATGGAGGGAAGAGAAAATCTGTAGATGGAGAACTGGGAATCAGAATACCTGGATTCCTACAGCCCTGACTCCCAGAGAGATCCTGGGCCAGTCGTTTCCTCTCGCTGGCTTTGGACTCTGCTCTGTCCTGTGGGTTTAAAAAGTTGAAAGCTCTTTAGAAAAAGCACGTATTAGAGTTTGGATGAGATGATCCTCCTCTGCAAAATATCTTTCTACTTAGCTCCCTGATGACTGCAATTCTATGCCAGCGCCTCCTCCCCTGGAGTCTGGAGTCAAATAAGGGTTTTGTCTGCTTGGACAAATGCAATCACTGATGAATCACTGAGTACATCATGGCTCTGGGAAGGCTGAAAGAGGAAAGACCAGCACTGGGGTGAGAGGAGAAGAGAACACAGACAGCGGAGGCTGCCAGACCTCAATACAGCTTCCACCTTCCAGCATTTGCCAAGGGCCAGGCCATTGTCCACCGACCGACAAAGTGTCTGTGCACTGGTAGAGAGGGAGAGAGGAACTCAGGAGCTCACTGTGTACCCTTGGGAAGGCCACTCTGTCTCACCAGGTCCTGTAAAATAAGAGCACTGGGCTGTTTCCACTGTGAAACTGACTATGTGTCTGCATGGGAGGATGCTGCCCAAGGCATCAGAGAGCCAGGGGGTAGCAGCCAGGAGCTCTGCAGTGGAGAATTCCAGAGCCTGCTCAGAGGGAAGGACATAGCTCATGGCTGAGGCGAGGTTCCCTTCGCCTCTCTCGCAAGCCCTTGATGATAGAAAGGAAGAATACCGGACGTGGGTGGTGGCATATGGAGGGAACCCCTCTCACTGTCACTTATAGTGTTATTTTATTTTTTCTTTTTCTTTTCTTTTCTTTCTTTCTTTCTTTCTTTTTTTTGAGACAGAGTCTCGCTCTGTCGCCCAGGCTGTAATGCAGTGGCGCGATCTCGGCTCACTGCCACCTCCACCTTCCAGGTTCACGTAATTCTCCTGCCTCAGCCTCCTGAGTAGCTCACCACCACACCCGGCTAATTTTTTGTATTTTTAGTAGAGACAGGGTTTCACCTCGTTGTCCAGGCTGGTCTTGAACTCCTGACCTCAAGTGATCCACCTGCTTCGGCCTCCCAAAGTGCTGGGATTACAGGCATGAGCCACCGCACCCGGTCTATTTTATTTTTTCCACAAATAATTATTGCCCACCTACGGCATCATCAGGTACTCGTTCACATCAGTGTGCAAAACACAGAAATTTGTGTCTTTATAAAACGTGTGCTCTAGTGCACAGAGACAGACAATGAAAATAAATGTCAAAATCATGTGTTAATACTGTCCTATGTGATTAAGGACTACAGGAAATGCCGAATCGGGGTTGTGATTGTGGGGCTAGGGGACGGGGTGTAATTAAGATAGATGACTTTTGAACAAGAATGGGAAAGACCTTGGCTGACCTTATTTAGAATATATCTACACATTAATATTCACAAAATGCCCTTTAATGATGCTATTCATTAGTGCCACTTGTTTGTTAATAATTAATAAACGAACTATTTATCTGTTCATTTTTTTCCCTTTAATAAAGGCTTAAAGGGAGAAAAGGTGGAGAGCCGAGGAGACACAAAATGTGCACATAATGTCTCTTTTCCTATAGATGTTCCTGTTTCCCCCTTATTCCTTCCACGGCCACCTGGGATTTTTCCAGGCGGGCTCCGCCTCCTGTCCCCGCCCCCTCCCGCCTCTGCTCCAGTTCGCCCGAGGGCCTGTCAGTTTCAGTCCGCTGCGGGCGGGCGGAGTGGAACCGTCAGGCAGAGGGGGACGGAAGAGGGAGAAGGAACCCTGCAGCCCTGCATCCGGCCGCGCCCACCCCGGCACGCCTCTCCTCGCCTCGCCTCAGCTCCCTCCACAAAGCGGCACTCGCCTGCAGCTCTGGTTTCCAAAAGTGGTCGGGGCTCTGGCGAAAACGATGCACATGGAGGCAGGAGGCGGGAGGCTCAGGTCCCCTTCCCGATGAACCGGACAACCTCGGGGACAGTCACTCAACTGCAAGTCTTTGCAGTCATCAAATTCGAAATACGGGTGATAATAACATTAACTGTGATACCAGATCCGGGTTCTTGTGAAACTTGAATAAGAAAAATGTTCGAGCCAGAGGGTTGGCTCAAACTTGTAATCCCTCTACTTTGGAAGGCGGAGGCGGAAGGATTACTTGAGGCCAGGAGTTCGAGGCCAGCCTGGGCAACCTAGCAAGACCCTATTTCTACAACAACAACAGCAATAATAATACTAATAAAACAAATTAGCTGGGTGTAGTGGTGCTCACATGTGGTCCCAGCTACTTGGGAGGCTGAGGCAGGAGAATCGCTTGAGCCTAGGCGTTCTAGGCTGCGGTGAGTTATGATCGCACCACTGCACTCCAGCCTGGGTGACAGAGGGAGACCCTGTCTCAAAAAGAAAAGAAAGCAGCAACAACAAAGTAAAAAAAAGGAAAAAAAAAAGTATTTGGAAGTGTTTTGCAAAGTGCCGTAATAAAACTCGAGATATGATTCTGGATGCAGGGCAGGAAGTCATGTGCTCCGTTTGGAGGGGCTAGGCAGGAACAGATGCCCTTGTGGCCTCAAGGAGTTTGTGTTTCCACAGCGGGGAGGATAGGTATGCCTTCACCATAGCAATGCACACTGTGGTCCAAACCTCGGTGGAGCTCTATCCTGGCCTGAGGGTTATAATAATCCCTTCTCTGCATTGGGTTTGAGTAATGGAACTGTAAATGAAGCCGGGTACAGTGGCCGATGCTTGTAATCCCAGAACTTTGGGAGGCTGAGGCAGGTGGATCATTTGAGCCTAGGAGTTCCAGATGAGACTGGGCAACAGAGCAAGACCCTGCCTCTACAAAAAATTTAAAAATTAGCTGGGCCTGGTGTGCACTCCTGTAGTTCCAGCTACTTGGGAGGCTGAGGCTGGAGGATCACTTGAGCACAGGAGTTGGAAGCTGCAGTGAGCCATGATTGCACCACTGCACTCCAGCCTGGATGACAGAGCAAGACCCTGTCAAAAAAAAAAAAGAAAAAAAGAAAAAGAAAAAACTCAAAAAACCAAGAAACAAAAAAAACAACTCAACAAAATGGAAAGTTGGTAAACGACTGGACTGAAAAAATACAGTTCAAGGACATATGTACATGTGGGGTGGGACTTCTGTTTCACATATGGAATTTGATGATCTGACAGGCCAGGTAGCACCTAGGATGGTGAGCTTGGAGGGATGAGTTAGAAGGGTTGGGGGTGTGGCCAGGATGCTGGGCATGTGATTAGGATGCTGGGGGTGTGGTTAGGATGCTGGGGGTGTGATTAGGATGCTGAGGGTGTGGTTAGGATGCTGGGTGTATGATTAGGATGATGGAGGTGTGATTAGGATGATGGAGGTGTGGTTAGGATGTGGGGTGTGGTTAGGATGATGGGGGTCTGGTTAGGATGCTGGGGGTCTGGTTAGGATGATGGAGGTGTGATTAGGATGATGGAGGTGTGGTTAGGATGCTCTGTGAGGGGTGCTCTTCCCACCTGAAGGACCACATTCTCACCGGTGATCCTTACAGATATTGCTGTTCCTTCAAAGCCATCGGTAAATAAGGTGAATTTTTACATTTTGTTGAGACAGAACAGTTTTTTTCGAGCATGTGCTCTATACCCATTTTCCATTGCTTCATCTGTATTTTTAATTGATTTGTTGGGGCCCTCATTACCTTGTAGATAATACCCCTTTATTGGTTCGCTGCAGTGGTTTTTGCAGTTTGTGGTTTAACTTTGTTTATAATTTTTTTTACACCTTTATTGGGGTATAATTGGTAAACGATAAACCACACATATTTAAAGTGTTTGATTTTATCAGTTTTGGAATTTGTGTACACCATTGAAATCATGATCACAATCAGAATAACATATATTTTCATCTCCCCCCAGAAGAGTCTTTGAGTCCCTTGGAAGTCCATCCTTTTCTCTACTGATATCTCCAGGCAACAACTGAGCTCCTTTCTGCCATCATAAATTAGTTGACATTTTTTTAGAGTTGTATGGTCACAGAATTATACAGTCTATACTCTTTTTTATCCGACTTCTTCCACCCATCATGATTTTGGATTTCATCCATGTTATTGCACGTATCAAAAGTGTATTCTTGTTGCTGAGCAGAATTCCATCGTGTGGATGTGCCATGGTTTATCCATGCATCCACTGATAAACATTTGGGTTGTTTCCAGGTTGTGACTATTAAAAACTGAGCTGCTGTGAAAATTTTTGTACAAGTCTTTGGATGTCAAGTAGGAATTGGACAGCCAAAGATGAAAGCATAATTTAAGGGAGGGGGACTACATGACCACAGAGAGGTAAAGCCCAGGATACCGACAGGGAACAGTGCTGTAGTGGTCCAGGTAGCTGGGGTTTAGGATATTCATTTGGAGAGCAAGGGAAGAAGAAAGAGCAGGTTGGACTCAGATCTCAGAGGACTTTGGAGTTTATGCTTAAGACTTTGTTTCATCCAATGTGCAATTGGGAGCCATGCAAATTTTCTTGTTTAAGGTGAGAAAGAACAATAAGATTTCAATCCTGTTTGGATTGACTTTCCCTCTATCCGTATTTACTGAATAGTTAAGCTTGATGACCAGTTTGCTTTTACCGTTTGTACTGGGTAACATTTACTTACGCTTTAAGTCAGGAGCCAGCCCATGGCAGAGTTCCTTTCTTGGAGAAAGGAAGCTCTCTCTCTGGCTCACATCTTTCCCCATTTGTATAATATCATAAACATGTATTACTGTGAACTCTCCTCCTTCCCAGGTATCATTTAGGTATTGGAAAGTATGTATTCCAACAGGGTTTGTAAAATGTAAAAATGGAGTTCTGGTAAATAAATTCTAGCTTCTCACTAACTTCCATTGAAAATGGAAGATATATGAAAATCAGAATGTATTATTGCAGAAAAATATCGCCTTGTGATATGCTTTAGCTGTTTCCCCACTCAAATCTTATCTTGAATTGTAATCCAAAATGCAATCCTCACGTATTCTGGGAGGAATCTGGTGGGAAGTGATTGGATCATGGGGGGCAGTTTCTCATATGCTGTTCTCATGATAGTGAGTGAGTTCTCACAAGATCTGATGATTTTATAAGGGGCAGTTTGCCCTGCTCACTTTCTCCTCCTGCCACCTTATGGAGAAGGTGCCTGCTTCCCCCTCCGTTATGCTTGTAAGTTTCCTGAGGCCTCCTCAGCCATGTGGAACTGTGAGTAAGTGAATTCAACCCCTTTTGTTTATAAATTACCCAGTCTCAGTGTATTAGTCCATTTTCACACTGCTTATAAAGACATACCCAAGACTGGGCAGTTTACAAAGGAAAGAGGTTACATAAACTTAACAATTCCACATGGCTGAGGAGGCCTCACAATTATGGCAGAAGGCAAGGAGGAGCAAGTCATATCTTACGTGGATGGCTGCAGGCAAAGGGAGAGAGAGAGAGAGAGCTTATGCAGGGGAACTCCTGTTTATAAAACCATCAGATCTCATGACGCTTATTCACTATCATGAGAACAGCATAAGAAAGACCCATTCCCATGATTCAATTACTTCCCACTAAGTCCCTCCCACAACATGTGGGAATTCAAGATGAGATTTGAGTGGGGACCCAGCCAAACCATATCACTCAGGGAAGTTCCTTTTTTTTTTTTTGTTTTTGTGTGTGTGTGTGTGCGATGGCGTCTCACTCTGTCGCCTGGGCTGGAGTGCAGTGGCATGATCTCAGCTCAACTCACTGCAACCTCTGCCTCCCGGATTCAAGCGATTCTCCTGCCTCAACCTCCCAAGTAGCTGGGATTACTGGCGCCCACCACTACTCCCTGCTAATTTTTTGTATTTTTAGTGGAAATGGGGTTTCACCATGTTGACCAGGCAGGAAGTTCTTTATAGCAGTGTGAAAACAGACTAATATACCGTGTAAAAGACATCATGTGATACTTGGAAGGGACTAGGGTAGGGAGAGGTTCCTGGGACCTCAATAAACAGTTATGTAGTCAGCCTCTCTCCATGGAGGGGCACCGGCAGCCAGAGACAACAGAAAAATCAACACCGTGATCACATTCTCATTTTTGCCATTGGCTAAACCCAACTAGAAGCCAGAGATCATGGGGTCTCTCCTTGTTGTGATTTATATAAGGAGAAAGTAGGACGGAGAAGGTGAGAACATACCTGGGAGGTGCGTGAACACCAAGACCCATGTCACATCTACACCTGCCCCCACCCTAAACCATGCTCCATCTTTGACCTTGCTTTGTGCTTCTGGGTCACCCTGGCCTCTGGCTTCTGGTTAGGTCTGGCCCACAGGAGGCACCACCAGGAGGAATGTAGCAGGGTGTTTATTCCTCTGGCTTATCCTCGCTGTATTGCTGCACCCCATGCCCAAGAACCAAAGGTCACAGCTCCTATTAAGGAGCCCCTCCCCACACAGCTACTCTCTCCAGGTTCTGGACACCAAGACCATCCCTTGTGCCTTTGGATCCTGGAGTGGTAAGGCACCCTCCATGTTACTAGCCCCGGGGTACTGCACCATCCCTTGTTAGTTTCTTCTAGTCTTGCTGCCGCCTCTGTGAATAATCTCTTGCTATCTCCCCTCTTTTACCTGGCTTGCACTGTCATCCATTTCCTGCCAGGATTCTGACTGTTCATGTTGTGCAGAGACTAGATACATCCTTGCAAGGTAGAAGAGACCAGAACACATTTTAGAGCATGGTTTGTTATTATGGTTTCTTCTCCCTGCGTACCAGCTGATAGGAACATAAGTTGCACTGTGGCTGTGCTTACTAAAGATCATAGCACACGAAAAGTGGGTCAGTGGTTTCATACCTGTTCTAATTTATCTTTTGGCAGATGGCTCCATCTCTAATTCCCGGTCCACTTTTCTTAATTAGGCTGCTGAAATGTTATTTGCTGTGGAAGTTTTGTTCTTTTCAGAGTCCATCAGCCTTCTCTCTGGCCCTGCCCCTGCCCCTGCCCCGTCCAAGGGTCTCTGCCTTGTTCTTGCCTGGACTAGGTGTTTTCTTAGGCTTCTGGTAGAGTTGCACGAGATATAAACTTTTCTTTTGATCCTTGGTTTTTCATCAATTGATGGAAGAATTAGGAAAGGGCAGATGTTGTGTTAATATTAGGAAGCTTGTAGTCCTTATAAGGTCTGGCACCTAATTACACACAAAATACTAACTCTAATAATAAAAATGTTAAAGACATTTGAACATAAAAATGAGCATAAACCAGGAGTAAGTTTAGTCAACAGATATTTATTGAATGCATACTATACTATGTACCAGGCATTGTTCTAGGTACCAAGGAATGCATTGGGCCAATCTCAGCCTAATGGTATTAGTATTAGGCTGGTACTAATAGGTATAATTAGGTATTATGGGCTTCTTAATGCATTAGCGTATCTGCTAGCTAATTAAGTAGTTAATTGAATTACTAATTTTTTAGCACATCATTGGAGATTTATTGGGTTTGGTGAGGTCACCACTGAGGAGTGTTGGTCTATTGATGGAGTTTATTTAGAACCTGTCACAGCTGCACTGACCATATAGCATGTTATCAGGCAATGTGTATCCTGTACTGCGGTTAAGAGGACAGGCTTTGCAGTAAGAGAAGCCCATCTTCAAAGCCTGGCTGTGCTACTCAGTATCTGTGTGATTGTGGGTAAGTAAAGTAACCATACTATGCCTTAGTTCTTTGGCTTATCAAATGGGAATGCCTAGACTATCTACCTCAAAGTAGATGCTCCTACATGGTAACTGTTTATATGCACAACCTTAGGATGCTTACTGTCTCCCCTTGAATTACAGTAATTTTTTGTAGACTTTGCACCTCCTCCTTCAGACTGCATGTACCTATAGGGCAGCTCTGTATCTCTCATGGTGCCTAACATAGGTGCTTGATTGCTGATTATTGATTGATTGGTGATTATAGTTGCTAACACTGACCAAATGCCTACTGCATGTTAGGTGGCACTGTTCTGACCCTTGATGTAGGAACAACTTTATGAAGTAGGAACTCCTATTTACCCACTTTTACACTTGAGAGAATGGAGGTAAAGAGAATGCTAAGTAAACTGATTAAGATTGGCCTGGTGCGGTGGCTCACTCCTGTAATCTAAACCTTTGCGAGGCCAAGGCAGGTGGATCACCTGAGGTTGGGAGCTCGAGACCAGCCTGGCCAACATAGCAAAACCCCATCTCTACTAAAAATACAAAAATTAGCTGGGTATGGTGGCGCATGCCTATAATCCTAGCTCCTCAGGAGGCTGAGACATGAGAATCTCTTGAACCTGGGAGGCGTAGGTTGCAGTGAGCCGAGATTGCGCCACTGCACTTCAGCCTGGGTGACAGAGCAAGACCCTGTCTCAAAAAAAAAAAAAAAATGACTAAGATTATTGAGATAGTGAGAATCAGAGTCAGGATTTGAACCCAGGCATCTGGCTCTAGAGCCTACATGTTCACTACTGCACTGTGCTGTCTCCTGGGGATGTGTTTTATGAGGCCCTGCAATTACAGCAATAACTCAGGACATCGGTGGGGATAAAGATGGCTACACAGGTTCTCACGTTTTCTAAGCTGGGGAGGGATGCAGCTTCTTTACGTTACTAAGGTATTGCATTCATTTGGTTCCAGGGTGCGTTCAGTGCCTGGTACATGCTTTTTTGAATTTGCTACTGACCCATTAGAGTAGATTTGCTTGTTCTTTATCCTCCAGTCATGCAGACCTCTCTAGGGGGCCTCACTTTATCTCCCTTATACTTATGCAAAATTCAGTGCTAAAATTATGCTGTAGAATAGAGTGGACCAAGCTAACTGAATATGTCCCCATGATCTTCTAAGGTCCTGTCAACTCCATCTCCAACCTAGGAGGATCACTGACTCAAGAAGCAGTGCTCTAGGACCGTAAGGGAAAGAATGCTGGCCTGCAGCTCAGATATTTAGCCTCAGTTCCAGCTCTGCCTTTTACCAGCCAAGGGCCATACCCAAGGAATTTAACCTCTTTGAGTTTCACTTTCTGTTTGCAAACTGGAAAGACCTTTCCCAGCTTCACATTTGCAATTCGTGTAAATTCTGTCTTACCTGCCTGACTGTATTTCATAAATATTTATTTGAGGACTGCTGATATGGTTTGGCTGTGTCCCTACCCAAATCTCATCATGAATTATGGCTCCCATAATCCCCAAGTGTTGTGGGAGGGACCCGGTGGGAGATAATTGAATCATGGGGGCAGTTCCCCCATATTGTTCTCATGGTAGTGAATAAGTCTCACGAGATCTGATGGCTTTATAAGGGGAAACCCCTTTGCTTGGTTGTCACTCTCTCTCGCCTGCTGCCATGTAAGATGTGCCTTTTGCCTTCTGCTATGATTGTGAGGCCTCCTCAGCCACATGGAACTGTGAGTCCATTAAACCTCTTTTTCTTTAGAAATTACCCAGTCTTAATCCAGTCTATCATGGATGGACATTTGGGTTGGTTCCAAGTCTTTGCTATTGTGAATAGTGCTGCAATATATACACCATGGAATACTATGCAGCCATAAAAAAGGATGAGATCATGTCCTTTGTAGGGACATGGATGAAGGTGGAAACCATCATTCTCAGCAAACTATCGCAGGGACAAAAAACCAAACACTGCGTGTTCTCACTCATAGGTGGGAATTGAACAATGAGAACACTTGGACACAGGAAGGGGAACATCACACATCGGGGCCTGTCGTGGGGTGGCGGGAGCGGGGAGGGATAGCATTAGGAGACATACCTAATGTAAATGATGAGTTAATGGGTGCAGCACACTAACATGGCACATGTGTACCTATGTAACAAACCTGCACCTTGTGGACATGTACCCTAGAACTTAAAGTATAATAATAATAAAAAAAAGAAATTACCCAGTCTTGGGCATGTCTTTATCAGCAGCGTGAAAACAGGCTAACACAGCTGCCATGTGTAAATTCTGCAGCTAAGTATGAGGAAGGCATGGTCTTTGCTTTTAAGGAGCTCTTGGTCTGGTGGACTTGGGGAATTGATATTCTGGGAAGAGGATAATCAAGTATCAGAATAACCAGAGGCACCTGTTAAGAATGCAGATTCCTGGTCCTCACTTCCAACGTGTTGAACTAAAGTCTCTGGTTCTTATGCACAACAGGTGGAGAACTGTCACAGTGCGTCCTTGGATGATGGACCGCAGATGGAACACCCAGCAGGAAGTAACTCCTCCACTGAGGATGGCATTCATCTCTACCACCTGCATGGTTTTTGCTATAACTGTGAGCCTGCTCTATTATTTACTTAATAGCTTTCTTTAAATTCCTTCACTTAAACATCTGAAATATATTTATTTGAAATGAAGACTATGGCATAAATGTTGATGGGGAGCAAATACTGCTTGCCATGCTAGAAAGCAACTGTAAAAGGAATGCAATGAAAAAGACAGCCACGCAATCCGGCTAGACACTGCTGAGGCTTTGCAGTGTCTAAATGCGTTAAAATGGGTGATTAGCAAGTATCAGAGAGATGAGCTTGTGCCCATAGAAAGGAAGCCCAGTTACTGAAACAGAGGTCGATGCGATGTGGATGGTGATCACTTGAATATTGAATAAGAGGAACAGTTCTCAAATGTATTTTCTTGACCTTTCTTCAGTAAACATTTTATGTTTCACATACAGACCAGTATGTGAAACAGATTAACAACCAACAGCAAGACAAACACCAAAACAGCTGCTCTGCAAAAATCCAGGATAGGGAATGTATTTCCTCCCATGTCAGACCCCAAAGCCCTCAGATTGCACTGCGAGAAGCTCTGATTTAGGGCAGCAGGAGACTCCTGGAGGCCTGGTGAGCGTGCAGGTTTGGGGTTTCATGAGCACAGTGACAGGGCCCTGCAGCCTTTGTTCCAGCATGGACTGTAGGAGCAAGGATAAAGGGTAGGTGTGGGGGCCTGGCATGGTGGATCATGCCTGTAATCCCAGTGCTTTGGGAGGCAGAGGCAGGAGAATTACTTAAGGCCAGGAATTTGAGACCAGCCTGGGCAATATAGTGAGACCCTGTCTCTACAAAAAATTAAAAAAATCGCTGGGTGCAATGGTACATGCCTGTAGTTCCAGCTACTCTGGAGGCTGAGGTGGGATGATCGCTTGAGCTCTGTAGGTTGAGGATGCAGTGAGCTGTGATTGTACCACTGCATTCCAGCCTGGGCAACAGAGTGAGACCCTGTCTATTTAAAAAAAAACAACAACAAAAAAAGGTAGGTGAAGGAGAGTGATGAGAGGAGATTGACCACATTTGGGGGATTTTGTGAGATTTTCTGACCTAGGAGTATGGTTGTTTTATTTTATTTTATTTTACTAGTGCCTTCAGATTTAGGGAAACGAGAGGAACGGAGTGTTCTTGGCCTGGGGCAAATTGCTGGGCTTGTCCCTTTGCTCCGGGAGGTACAACCAAATCCAGGAATAGTGGCTACGGAAGTACAACCTGTATTTTGGATTATTTGTAACAGAAAATGTTTTTGGAAATTGGGGTTATCTGTGCTCCTGTCCCTGTAGCTCTAGCGAATCAGGAAGTCAACTGAGCTCAGAGGGAAACCTCATGTGATCAATCAAGCCACTTCTAGGGAATCTTCTGTGATGCCTAATTGGAAGACTTTTTGACCCTGAGGTAAAAGTCTAGGCTGAACCAGCGTGTTCAAGTTTGGAGGTAAACCAGAGTTAGATGAATTTGTCACTTTTTTGTTGTTGTTTTTTGAGACAGAGTCTTGCACTGTCGCCCAGGCTGGAGTGCAGTGGCACGATCTTGGCTCACTGCAACCTCCGCCTCCCAGGTTCAAGAGATTCTCCTGCCTCAGCCTCCCAAGTAGCTGGGATTACAGGTGCCCGCCACCACACCCAGCTAATTTTTTTGTGTGTTTTTAGTAGAGATGGGGTTTCACTGTGTTGGCCAGGGTGGTCTTGAATTCCTGACCTCGTGATCCGCCCACCTTGGCCTCCAAAAGTGCTGGGGTTACAGGCACGAGCCACCGCACCTGGCCCAAAGTTGTCATTCTTAACATAGGAAGTTTAGCCAAGATGGTGGCCAACTGCAGTGGCTACTGTGGCATTCCACCAGATTCTGTTTGTGGGCTTGATGCACCCATCCCCAGGCTCCTGGGAATATTGGTTGCAAGTGGCTCAGAGCTGGGATTTGCTCTTGGCAATGGGGAACTGTTTCTTCCAAGGCTGTTCCCTCACATCCCTCTCAGGGGTTGGTTTGACAGTGACCGGCTGATACAGGAATACAGAGGCCTGGCCCCTTGCCTCCATCTGGGGCAACTCTGAGGGCTATCTCAGCACCAGAGCATGGTAGGTGTGGTTCAGGTCCAGGTTGTATCAGCATCCTGAGTCAGCTCCCGTTTTCCTGTTTTCTTGGTGACATCATGATATGAAATCAGACAATGGAATTAGCAATATTAAGTTTCCAGGAAGGTAGCATTCCCCCGAGGGAGAAGGGTGGCTCCACGAGACAAGGCTGCTGAGAGCTTCAGAACCCCTCTCCTAAGCCTCCATGCAGGGCGGCTCAGCTCTGTGCTCAGGGACAAATAAGAAAGTCTGAGCCAATGCGTGTAACATCAAATGTATACATACCCATGCACAATTCAAATATAACCATGCACCCCAATGAGTAGGTTTTCATCTGTGTGTACATCTTCCCCAGATCCAGTTTCTATTCTGCCCCGATCTGCTTAGTCTCACCTTCCCTCTGGTTCTTGGCTGTCTGATCAGCAGAGAACCCCAGCTGCTTTCTCTGTCACCTTGCCTCCTAACACTGCCATCTGTCTCAGCCTCCCCAGCGAGGGCCAGACCTTGGTGAAGCCTCCGTGATGTCTGCTGTGGGGATAGCCACGACAGCTCCGAGCTGGGCGACCTGACCACTTGCCATAGGACATGGTTTCCCCAGTGGCTGCCCGGAGGAGGTGGGGAACGCCACTGGGAAGTGTAGGGAATTTTAACATCCTATGGGGTGAACTTTGACCAAGAAGGGACAAGAGACAGGAAAGAGCCAGGAAATACATGACTCACTTTGTCTGGCTCTCCTGGGCTGTGTAAGGTGCCATGGCTGCATGTGGACTGTCTGAGTTGGTTTGGCTGCTATAACAAAATACCATAGTCTGGGTGGCTCATAAACAATGGAAATGTATTTCTCAGTTCTGGAGGCCAGAATCCAGGATTGAGGTTCTGGCACATCCAGCGTTTGTGACAGCCTGCTTCCTGGTTCACAGATGGTTGTCCTGTCACTGTGTTCTCACATGGCAGAAGGGGCCAATGAGCTCTCTGGGGTATCTTATAAGGACACGAATCCCATTCATGAGGGCCCCTCCCTCATGACCTAATCACCTCCCAGAAGGCCTCTCCACACCATCACCTTGGGGCTTAAGATGTCAACACATATGTTTTGGGGGGACACAAGCATTTAGACCATAGTATGGTCTTTCTGGAGACTTCCTGTGTGACTAAACAACTGGCTGTGTTTTTTTGTGACCCTGTAGCCACCTCGGTAACACACAACTTTGTATTTGTTTCTGTCTTCCCTGCCTCACTTCCCTTCCCCCACCTCACTGCTGTGGTTCTGGGAATGAATCATAGCAATGAGTTGGTATACGATTTGCTTCAGGCCAGGCATGGTGGCTCATGCCTGTAATCCCAGTGCTTTGGGAGGCTGAGGAGGGAGGATAGCTTGAAGCCAAGAGTTCAAGACCAGCCTGGGCAACACAGTGGGACTCTCTCTCTACCAAAAGAGGTTGACATCAAGCTCTGCTTTTTCGGGAGCCGGGGGTAAGATGCCATCTGAGAACCTTTGTGTACATTTAAATAACATTTTATCGTTGAGTGATATGTTTAGCATCCTAATGTGTATGAAATACCTACATGTGTGTGTCTGTTGAACTGAATGAATGTGTGTGCTAACATCTAAGTGAATGTGGGGAGATCTAATAGAGATCTAATAGCTGGGGGGTTGATACATGTGAAAATCAGGATATTAGCTATCTATTGCTGCATCAAAAATTACCCAAAATATAGCAGCTGAAAACAACAAACATTTATTATCTCACAGTTTATAAGTGGGTCAGGTTGCCAGGGGCAGCTGAGTTGGTGATTCTGGCTCAAGGTCCCCCATGGGGCTGCAGTCAGGGGGTCACGGTGTTGGCCAAGGGCTCACAGCCCAAAGTGGGTAGGTCTGCTTTTCTGCTCACTCTCCTGGCTGTTGGCAAGCCTCAAGGTGTTGCCACGTGAGCCTCTCCATAGGGCTGCCTCGTGACGTGGTGCTTGCCTTGCTCTAGAGAGAGCAAGCATGAACCCCAGAAGGAAACAACAGTCCTGTTTTTTGGGCCAGGGTCTTGCTATGTTACCAGGCTGGTCTCAAACTCCTGGCCTCAAACAGTCCTCCCACTTCAGTCTCCCAAAGTGCTGAAATTATAGGTGTGAGTCACTGCCCAGCCAATAGTGCTTTTTTTAACTTCTAAATTTTTAAAACACTTATTTTTAGAGACAAGATCGCACTCTGTCAACCAGGCTGGAGTGCAGGGGTGTGATCACTGCAGCCTTGATTTCTTGGGCTCTAGGGATCTTCTCGCCCTAGCCTCCCAAGTAGCTGGGACTACAGTCATGTACCAACGTGCCCAGCTAATTTTTAATTTTTTTGGAGAGATAAGGTTCTCATTATATTGCCCTGGCCTGGTTTTGAACTCCTGGACTCAAGTAATCCTCCCACTTCTGCCTCCCAAAATGTTGGGATTATAGGAGTGAGCCACTCTACCTGGCCATGGACTTTTTATAACTGACTCTTGGAAGTGACATACCATCACTTCTGCCATATTCTGTTCTTCAGAAGTGAGTCATTAAACCCAGCCCACACTCAAAGTGAGATAATTACACAAGGGTGTGAATACCAGGAGGCGGGGACATTTGGGGGCTGTTTTAGAGGCTGCTTGCTACAGTTGGCATATTGTTCCAATTCTAACTTATACCAACAGTCCCTTATTAGTCTTGGAAAAATCCCCTTGTTTCATCCCACAATCCTCTTGCATATATTTCAGAAATTGTTCTGCTTTAGCAGAAATAGATAAGTGGAAGGGCCTTATAAACTGTAAAATACTTTATAAATTGTAGTTGTTACTGGCCAGGCACAGTGGCTCATGCCTGTAATCGCAGCATTTTGGGAGGCTGAGGCGGGTGGATCACCTGAGATCAGGAGTTCAAGACCAGCCTGGCCAATGTGGTGAAACCCCGTCTCTACTAAAAATACAAAAATTAGCCAGGCGTGGTGGTGCGTGCCTGTAATCCTAGCTACTTGAGAGGCTGAGGCAGGAGAATCACTTGAACCTGGGAGGCGGAGGTTGCAGTGAGCCGAGATCAGGCTATTGCACTCCAGCCTGGGTGATAGAGTGAGACTACCTCTCAAAAAAAAAAAAAAAATTGCAGTTGTTACTAAAGAAGGCTCATCAACAGGGAGGAGTCTGTTTCCATAGATGTGGTTCACAGCAACCTAGTGGGCTTACTCTAATTTATTAAAGCAAAGTGCAGTAAGCAGAACCCTGTGTTTAAAAGATGCATATTCACTCCTCATTCATCCCTACCCTCAGGCTCAAATGCTGTAACCAGATATGGACCTGAGGGCATGCCAAAATGAAGGAAAAAACCATCTGGTCAATTTAATCAATCCAATAAAAGCATCCTTTCAAACTGGTCCAAAGATTTGGAGCCCAGACCTCTAGGTAAATGACTGGCTGAATTTTCGGATTCGACTGATAAGATGATTTGGGGTTGTGTAGACACTACTTAAGAGAGCAAGGGTCAAGTAGCAAAGAGAGAGTCTAATTGGGCTTAAAACTTGGAGTCCTCGCCTTGAGCCAGGCTGACCTCACCACCCGGCTCCTGGGAGGGGCTCTGAGTCTGTGGGTGGAACCCGGCGAGTCAGAGGTGGGGAGAACTGTGAAGAGCTCATCGTTTCATTTTTCTGGGCACTCATCAGGGGGCTGCTTTCTGTCTGTCGCTGTCCTCTGATTCTTCCCACCTCCATTTTAGATGACACGGGTGATGGATCACTTCCTGAGGTTGCCTCTTCCTTAATGCATCCATTTTCTGTTCTCCAGGGGAACTGCTCTTCCCTGCTCTTCTCCTTGGACAATTCCGTTTGGGCCAAGGCACCAACCCACACCACCCTGGGGGGTACTCAGCTTTTTGGGAGTTCCACCAACCTCTTCTCTTTCCCAGAATCACTTTATGGACTGAGACCAAAGACAGGCTCAGAGGCCCTGGAGGGAAACTTAGGAAGGGGAAGCTGGGATGATTAGGGGGAAACTGAGAAAGGGAGGGGGAAACATTAAGAGACCTCTGTATAGTACATTAGCTCAAGGAGGCGATACGTGCAAAATGCTTAGGACAGTAGCTGGTGCACAGTAAACACTCAACATCTGTTAGCTGTTGTGATCATTACTATCCTCATTATCATCTGCATTTCTCAGGGCAATTTATTGCTTTTCACTTTGTGACAGTGATCTCTGAAATCCAAATAGGGTGACGGACCCAAAGCTCCTAGCACTGGGCTTGACAGGAAGTTGGTACTTAACAAAAGTTGTCATTTCTGTCAGTATCTGTTCTTCCAGGTTTCTCTGTGTCTCCCACGGTGCCTGGTAGAAAGTTGATGTGAGTTCAGTCTCTTGGCTGAATAAAGAAGCTTCATTTTGTTGGCTATACCAACAAGCAGGCTGTTCAGAAACGGTTCTCAGTGAAGAGTACTTTTTGGCCAGGAAAGGGCACGGTGGCTATGCACGTCACCATGTAAAGGGGCACTGGGGCTGGATGTCTGCAAAGACAGACTGCCATTTTCTCCACACCGTGAAATGCAGGTGGATGGGCCATGCCTGGATTTCTCAGTGAGATCACAGCCCCCTGCATTGCATCTGCCCCCACCAACCTCCTCCTCTAATGGTCTGCTCCCCAAAATATTGGCTCTGCATTTCACTTGGATACTTCATAATACCTAGTGAGTAAGCAAGATCCTGATTCCTTTTCACTAAGGTGCCCTTCCCAGATCTGCTTCCTGCCTGCTTCCTTCCTTCCTGCCCATAGAAAGGACTCACACTTTTGATGACATTTATATTGACGTGCCTTGCTGTAGCCTCAAAGGTTCTTTATAGACATTAGCACCACATTGTGGCCCAGAGTTTTGTTTGCTCATCTCCTGAGGTGCCTAGGGACTTCTCAGCCCTTGTCCTGGGATCTATGGGCCTGTGTGTCCTGCATCCTATGAGAATCACATGTGTAGAGAACACACCATCCCTACTAAATAAATGCTAGAATGACTGCATTTTACAGATGAGGAAGTAGCCTCACAGCAGTGATGTTTTTTGTTTGTGGCAGATGCATTAGATGATTACATGAAACCCCCACGCCCCCGCCATGTCTTTTAACTACAAAAGCTGGGAAACCTAAATATTCCCTCTCCCAGCTTCCTTTGCAGCTAGAAGTGGTCTTCTGACAGTACTAACCACTGAGGCCCAATTGGAACTCTCTGGGTGTTTCAAGAACTAATAAAATGGAACAGATGTGGCTGGAATGACTTCCCTTCTCCCGTCTGTCTGTCTTTCCTAAATATGGACGTGGCATCTGGAGCAGGGTCAGCTATCCTGAGACTGTTAGATGACAAAAATCATTAGCAAATGAAGGCACAGTGGAAAGATAGAAAGGCCTTGAATTCCTCATGGCATCACTGAGGTCTAAACCAGTGCAGTAACCACCCGCCTTGAGGCGCCTAACTCTCTCAAAGGTACGTGGCTGTCCTTGGGGAAGGAAGCGTGAGAGCCCTCCTTAAGATTAGAGTCACAGAACTTCTTTGCTCTGCCTCAAGGCATAGTGAAAGGAGTGGCTGAGCGGACAATTAGGAAGTTTGCTTCCCTCCCATGACCGACTGAGAGTTTTGAACAAATTTCTGGGAAAAGCGCAAGGATGGGTCTGCTATGAGCTGTCCGCCAGTGTGGTGCTGATATGCACATTATGCCACCTAGCTATTGAGGAGCCGGGGAGCTGTCCCTGCAACAGCCACAGCGAACTCCTGCTGCTTGACTCTGCCGCACAGCAAAGAGGTCAAGGTGTGTGTGTGTGTGTGTGTGTACATGTGTGTAATTTGCAAGTAATGTGGCTATTTCTATCATTCCAGTGAAAAGTCATCCCTGACGATTGGGAGAGCTCATAGGCTATGGCCTTTCAAAACATTCTTCACTAAGGGGAGAGCTGAGTCTGGTGAGGATGGAGGGCTGCGGTTCAAGTCAGCTATAAAAGAGTCTGAACTCTCTCCTAGTCTCTTTGGTCCAGGGCGATGACTTGTCTGGGAAATGTGGAATACAACAAAGGAGTCTGTGTAGACAACTTGCCTAGTTTGGTGCTGATTTTTAGGTAAGTGAGAAGTAAAACCTGCAAGTGCTTCTTTCCTGAAGCATCTCAAGGAAATGTGCCACCAGGGCCTTCTTCTGGGATGTACTCTCCTAAGAGCATTTCTGGGCTCAGGGACAGCCTTCAGGCCTTAATTTTTCTTCTGAGAATCCCAAGGGTTGGATGTTTGGCTCATCTCTTTTGGTGTCCTGTCTTGACACAACCTTGCCAAACAGGACATAGCCCATAATTTTTCTTCCTTGCTTCCCATCTCTCAGTAAATGCACAATTCCAAGCATTTTTGTTGTTGTTGTTGTTGCTGATAGTAACTACTGAGAAACTGACATGGGCAAAAACAAAAACAAAAAACAAACATAGGTCAGTTGCTAAGTTACGTGCTGTCTTAAAAGCTTTTGAGAAATAGCTGGTACTGATCTTGGTTGAAATCTAAATGGAGCTTCTTTCGACTCTACTTAACCCCTTTCTGACCCTTTCACTGGTCCATCTACTGGAGTTTTTGATCCCTTGATTTCTCTTTTGATTTCCTGGGCCAGTGCTTCTCTATCTCCCACCTTTCTGAGACCTCCCAGCCTCTCTCTTCTGCAGGACCTGGTGAGGTGAAGAGGGGCAGATGCAGCAGGAGGGCTGTGCAGATGACAGTCTCAGAAAAAGGGCTCTGATCCGGTTCACCTCCACCTGTGAGGAAGCTACCAAGTATTTATCCTGTCCTCCAAATCACACATCACTCAGGAAGGCTTCTTTGGAAATCCCTCTATCTCTATGACCTTAGAAGGAGCCCGCTGCAATGTTTAACAGCCCTGGGATCAAAATTTTTTTTTTTTGTTTTTGTTTATTGAGTGAGCTCTGTTGCCCAGGGTGGAGTGCAGTGGCATAATTTCGTCTCACTGCAACCTCCGCCTCCGGGTTCAAGCAATTCTCCTGCCTCAGCCTCCTGAGTAGCTCACATTACAGGCGTGTACCCCACACCCAGCTAATTTTTGTATTTTTAGTAGAGACAGGGTTTCACCATGTTGGCCAGGCTGGTCTTGAACTCCCGACCTCAAGTGATCTGCCCGCCTCGGCCTCCCAAAGTGTTGGGATTACAGACATGAGCCACCGCGCCCGGCCCAACTAAACTTTTTTCTAACATCCAATTTACTTAAATTGAGACCTGCTTTTCTTTGACCTACAGAACTATTTCTTAGCCTTTCTCATAATCTTCCCACTCCATGCAAACTCTTTATGAAGGCAAAGGAGTAATTCTCAAACCTCCTGCCCCAATATTATTTGGGGCTCAATACATATTTATTGAACGAATGAACAATTTCCTTCTCATTCCATGCAAACTCTTTGTGAAGGCAAAGGAGTAATTCTCAAACCTCCTGCCCCAATATTATTTGGGGCTCAATACATATTTATTGAACGAAGGAACAATTTCCTTCTCATTCAGTCTTGGGATGTAGGCAGAGGGAGTCCAGTGTATGGACTGTGTGAGTGGCTAAGGAGGATATGGTGATCCTAGATCACTATTGGGAAGTGGAACTGCTCAGTCCTCAGCTCCTCACCCTGGGTCCTTTCTTGGGGTCCCATTCCAGGCTTATGTCTGGGTAGGTCTTTCCATTGGAGAGCCCACGACTTGTGCTTGGTAATTAAAAGAGAGGGTCTTATGTAGCTATGCCTCTGGCTTTAACTCTGATTGCCTTTTCCTATCTCCCTTTCCCAATTACCAAACTTCCCCCATCTTTCAGTTTTTCATTTAAACTCCCTCTTTTCTGTGAGGGCGATCTAAGGAGGCCAGCGAGAAGGCTGTCCCCTTTCGGTGCTTAGAGTCAAGATATGCAAGATCACTCGATTAACACTAAATTACTCGTATATTACATTGCACCCAACCAGAATGTTTCTCTAGTTAGTTAAGAACTCACAGATGCCACAAAGGTAACTGGATTAATGTATTTTGAAACATTCTGGATATCGGCTTTAGAAATCCGGAGGTTAGAGACAAGAAAGATTTAGTATTGGTAAGAGATGCTGTCACAAGAAAAAAAGAGAAGGTTTTAGTAATAATCCAAGTATAATCTCCCTGTCCTCTGTGGTCATTCACTCTCTCTGCTGTCTATGTCCCATTTGCTGCCAACAAACTCATCTGCTGTTTCTTTACCAGCTCCCACTGCTCCACTTGACCCCTGGGTCCCAGGTTCTCTTCTAGTCACCACGTTATGGGTTCTTTTCCCTGTCCATCACTCATTTTCCGCAAGGACAGGATTCCATTTCTTTTTGAAGGTGGGTTTCCTAACAGAGGTTGGTTCTCTGGCACACAGACAAGTTGTACTCTACCAGATATCTGTGGGATGATCTTTCCAGCACAGTCAGTTTGGGAACTTTAGCTTCGTAGAACTCCAGATTTAACAAAAGCTTAATTAGTGGGTGATTATCCACTTTACAAAGGATTTCTTTAAATAGCAAACTCCCAGAATGGGCTTAAAATAGATTTAATTTAACCCAAGTCCAATTTGTACACCCTGTTCAATAACGTGCTGATTGTTAGAGATGAGGTGTATGTGTGCTATGTATTTATAGTCTATGTATTTATAGACTGCTTGTTTGTTTTTTTAAACCTCCTACTTCTTGCCTAGTAGACCACACTCCCTCTTTCAAATTCTTCAAGATTCACTTCTAGGAGAAGCCTATTTTCTAATGAAAAAGAGAATCAACTTGGTCCCATCAATACTATTGTCCATGATCAGAGAGAGGGGATTTTCTTCACTAAAGACTACCCCAAGACACACAGCCTCTTCCATTTCTCTTTTCAGATCTCTGTCTCTTTCTCTGTCTCTCAGAACACACAATCAGCAATTGTAAAGTTCACACTTGACTTTAGTCTCAGTCTCTGGGTCCCTATTATCAAGGCTGTGTCCACACCACTCACGGGCTTTGGGATAACAGAAGGAAAGACTATGGCCTCATGCCTTTACCTATCATTAAAACTAGACAAAGAGACCTCCCCTCCCTTCTGTTGAATCTCTCTCTGAAATTCGGCAATACATATTGCATAGTTCAGTCCACATGACATGTGGTTCTCGCGCTATGGCTGTGTCTCTGGGATTCTTGCTAATCTGGTGGAAAATGAAGGTAATTTAAGAAGAAAATTCAGCTTATCTGTATAATTATTGTTTAAATGTTTCACTTATCAATGGGGTATTTTGGAGGACATGGAGTCCTCATCCATATGTAACTGTTAAAGAACTGTTTAAAGAAAAGGTTTAACAAATTACTGCCATGGTCTCCTTAATGGTCTTCCTTAAGTTTCACCTCTTTCTCATGAAAATTTATCCTTTCTTAACTGTGTGTCTCAAACTTTAATGTGCACGTGAATCATCTGGGGAGCTTGTTAAAATGTAGATTCTGATTTAGTATGTTTGAAATAGGGCTTGAGGTTTTTAGAATTTCCAACAAGCTCCTGGGCGATACCAATGATGTTGGTCGGTGCACCACACCTTGAGTAGCAAGGCTCTCGAAACTGCCAGAGTGGTCATCCCAAATGTGAATCTGATCATGTCACTTCCCTGCTTTATTTATATTTTACATTTTATGAGACAGGGTCTCACTCTATCACCCAGGCTGGAATTCAGTGGCACAATCACAGCTCACTGCAGCCTCGACCTCCTGGGCTTGGTGATCCTCCCACCTCAGCCTCCTGAGTAGCTAGGACTATAGGTGTGTGCCACCATACCTGGCTAATGATTTCGTATTTTTTTAGAGATGAGGATTTGCCTTGTTGCTCAGGCTAGTCTTGAACTCCAGGACTCAAATGATCTGCCTTTAAGGTTAAGGTAAAAATCCTTCGGTGACATACAAGGGTCTTTATAATCAGTCTCTGCCTGCCTTTCCAGTGTCATTTGTGACACATGCTGTTCCCAGAACTGCTCAAGCTCTTCTCTGCCTTTGCCTGTGTGTTAGTCCCCATTGACCTGGCAGATTTCCACTCACCCTGCTAGAATCGACTCATACATCTCCTCCTCCAGGAAGCCTCATCTGTCACCTCAAGGCCTCTGTGCTCCCCCCTTGGAGGGAAGTACTTGCTGTGTACCTTGATCACCTGTTGCATGGCTGGAAAGTTTTGTCTACCTTTTGTTCTCCCCATTAGACTTTCAATTTCTGCCTTGGTCATATTCTCATAATCTGAGGACCTCCAGCTCCTAGTCCTGTTCCTGACACACTGAATACATATTTGAGTGAGTGTGGAAATGAGCTTGTAATTTTGTCTTTTTGCTCCCTACATAGTGCTTGCTCAGCTAAGGTCAATCTATCTCTGATTGTTGTTTGCTAAGCCCTCGTTCTCGGAAACCTATGTTCAAGCTTCTATCTGGGGAGATGAGTCTGATGTATGGGAGTCACGTCTAATTCCATGGCCTGAACATTAGCAGCAGTTAATTCATTGCTGTTGTTTGGAAAATGTTAATTAATCAACTTGATTCCCCTGGTGCTAAAGGGAAAAAGTCAAATTACTTTAAAAGCAGCATTTACTGCTTCAGGTAAGTAAACTCTGCTAGCAAAGGCAACATTCTCAGACCAAGCTGCCAATTAGAACCACTTGGGAATCTTTAAAAATACTGGTGCTTGGGTCCTATCCCCAGGAATTCTGATGTAATTGGTCTGGGGATAGGATCTGGCATCAATATTTTAAATATCTACCCAGAGGATCCAGTGAGATCCACCTTACCAAGGTAAGCATCATAACTATCAATCATGACTCTTTCCTACTAATCAGTTGCCACTTATCTGATGATGGATTATCCAACTATTGTTCCTCCTTAAAAAATCTTGATTTAAATTTCTTCTCCACATAATTAGCAAGGTCATAAAATTCTTACATCAATGAATTCACTAGCTCTCATGTACAGGTATGCTTCTATGCAGTCTTTAGTTTTACTAAGAGGTCTTCTGAACTAAAACCCTTGTGTATTGCCCCAACCAGGTTCAAATCAGAGAGAAGGAGAATCAGCTTTGGATGGCTTTCCATCAATCCTGGATTGCTGCTTATCTCTAGAATGGACACAGCTGCTTAGCTCTAGAATGGACACAGATGTGGGAAGAGTTCAGATTAGGGCAGGTGTACAACTTTTTAGCTTTCTCTGGGTCAGTTTGAATAGAGTAATTTATTTGAAGAATTGTGCAGTCTTAGAACTTGCTATCCCCAGGTAGCAATTTCTGGATTAATTATCATTTTGAAATAAAGCTGCTACTGATATTCCTTCATTGGCACAGAGAATTAGCAATAGTAGTTACAAATGCTTAGCTCACAGAAACTTGAAGAATCAGATGTGTTTTCACTGGGGGCTCATTTTCCCTTTAGAGGGGATGGGCTTTGCAAGAGCATGGTCCAAGTGCGTCAGAGGAGACTGACATGATTTCCCTGCTCTCCTCTTACTGAGCAGATAGATGGGAATAGGGTCCTGGGAGCCACTGTCCCCATAAAAGGGAGTTTGACAAACAGAGGCCAATAGCACTGTTGCACATTCCCTAAGGCTGTAGTGCTTTCTGGCATTAAATCAATTGGCACAAAGGGGTCGGTAGGATAAACAGGGCATAGGCTGGTAAACTTATGGTCAATCGATAGTTTAATGTCACTCATAGTCCCCAGTCTGGTTCAAAGGAGGTGTTTTCTGGCTTATACACGGTCTCAGTAGATTTCCCACCCACCTCCAACCTATAAAGGTGTCTCCCAAATAAGATCAAAGGTTTAAAATGTCTTTAACACAGGCTGGTAATGCCTTGATAACCCTAGAAAAAAGGTGAGAATTTATTTTCCTGATAAGTTTATAAGAAAGTTTTATTATTATTATTATTTTTATTTTTATTTTTTCAACAAGATCTTACTCTGTCACCCAGGCTGCAGTGGCACGAGCATAGCTCATTGCAGCCTTGAACTCCTGGGCTCAAGCAATCCTCCCACCTCAGCCTCCCAAGTAGCTGGGACTACAAGCACACACCACTACGCTTGGTTCATTTTTTATTTTTTGGAGAGACAGGTCTTGCTATGTTGTCCAGGCTGGTTTTGAATTCCGGGGCCCACGTGATGCTCCCACCGTGGCCTCCCAAAAATTTGGGATTACAGGTGTGAGCCACCATTCCTGACCTAGGAAAGCTTTAAAAGCAGCCCCACTAGAGAGAATTTCCTTGAAGGGAGGGGGCTGTTCTTTTTTGGTATTCTTCCCTCTGCCTCTTCCCCACGTTGTCTTCCAGATTATGGATACTCACAAATGACAGTGAATAAATGTCGTGAAAGATTTTGAGTGCTTATTATAGCCAAGTGCTTGTATTTTATATACAATCTCTAATTAAATCTTCCGAGTAATTCTGAGAGGTAAGTAATATCATCACCCAGTTTTACAGATGGGACTACTAGGGCTCAGTGAAGTCAAATAACTTGTTCAAGACCATGCAACAAGTAAGTGCAGAAACCATATTTGATCCAGGTTTGTGTGATTACAAATCTTTGTTCCTAATTTACCTGGTTGTCTTACCATGGTCCCAGAATACCTCAATCAGAAGCACAGAGTGGGCGATGCGATTTGTAGAAATGCAGATTTCTAGGCTCGACTCAGAAGAGATTCTGATTCAGCTGGTTTGGTGTGGGACCCAATGATCTACAGCCTCTCAGGAACATGCTTGTTGAATTGCCTTGCGCATCAACCTGGCTTTCTTGGTGATTAGGGGTCTAAGTCTTCATCTCACATAGCTGTTGTCAAGATACCCCAAAATGGTTTGAACCTTTCACACCCAGACTTGCCTTAGCAACACTAGCTGTCTACACATCAAGAGGAGCTCTTAGGCCAGGCATGGGGGCTCATGCCGATAATTCCAGCACTTTGGGAGGCTGAGGCAGGAGGATTGCTTGAGCCAAGGAGTTCAAGACCAGCCTGGGCAACATAGTGAGACCCTGTCTCTACAAAAAATTAAAAAATTAGCCTGGTGTGGTGGCCTGGGGTCCCAGCTACTTGGGAGGCTGAGGTGGGAGGATTGCATTAGCCAGGGAGGTCGCAGCTGCAGTGAGCTGTGATCGCACCACTGCACTCCAGCCTGGGTGACAGAGTGAGACCCAGTCTCAAAAAAAAAAAAAAAAAGTTATTGTGCGGCACAAATATGCATTTTACTGCAGTCTCCTCCGAGGCAAGTGGCATCACCTGTTTCCTGGAGTGGCCCCCATTTTTTTCTGCATCAGTATTAATGTACCAGTTACATACAATGAAAGTTCTCGAAATATACCAAGGACTCCCTCAGTACCCTCTGTCACTGTAAACTGTGCTCTGGTATATTTTCTCAAGTGGGGCACTTCTGTCAACCTTAAATGTTAATTCTGCATCACTCTATAAAGGCGTGGCTACGAAGTCTCAGGTAATGTGGACTTCTTCCTTCCTGTGAATTCTAGAATGTGACTTTAGGAAGAAGCTTAGAGTCTGAATAGAAGTAAACTTTGAGGTCCTTCTACCTCGCACCTGCCCTGTGCCTGATGGAGGAGAATGGCTGTTCTTGTCCTCTCCATGAGGGGGCGCTCATCCTCTCCAGAGGCCGTGGCTGCCATTGTTTGACAGCTCCAGTTACTCCTTCCAAAAAATTTTAAAACTGTGAGGCGTATCATATACATCAAAGAGTGAGTAAAATGTGTGTGTACAGTTGGAGGATGATAGCATTATAGAACGAACATCTGTATATATTCCTCACCATGTTAAGGCATAGAATGCAAGCAGGCCTTTGACGCCTGGCACGCACACCTCCTGTTACGTCCCCTACCTTCCTTCCTCCCACAGATGTCTCCCTTCCCAAGTTCTGGTGTTAATCACTCCTTGATTTTCTTTATATTTTGCCACTGACATATGAATCAAGTTATCGCATATGTTTCATTGCAGAGGTTACCATCATGGACTCAAGAGCCAAACTGCCTGGATTCCCATCTCAGCCCTATGATTGACTGGTTGTGCGATACTAGCAAAGTAATTTCTCCTCTCTGTGACTCAGTTTCCTGATCTGTGAGATTGGAGTAATAATAGTTCTTACCTGAAAGTTGCTGTGAGAAGTAAATGAGTTTATGTTGCAAGACTTTATAATGGGACCTGTACATAATAAACATCATGACAATAGTTATTGTTATTTATATTAAGCTGATATCTACCTTCCTGCAGATCATTACTTCTCAGGTATCTGTGGTGAAAGACCTTTAAAAAATATTTCTAATCCATTGTGGACTGATAATTTTTAAAGTACAATAACATTGAATAATTAGAAAAGTGAAATAGGCCAGGCGCAGTGGCTCACGCCTGTAATCCCAGCACTTTGGGAGGCTGAGACGGGTGGCGCACATGAGGTCGGGAGTTCAGGACCAGCCTGGCCAACATGGTGAAACCCCGTCTCTACTAAAGATACAAAAAATTAGCCAGGTGTGGTGGCGTGTGCTTGTAATATCAGCTACTCGGGAGGCTGAAGCACGAGAATCACTTGAACCCGGGAGGCAGAGGTTGCAGTGAGCAGAGATCACACCACTGCACTCCAGCCTGGGTAACAAGAGTGAAACTCCATCCAAAAAAAAAAAAAAAGAAAAGAAAAGAAAGAAAAGCGCAATAAAAACTCAGATATACAGAATTCAAACTCCGTTTTTTTACTGTTAGAGCCAACAGAAATAAAATTACGATGTCAAATTGTTATAAGTGTTTTTCAATGATTATTTTCAATTTCTAGACTTACTTTTCATGAACTGGTAGCAAACAGCTTGTGGACATCCACCAGCTCACAGATACAGTAGTTTCTGGTGTTAAGGAATCTTCCGTGTAAAGACTAGAGAACTGCAGAACTGAGTTCTGATTTTTCTGAGTCAGGAATAACACAAGAACCAACTTAATTTTCTGAGTCTTTTTTTCCTTTTTTAGAGACAGGGTCTTCCTCTTTCACCCAGGCTGGAGTGCAGTGGTGCAATCATAGCTCACTGCAGCCTCAAACTCCTGGGCTCAAGCGTTTGATCCTCTTGCCTCAACCTCCCAACTAGCTGGGACTACAGGTGTGCACCACCATGCCTGATGAGTTTTTTATTTTTTTATAGAGACGGGGTCTTACTATTTTGCCCAGGCTGGTCTTGAACTCTTGGCTTCAAGTGATCCTCTTGCCTGGGCCTCCTAAAGTGTTGGGATTACAGGTGTGAACCACGGTGCCTGGTCTGATTTTCTGAGTCTTGAATTAGATTGTGAGCTCTCTGAAGCTATCTCCTGCATCCTCTCCTCTCTTCAGCAGTGCCTTGAGTCCTCTAAGTGTCGGGGGCTATGGAGGGTTCATAAGACAGCTGTAGGGAGACCCATGAATGTTATAAGTTGAACTACATGAACTTGCCAACATTCTACTCATTTTGATTTATTTTATTTTATTTATTATTATTATTATTAGCAGTAGTAGTAGTATTTGAGATGGAGACTTGCTCTGTTGCCCAGGCTGGAGTGCAATGGTGTGATCTTGGCTCACTGCAACCTCCGCCTCCTGGGTTCAAGCAATTCTCCTGCCTCAACCTTCTGAGTAGCTGAGATTATAGGCACACGCCACCACAGCCAATTTTTGTATTTTCAGTAGAGATGGGATTTCGCCATCTTGGCCAGGCTGGTCTCTAACTCCTTTCCTCAGATGATCCTCCCACCTCAGCCTCCCAAAGTGCTGGGATTACAGGCGTGAACCGCTGTACCCGGCCATTTTGACTTTAAAAAAGGCAATTTCCTATGTTCCAATCTGCTATTTAGGTTTCCAGGTCTGACCTGTTTGACCTGGGGCTGTATATTGCACTCTCCCCACAGATCTGTGGACTAATCCTCATCAGGGACTGAAGTCCTCCCATTTCTAGGAGCTCACGGAACCTCAAGTGCTGGATGGGGAAGGATGGCCTGGTGATCTCCTCCTGCCTGTGTCCTAGCTTTCAGTTGCTACTAGAACCCAAGGCCGAGGAGTGGCTTGCCCTGACCCCAAGGTATCTGTCAAGGAAGATCCTGTTGTGCCATTTGAAATGGACAAAACCTGGCTGAACATAACCCTGTGGGTTGAAGTCAGGACTCCCGGTTCTTACTTAAGCTCTGTTATTCATTTGCAGCCTGGGTCATTCTGCCTCCTAAATACACAATTTCTACAGTGACTCAGATGCATCCACATTGGACTCAAATCAGGATTGAAATCAGCCGGTAGTTCAGAGCTGCTTCTGAATTAGAAAGTCTATTTATTTTACTATGTGTTTTTAAATTAGTAATATTCATACAAGACTAGGGGGTCAGAGGCTCTGCTCACCTGATGTGAAAATTACTATTTTTAATTCTGACAACTGTAGGGGGAAAATAATCACAAAGTCTGCTTGAATTTTCATCAAAAATAGTCAATGTGGTGACCCTGGATTAACATGTTATGTTTTCCAGAAAGCCCCAAGAGATGAGTTTTATAGTCTTTTGATCTGAAAGAAGGAACATGTCAGTTTCTGCCTGCCTGAAATCTGCCTGACAAGATTCATGCCTGCCACTGGCCCTCAAATTAAGGGACAAGCTGCCAGTGGTGGTCACAGGTTACTGATCCTGCATTTGGAGATGTGGGCCAGAGAGGGGAGCGTGGCCGCTCAAAGACAGCCTCTGACTTTCATGTCCCCTTTCTGTGCACTGTTATGAGCTCGGTTGTGTCCTCCTAGAATTTGTATGTTGAATTCCCAACACCCAGTACTGTGACTGTATTTGGCAATAAGGACTTTAAAGAGGTGATAAAGTCAAAATGAGACCATTAGGATGGACCCTTCCAATGTGACTGTGACCTTATGGGAAGAGGAGATGGCAGGGGCACAGCACAGAGGGCAGACTGCGTGATGAGGCATCAAGAAGAGGGCCTCAGATGAAACCAAACCTCCCAATACTTTAATCTCAGACCTCCAACCTCCAGAACTGTGAGACAATACCTTTCTGTTGTGTAAGCCACAATACCTTTCTGTTGTGTAAGTCTGTGGCACTTTGTTATGGCAGCCCAAGAAAACTAACACATGCACACACATGCTTGGATGCATGCATATGGCCACAGCCATAAAGGCGCACACATAGACACACAAACAGAGATCACCCACAAAACAGCCACGCAGACCTGTGCTCACTGCCGTACACACTGCCATGCGCTCCACTGCTAGCAGGAAGTATAAACAGAGATTGCTAAACTCAATCTCAGCCTAGTTAGTGCAGAATATCTCACAAAGGGTAAAAGATCAGGAAAACAAGCACAAAGAATAGTGCAATTCAGAAAAGGGGCAAGAGGGCTGAAGCGTGAGATGGGGAAGTGGTCCAGGGTGGTGCACGGGAGAGTGATTGAGTGGTAAGTGCTTTGGTTCAGGTGGTAGACAGTCTGCCTCTCAAAGTAGCTCTGTGACTTTGGGAGGCTGGGCATGGTGGCTCATGCCAGTAAGCGCAGCACTTTCGGAGGCTGAGACAGGTGGATCGCTTGAGGTCAGGAGTTCAAGACCAGCCTGACCAACAAGGTAAAACCCTGTCTCTACTAAAAAAATACAAAAAATTAGCTGGGTGTGGTGGCATGCACCTGTAATCCCAGTTACCCAGGAGGCTGAGGCAGGAGAATAGCCTGAACCTTGGAGGTGGAGGTTGCAGTGAGCTGAGATCATGCCACTGGGTTACAGAGCAAGACTCTCTGTATAAAAAAAAAAAAAGAAAAGAAAAAGAAAAAAAAGCTCTGTGACTTTGGGTAAGTCACTTTACCTCTCTGGGTCTTGATTTTTCTATTTGTAATAATGAGAGGTTGGAGGAGCGAAGCGGTTCTTGAACTGTAGCTTGCATTGGAATTACCCAGGATGCTCATTAAAACACTGATTGTCAGGCCCCCTCCCTGGAATTTCTGACTACATGTATCTGGGGTGGGGCTCAATGCATTTCCAAAAAGTTCCTAGGTGATGCTGATGCTGCTGGTCTGGGGACTACATTCTGAGAACCACACGACTAGAGGAACCCTCTGGGCTTTATTAGATGTGAAATCCTGTAACGATGGGCAGACATCAAGACCAAATATAACTGTCACTGTGGTTCTCGACCAAGGCGATTTTGCCCTGCGAGGACCATTTGGCAATATCTGGAGACATTTTTGATTGTCACGCTTGGGAGGAGGTACTACTGGTATCTAAGTAAATAGAGGCCAGAGATGCTGCTAAACATCCTACCATGCACAGGGCAGCCTCCCTGTGATGAAGAATTAAATGATCTGGATTAAAACATCAATAGTGCCCAGGTTGAGAAACGCTGCTTTAAATGATCCAATTCATCTAGATTTGAGTTTGCAAAAGATTGGTAGATGTTGGAATACACCGACTGGAAAGATTGATGCTGAGTTTTCATTGCTCTGAGGGGAAAGATCTATATAAATGACGCAAGATTCTTTGAGCTAGATTCCTCTTTCCAGAGTTTTTGCTCTTTGCTCTGGGACCTCACTCAAGGCTGGACAGGGTGATTACGGTTCTTGAGAAGTTTGCAGATTTCAGATCCCAGAGAAGCTTCCTGACAAAACATAAGGGCTGGCTCCCAGCAGGGCACATTCCCAAAGCAACATCCATCCAGGACCGGGAAGGCCTGGCTGTGTTAGAATGGGACTGGGTGTTGATTGCATTGTGTTTCCTTTCTCTGCTTGCTTCCAATCCATGGGCTAGAAAACGAGGGCAGCCCTTGTGGATTCTGATTAGAAGCTTCACAAATCAAGTTGCTAAATTTGCAGAACATTGTAAGTCAGAAAGATGTGCGTCTGTGTGTGTGTGTGTGTGTGTGTGTGAGAGAGAGAGAGAGAGAGAAATTTTGGATTTTGTGAGTGTGTGCATGTGTGTATGGTGAGAACCACGTATTCAAACCATTCCCTATTTCGGCACCTCATCCTGCCAATTACAATCTGCTTGGTGGTGTGAAACTGACAGCCGGCAGCAGTGATGGAGACAGGAGGAACGGTGAACAAGGGCTTTGTGCATTCTCAGCTTTAGAGAGAATGTTCAGTGGGGCGGACAGGCACGTAACTGGCAGGTTTAGGAATCAGTAAAAACCAAGAACTGGAAGTCCTAATTTATCGTCTGTTTCAATACAAGGCTACACACAGGCTATTTAATATAATGCATTGTTTACAAGTGGAGGAGAGTGGAAGTTATTGATGCATTACAAATGCAGGCAAATGCATCTCATAAGCCGAGGGGTAGGTAATAACAATCGCAGAAGACTAAATTTGACTTTAATCCCCTGAAGAATGGCATGCATACAGCTTAAAATGATAAAAGCTAGAGGGGGTGGGGAGAGAGGGAAAGAAAGGAGGGAGAGAAGGAGGCAGAGTGAGACAGAGAGGCTGAGAGACAGACAGAGAGAAGAAGAGAAATGCAAGCTGATTTTCTCCTGGGATTATCTATTTCTTGATTAGGAAATAGAGTGGAAATTGAGAGAAAAGATTTTTGAAGACCTTGTTTTGATAAACAGCGTCATGCTTGGCAGGGTGTTTTCGGTAGCAGGTCTGGTGTCTGCGTGGTCAAGCAGCTTGGAGCGATTTACAGACCTGCCAATCCCTTAGATAATCCCAAAGGCAGAAATAGAAAACAAGTCCTCGTTTGATTAGTGCACGTAGCCCGGTCTGCGTCCTTCTCCTGGGGTCTTTAGAGCCATGGCTACGGTGACTGGCTGTACACAAGCTTGCCTTGTCTTTGGGGTTAAAATTCCTCGACTGTTGACACAGTGCATGATGCTTTGGGCGGAGTAGGTGTCCTGTGAATGCTGGCAGCATGAACATGGGGTGATGCAGGCGCTCACGAAGAAAGGCTATGTCTGGACTCCATATTTCAGTCTCAGCTGTGAAAGTGACTTCAGAGTAAGCAAAAGAGAGTCAGCTCCCCACCCACACTGAAATCTCTCTGCATTATTTATTGACAAAGGTGTCCAAATGCTGGGTGGAAAACCACATGGTAGGGCACCTCCTACCCCTGGTGCATCCCACTCCTTTGTGGAATGGGACTTAAGAATGATCACCACGTATTGGGTATGTGGACACTGCTGTGCTGAAATCTCTATGTGGCTTATCTCTCTTTATGCTTATATCCAGCTTAGGAGGTATTAATCATTATTCCCTTCTAAAAGACGTAGAAACTAAGGCACAGAGAGGTTTCACAGCCGGTAACTGGTGGAGGGAGGAAGGACTCAAGCCCAGGCAGACTGACTCTGCAGGCTGTGCTCTCAACCATCAAGGTCGTTCTTCTTTGAGTTGACCTGAAGTTTGCCTCTCCCACCTCCCTGCGGGATCTCATTGCAGCGGTTAGTCCCATGCAATGGTGTGCCCACTGCTGGATTTCCATTATCAACGTGAGTCACATTTGCCTGGTTTCTGGATGTGTTTGCAGGGCACCATCTGCCTTCTCTGGTGATCCAGTGGCAAACAGAGGGAGAAAGGAGATTGGCACTAGAAGATCTTCCTGTGACAGCTTTCTAACTGTGACAGCCAAGTGCATCCAGCCTGGGTCATGGAGCACAGAGAAGCCCTGGTCATAACTGCATGAAGTCACTATTTGTGGATCACTCTGAGATAAACAAATGAACTCACTCTGGAGAATAAACAGTGGTCTGGGTGACCCCATCTGTGTGCTTAGGCTGCTTGAATCCTGAGGACAGCCAGTAATCTCACCTCTCTAGGCTAACCCCAACATAGCAGGCTCTGAGCAAACATTTGTCAACTATCTGATCTGACAGCATTCTGGCTGAGAGCAATGCTGCCAGCTCATGTCCTCAGAAGGGCTGAGCCTGGAGAGAGAACACATTTTTGTTTAGAAGCTTGATCTTGACCATTTGTCCATGACTTTGGGGTAAATAGACTTCACAGCCTGGAGTCCTATTCCCTTGCAACTGGCACATATTTTTGTGCTTTGTGTCTTATGCATGTTTGCCCAGGAGGCATGATGGGGCCATTGCTCCCTCCTGGTTTCCTACGGGAACTTGTGGACAGGTCACCTTCTCAATCTAGGATAGAAGTGCTCCCAGGATGTTTCAAAGAGAGAAGCTAAACTAGTCCAGACAAAATACATGGCATGCCCCAAACCAAATGGATTATTTCCTTCTCTTCCTGAGTGCCATTTCTACTGAATTTCTACCATAATTTTCTCAGTCACACAAGCTTGAAAAATCAGAGGCATCTTTGTCCTCTCTTGTGACTCTCACATCCAGTTAGTTGCCCAGTCCTAATTACTCTGTCCCTGGAATGTCTCCCCCTAAAAAGACCTGTAGGTAGTTCAGGTCTTTTTAACATTCATTTGATCAACTGTAGCAAACTACTAACCGGTTTCCTTGCCCCCAGCTGTCAACTCACTTTGGATGCTCCTGATCCCGCACACAGGCAGAGAAAGAGCTTCCTAGTGCAGTGGTTTTCAAACTGAGCCCTAGGAGCCCTAGGGTTTCCCTGCCATGTGTTAAGGCCTTTTCAATAAGCGAGGGTCCAGGGCTCAGGCCTGCAGGAGTCTCTTGGGGCCCTCACTGCAATTCAACCAGTTTCAATTTCTAATTCAACTTCTAATTTTTTTGAGATCTGAAAAAAAGACTTAAAAGGCCATAAAGAAACAGATCTACTTTTTTTTTTAATCTCTTTTAGGACTTTGATATGAGATTCCACTTAAAGAAATGTGTTGCTAAGGATTTTCAAAACTGTTGTCCAAAACACAAGACCCTACTGAAGAAGCTATGAGATAAAGTCTTTGTCTTGACTTGAAAGCTCTCCAGGCAGGGTTTGGGGAGCCATTTGCTCATGGGAAAGTTACCTCCTTGGTTCTCAAAGACCCAGAGACTAATGGGGCCTGGGACATTTAGGTTTCTTCCAAACCAGGGGTAGCGGATAGTCAAGAGTGAGGGGAGTTGAAGGAATGATGGGTCAAGTTGGTTCATGCTCCAGTGTTTGTTATCAAATCACTGGAAAGGTAAAACTGGAAATGGTTTGAGCTGAAGCTGAAACCTAACAGGAGAACCACTGAGACACCCCCACTGCACACCAGCAAAGGGCATTTCTCCCTCTGCGGTTGCTAGGGTGATGTGCATCTTTGGCAGTCTACAGAGGGAGATGATTCCCATGAAGTCTTGTCTCATTTGTCTCTTGCAAGCAGAACCAGAGGACAAAAACTCAGCTCAAAGTAGAACAGAAGAAGTGCAGCATTGGGGTCCAGCTTTCCTTCTGGTCTCTGAAAGGGAGTGTGTGAGGTTTCTTAAAATTGGACTCAGGTGTGTTCTGCCTCCAGCCTCAGCTAAAGAGCCAGCTCTGCCTTTCTAAAAGGGACAACTGATCCCTTGAGAAAGTTGTAGCCTTTGTTTAGGAGTCTTTTCTGATTTTGGCTGTCATGCACAAGATCAACACTGAGGCTGGATGAATACTTGGAGCAAATGAGTTATTATGTGTGAAAGGAAATCTAACATTTACCAAATGCATCCTTTATGCAGGGATTCAAAGTAGGTCAGTGTGATGGCAAAGTTATGTTCTAGCCACCATAGCATGCCATTGAGATAATTTAGACACTGTGAATTGCTATATGAGTGTTAGGTATTATTATTATTCTCTTAGTGTTTGAGAGGGCATAAAACTATGGTTCTCAGAGAAGAATGAGGCTGTATTTTAAAAATGATTTTCCTATGCCTTCTCCAAAAGAGATTTAAATTGGTTCAGAATAAAAGACATAGAGCTAATAACACTCTAAACCATTAACCCAAGAGTGAGATGACAAGAACCAAGTCATAAAAGGGAGCCAGGAAGTATTTCTAAATCAGAAAATGTAGGCTAGATAGCCACTTGTCCTGACCCCCAAGAGTCCACTGTGAGTATCTTTTCCAAAGTCTGTGTTCAGCAATATAACATGAGAAGTGGCAATGGTGGGGCTATTTACACCACGGAAATTGGCAAATCTTTCAAACTGGGTTTTTTTTTTTTCTCCAGGTGAGTTGGTTGTTAGACATTTGCCAGCACACCATTTGGCTAACAAATGCTACTACAAGCTAGTATGATGCGCTTTTGGCATTTGGCTCAGCTGTCTAAGGGGTGCTGGCTCCCAACTCCCTGCCCTCAAGAGGAATGGGTTCCATTGTGATTGCTGGTGGCAATGGTGATGGCATCACCCAATTGGGTGAGTAGCTAAGATAAGAAGCATTGTTACAGGGACTCTTTGCTTTCAAGGAACATTCAACTCCATTCAAGTTAATTTAAGCAAAAAGAGAAAGCCATCAGAAGGATACGTGTGTCTGTCAAAGAACCCAAGGATACATTTCTGGGTCTTATGAATGGCTGGAACCAGCAATTAGAAAGCCCTCAGACAGGAAGACTTTCTCTCCATTCTCTCTCTCCCTCTCTCTCTGACCTGTGCATATTCTCATCTGCTTCTCTCTGGCTATCTGCTTCATTTTTGCTTTCTGCAGACCCCATTTCTCAGTTCTACTTCCATGTGGACCCGATATAGTCTTCCCAGTCTTGATAAGTTTCCAGCTTAAGTACTCCCAGGAGGCCAGCTAGAACTCCTGTATTTCAATAATCACTTCTTAAAAAAGAATCTGATTGGCCCAGCTTGGATCAGGTAGTCATCCCTGATCCAACCAGCTGTGGTTGAGGGGATAAGGTCACTTGCAGGGACACTGGGAGAAGGCTCCCTGAGATAGGGCAAGGCGAGGCAGAAAGATGAGTTGACTAAGTATCTGTGATTAGCATGCATTCCTGTCCCTTGGTGGTAGCACCAATGGTAAAGGAAGAAGATACCAAGTTCTGGAAGACACGACAGACCATATTTGTTATTCTTCTCTGAATATGCATAAGCAAAGCATTTCCTTTGATGAAGAATGACTTGTATTAAGTAAGAACTGAACTCTGTTCTTTTTTTTTTTTTTTTAGATGGAGTCTCATTCTGTTGCCCAGGCTGGAGTGCAATGGTGCGATCTCAGCTCACCGTAATCTCTGCCTCCTGAGTTTAAGCAATTCTCCTGCCTCAGCCTCCTGAATAGCTGGGATTACAGGCTTGCACCACCATGCCCAGGTAATTTTTGTATTTTTAGTAGAGACGAGGTTTCTCCATGTTGTCCAGGCTCGCCTAAAACTCCTAGCCTCAAGTGATCCACCCAACTGGGCCTCCCAAAGTGCTGATATTACAGGCTGAACTCTGTTCTTAAGCTTTAATGTTCATATTTCTGGAATATAGTCTATATGAAAGGAAACAGAACAATAGTGGGAAATGGGAAGAAGAAAGAGAACCACAGCAGTGAGGAACCATGGCGGTGCGGAGAAAATACTAAGCAGTCCTGTGGCTTGGGTGCTGTCTCTAGAGGATCAGCATGGAATTTGGCCAAAACAGATATAAGTCAGATTTAGGTCTCAAGCATTGAGGCCTGATGCAGCATTTATTTATTTATTTAGAGACAGGGTCTCTGTCGCAAGACTGGAGTGCACTGCTGCAACCTCAGTTCACTGCAATCTCAGCCTTCCGGGCTCAAGCTATTCTCCCACCTCAGCCTCCTGAATAGCAGGGGCTACAGGTATGCACCACCACACCCGGCTAATTTTTTGTAGTTTTAGTAGAGGCAGAGTTTTGCCACATTGCCCAGGCTGGTCTTGAACTCCTGAGCTCAAGCAATCCACTTGCCTCAGCCTCCCAAAGTGTTGGGATTACAGGTATGAGCCACTGTACCTGGCCTGATGCAACATTTACGGATGGGGAGACTCTTACTGTGATTGTACTATTTGCCCAGTTTTCCACACTGATAAAACAGGCAATAGTTTAAGGAGAAAGAATCTGAGCCACCTTGGGTGTGCTGTCTCCCGAGACTCTGAGCAGAGCACCTTTTCCTGGGGAATGGTGAGGGAGGTGTGGTTGCACTGAGCAGTGTAAAGGTATTGGTGTGTGACATACGCCACTGTCTTTGAGATGCAGACATCACGATCATTGACATAAATTATTGCACACTGCTTCAAATGCTGTTCATACATAATTTCTAATCCTTGCTACAATCTTGCAGCATGGATGCCTGTGTTACCATCTTCAGATAGACAGCTTGGGGCCTCCAGAGAGCCAGAGCTGCTCAGTTGGCACACAGGAGGGCCAGGAATGGGATTTCTCTCTCTCTGGCTTAAAAGCCCATCCTCCTCCTTTTTAAAATTTTTTTTATTTTTAGTTTTATTTTATTTTTTGCCACATGACACCCCCAGAAACAGAGTCAGACATGAGAAAAGGAATCAAATGCATAGCCATCCACAGAGTTCCCGAAAAAAGAAAAGAAGGATTGTTTTAAGGACTTATTTTCATTAGGATTCCATTGATGACTTATTTTCGTTTCAGCTTGTATGTGGTGATGAATATTTACCTTATTTGAAGCTGTTGTTGTCAAAAGTTATCTGGAACAGGTAATGTGAGGCCTTCAGAGAGATCTCTCTTTGAAAATGAAAATAGAAATGACACACACTGGAGCCTATAGGAGGGAGGAGGGTGGGAGGAGGGAGAAGATCAGGAAAAATAACTAATGGGTACTGGCCTTAATACCTGGGTGACAAAATCATCTGCACAATGAACCCCCATGATACAAATTTATTACCTATGTAACAAACCTGCACATGTACCCCTGAACTTAAAATAAAAGTTAGAAAAATGAAAAAAAAAAAGGAAAATGTATGTACATATATACTTTGTATCTTTGAGTAATTGGTTCCTAATGACAAACATTTCCTTCCTCCAATTCAGTTCAGTGGACAGGACATGTCTAGGCAGGAGAGCCACAGACAGGGTGAGGGAGGAACCAGGTGGAGGAGCCCTGGGAGGTGCAATGGTGAACAACACTGCTTCCGGGGTCATTGGCTGCAGCAGCAAAGCAAAGCAGAGTGTTCATTGTGATTTGTCATGGAGAATGATTTGCCGTGCATTTGCCTTCTTAGCCTATCTACTTCCCCTGTGAGTAGAACTACAAGACATACATTTTAGGATTTTGAAGAACAGAAAAGCCTTTTAGGTGCATTGTCCAGAAAACCAAGAAAAAGCCCTAGTGGTTTGTTGCTCTGAACTTTGAAATCTTTGCAGCTGGATGTCACCATATTCTCATGTGTGTGAGATTATGGGTATTCTGTATATATTGTTAAGATCACAGGAGAACTAATCTGTGTCATTTGGAAGCCATTTTAACCACAGAGTCAGATATTTTAGGAAATATTAAAAATCCTCACTTGGAAATGAACTTTTTTATATCACATTTAAAAACTTGTGGTAAATACATATAACATAAAATCCACCATTTTAACCATTTCTAAGTGTACAGTTCAGTGGCACTAGGTACATTCATGTGGTTGTGCAATCATCACCCCCCAGTGTCTCTAGAACTTTTTGCATCTACCCAGACTGAAACTTGGTATTTCTTAACAATAACTCATTTTCTTTCCTTCCTTTCAACCCCTGGCAACCACCATTCTTTTTTTTTTTTTTTTTTTTTGAGATGGAGTCTTGCTCTGTCACCCAGGCTGAAGTTTAGTGGCATGGTCTTGCTTCACTGCAATCTCTGCCTCCCAGACTCAAGAGATTCTCCTGCCTCAGCCTCCTGAATAGTGGGGATTACAGGTGCTCGCCACCACACCTGGCTAATTTTTGTAATTTCTTAGTAGAGACCGGGTTTCACTATGTTGGCCAGGCTGGTCTTGAACTCCTGACCTCAGGCGATCCACCCCCCCCCCCCTCCTTTGGCCTCCCGAAGTGCTGGAATTACAGGTGTGAGCCACCGTGCCCGGCCCTTGGCAACCACCATTCTACTTTCTTTCTTTTTTAATTTTTTTTTGAGACGGGGTCTCGCTCTGGCCCCCAGGCTGGAGTGTAGTGGCAGAATGTCAGCTCATTGCAACCTCTGCCTCTCAGGCTCAAGCAATCCTCCCACCTCAGCCTCAGTAACTGGGACCACAGGGATGTGCCACCATGCCTGGCTAATTTTTGTGTGTTTTTGTGAAGATGGGGTTTTACCATGTTGCCCAGGCTGGCCTTGAACTCCTGACCTCAAGCAATCTGTCCACCTCAGCCTCCCAAAGTGCTGGGATTACAGGCATTCAGCCACTGTGCCTGGCCTACTTTTTCTATGTATAAATTTGACTACTCTAAGTATCTCATATGGTATTTGTCATTTTGTGACTGGCTTATTTCACTTAATGTCCTTAAGGTTTCCCCATGTTATAGCATGGCTCAGAATTTCCTTCCTTTTTAAGGTTGAATAATGTTCCACAGTATGTACCTACCACATTCTGTTTATCCATTCATGCAAAAATTGTCCAATGATATGAACATTTAGGTTGTTTCCACCTGGAAATACATTTCAATTTTTTTTTTTTTTTTTTTTTTTTTTTTGAGACAGAGTCTTGCTCTGTCACCCAGGCTGGAGTGCAGTGGCAGGATCTCGGCTCACTGCAACCTCCACCTCCCAGGTTCAAGTGATTCTCCTGCCTCAGCCTCCTAAGTAGCTGGGATTACAGGCATACGCCACCAAGCCCAGCTAATTTTTGTATTTTTAGTAGAGACGGGGGTTTCACCATGTTGGTCAGGCTGGTCTCGAACTCCTGACCTCGTGATCTGCCTGCCTTGGCCTCCCAAAGTGCTGGGATTACAGGCGTGAGCCACCACACCTGGCCTCAAAATGTTTTAGCTGAGAACAAATACTAATTACTGATTCATAGAAACAACTGTTTTAAGTTTACATATGGGACTGTCACATATAGTTTGATAGAAGTGCTGTTTTATAGATCCAGGGTCCAAACACCCCATACAGGATTGTAATCAGGTTCCTCATATCTAGATATTATATCTAGATCTAAAGCAAGTTGGGGTAAAACATTCTACTGGAATAGATTCTGTCATTTAAATATATTTGATTACTAATTACAGATTCTGCCTACAGTAACCAACCCTCTGCCAATTCCTAGAAAGTAAAAGGTATGTTATGGCAAAAATAGGATTGATTATCTAGGATCATGTATCCTTGAAACTTGCATGGTTTTAATTGAGTCTTTCATACAATTACACTGCTATACCAGAGTCAGGCTGCAAGAAGAACTGACTGTGGTCAGGGGCACATTTACCAAATGTGTTCTAACACAACAGAGGGAGTTTTCGCTGTGTTGGGGAAGAGAAACAATTTCCATTTGGATTTGCAAATTGCTATTCCTGTCAAAAGGAGCAAGCTGATAACGTCCCCAGTCTTCTTTTAGGAAGTTTGGGGAACACAGAGCTCACAGGCAGAGGTACTCAGAGAGAGACACAAAGCCACAATCATGTAGAAGAAAAAGCCAGCCCTGAAATGGTAAATTATTGACAACTGGGCATTCAGCGGAGAGCACTGAAAGGAAAGTACGCACTCTTCTGTAACCACAGCAGATGCAGCCTGTTTCTAAAATCCAAGGCCAAGAGGCAGGTATTTTCTGCAATTAATAATAATGACACTGATATCAGGAAGTAACCATTCTGGCACAGACTGGCAGGGAACAAGAGCAGCCTGGGACACAGAGATCACAGAGACTGGATAATGTGGGAAGAAAACGAGTCCCTACGGGATGAGACAAAAGCAACTCCTTGTCATGTCTGACTTAATGCTGGGAGACTGGAAGTTAATATCAGAAGCCTGTACATACTTCTTATTGTTGTTTGTAGGATTATATTCATGTTAATTGCATAACGAAGCGTGTGTAACTGTCATTCTATGGTGCACAGTCATTGATTGGCAACCAGTGTTTCTGTTGTCTTCATACTAGCCTCAGTTAGGGAACCTCTTCAGGGGTTCCTGGAGAATGATCTGTGAAGCAGCTGGAATGTTCTGACTTCTGCAGGCCCCATTCTGGTCCCTGAACATTGTCCTAAGGGAAGACATTCCTAGCATGAAGTACTCCTGTCTGCGTATGCTACGTGTGACTCAGCCCTTGTTTTCGGAGTTGATAATAGACCCAGTTTACTGCCTTGATATATTTATAGGTTCTATTATCCTTTTTGGATTTTCCAGTGTTTTCTTGATGCTCCTAAAGATCTCAGGAGATGTAACACAGGAGTGGGGAGACATACACAGTACCAAGAACTGAGTTCCTCCAGTGGCTTTTCTATGAATAGAAAGAGAAGGGAAAGAAAACAAGAACAGAGAAGGCATAGAAACGTGTTTTTTTGGCCAGGTGCAGTAGCTCACACCTGTAATCCCAGCACTTTAGGAGGCCGAGGCGGGTGGATCGTGAGGTCAGGAGTTCGAGAGCAGCCCGGCCAAGATGGTGAAACCCCATCTCTACTAAAAATACAAAAATTAGCCAGGTGTGGTGGTGGGCACCTGTAATCTCAGCTATTCAGGAGGCAGAGGCAGGAGAATCGCTTGAACCTGGGAGGCAGAGGTTGCAGTAGTGAGCCGAGATTGCACCACTGCACTCCAGCCTGGGCAACAGAGCGAGATTCTGTCTTAAAAAAAAAAAAAAAGAGAGAGAGAGAGAGAGAAAGGAAAAAAAGAAACTTTTTTTTCCCCTTAGGGAGCTAGGATAGTCATGATTAGACTAGTGATGGGAACTGAAGAGAGGCCATTTGCACTGCCTGGGCAGAGTGGCCTGGGCACAGGGCCAGAGGGCACCCATCTGGCTGCAGACCCGCAGGTGCCCTGTGAGGTACGTCCCTTCAAGCTTAGTAAAGCATATATTCTTTTGAATTGTCTAGATCCTCCCTCCAATGTTTACAGACCCTGGTGCAGAGAAATTGCTTCGCTAGGAGGACATGGGTTACTTTTCTCTGCAAATTCTTTTTTTGGGGGAATGGGAGGGGAAGGCTTAGGAAAGATGGGTAAGGGTAGGCTTATGTTCTGTGGAGCGACACTAACTGCCTTCTGTTTTTGGTTGATGGCTCTGAGGCCTGGCTTCTGAGATGCGGTATCGCTCTAGCTCCTCACGTTCAGAGTCACCACTGGCTTTCTGGATCGCTTCGGATGGGCCCTTTCTCTTAGCCTCTGTTTTAACATTGGTAAACTGGAAAATTCCAGGCCATTTCTTTGTGTGTTCTTCACAAGGATACAGGACAACCATTAAGGCTGTGTTCTAGAAAATAAAATACTTTGGGGAAGAGAGTCTAGATTTAATTTTCTGTGATGATTTAATAGATTCAAAAGGCAACTTGAGAATATTTTTCTTTGGCCCCCTCTATTCCGTATGGCACAACTCCAGTCCAGAGTCAAGCCTCCCCCACCCCACCCCGCGACACTTGGCTGTTTCCACCAGCCTTTGTTGAAGTATCTTGTCACGTCTAAATCTTAGACCTTTAGGCTCCTGTGCACACCATTCAAAAGTGATTCTATGTAGATTTGACTGTAATTAAACCTGCTTTTCCTTTACAATGTTGTTAAGATTGACATCTGAGCAGCATAAGTCCTTATTTTTCCCTTGACAGATTATTTTCTTTATTCAAATAAAGCCTGTGTTCTATTTTGAATGCTGGGAGAATGGAGATTTTCTTTTTTCCTTTGGAGTTTGAAGCAATTAGAGCCACAAATTAATTTTTCACATTAAGAGGGGTGTTTTGTCTTCCAATCTGCACCTGCTCAGCCCCATTTCCAGTTATTTGGAGGTTGTTGCACGAAAGAAGAGGAAATAATTATGCCGGGACGGAGGGAATCACTAACGGCTAATCAATAACTGTGGAGTTTTTCAAAACTCTAAAGAGACTCGGCACAGTGTTGGGATAAACAGTGGGATCATTTAGTGGTGGTTTCCCTGGTGTGAGGTTCCTGGAAACATCCAGAATTGATCATCAAACATCTCCACTTATACCTGTGTCCTTTAGTCACTTAAAATTCAATAACAAATTTATTATTCTCCCTCAACTCTCTGCCTGCCCCCAAACTTAATTCTTCTGTATCTCCAGGCTTTGTTAAGGTTGTTTAACATCCACAGTCTCAGAGCCAGAGAGTCCCTAGTCTTTCCTTCCTCACCCTCTAGCATGGACAAGGGTTGGCTTCTTACCCAATATCCATTCCTTCTCTCTCCTCTTGCTCACAGTGCCCAGATTTTAATTTGTGGAATTACTCCTCTCCCACCTGCCTCCCTGGGTATTTGCTATGCAGTTGCAGCAGAGTTTACTCTACCCCTAGCCCACATGGTGGGCCCTGATTAGTCCAAGGCCCTTGAACAAATCCTTTAATGTTTTCATCTCTCTTGCCATAGAAATTGGCTTAGAGGTTGGTCCACATCATTCATTGTGTGGCCCTCCCCTGGCCCTGAGATTGGTTCTGACTGGTCCAAATAGAGTAAATGAATGGCTTTTGTGTGATAGCTGAAGAAAGGAAAACCTCTTTTTTGCTTTGAAGAAGGTGGTGCACAACTATGAGGTTGAAACAAGTTCAGCCTTTTGACTACCATGAAGAAACCCAGCAGGAGGACACAGCCCATCACCGAGGGAGGCAGAGCCCAGTGGATCACAGAGAAAGAGTCGGGGCCCAGGGTCCCTCTCAGTGAAGCACATCTGAAGCCCACTTTACTGCTGCACTTTTCCCATTACATGAGCAAACCAGTTTCCTTTTCGCTTATGCCAGTTTGTGTTGAATGTTCTGGTAATCAAAAGTATCCTTGGCTAATATATCCCCTCAATGATTCACAACAGCCTCCTGATTTTGCTTCTTTCATAAATCTCAAGTTCAACCTCTCTCTACTATCCTTAGTGTCACTAGATACTCACTATATTATTTATTGGGACCCAACTTAATTTTAAATGACAACTTTACCATTGAGAAACTTTCTAAGAAAACAGAAGCCCAATAATTCAGAGATTAGAAAGCTGACTGACAACCCCCAAATGATCACATATGGAAGTGTTTTATATCCCACGGGCAGATCTTCTGTAAATAAGGCCCTTCCAGGGCTCATTCTGTGCTGGCTTCCCAGCGTCATCCTCCCTGCCCCTTGCTTCGTGCCACATGCTGCAGCCACACTGTGTTTTTTTGCAGTTTCTCAAGTCCCAAATTCTTTTAAGACTTGTTATGTTATGTTTTTTATTCCTTTGTATATTCTCATTCTCGTGTTTGGAAAGAAGTCCCTCCCTCTTCCACTGAAAAGACTTGCCAGTCATCCTGCAGTCCCTGTGAAACCTGGGAAGCTTCAATCTGCCATCTTGGGACAGGTGATGCAATTGATAGGGCTGACTAGGACCAGGGATGAGACTAAGCTGACCCTAACCCAAGCTGTTGAGTCAATGCACAGACTGATAGACAGGTGTAGACAGGGCTTGGGAGCTATCAGAAATCTAGACAGGCCAGGGGTCAGAGCCAGAGGGTCTAGCAGAGTGACACGGTTTGGCTGTGTTCCCATCCAAATGTCATCTTGAACTGTAGCTCCCACAATTCCCATGTGTTGTGGGACGGACCCAGTGGGAGGTAATTGAATCATGGGGGCGGGTCTTTCCCATGCTAGTCTCATGATAGTGAATAAGTCTTACGAGATCTGATGGTTTTGTAAAGGGGAGTTTCCCTGCACAAGTTCTGTTCTCTTGTCTGCCACCATGTAAGTAGTGCATTTCACCTTCCACCATGATTGTGAGGCCTCCCCAGCCACATGGAACGGTGAGTCCATTAAACCTGTGTCTTTTGTAAATTTTCTTGTATGGGTATGTCTTTATCAGCAATGTAAAAACAGACTAATACACAGAGTCAACAGAAGTCATTCAACAGAGGCCTGGTTAATGGTGCTGCTGTAGAGGAGATGTAAAACAGAGCATGAATCCCAAAATTTCAGGCTACAGGTGGGTAGCACTGGGCCCAGCATAGTTAATTCTAACCAGAAGGCCAGGAGACAGGAAGAGAATCCTCTTCTTGATTTAGGGAGTGATAGGGAGACGCTGAAATGCATTTCAGCAGTCATCTTAACCCAGGGGATGAAGGGGATGGCTTAGAAATCAGAATTGCATGGAGAATACTGCTCAGTTTTATTTCTTATTTTCAAAAGGAGTTTGTGAGACCACTGCAGGTACCTCCTTCCAAGGAATCCTAGGATCTGGGGAAGGGGAGATGGGGATGTGGGATGTGTGGTTTTGTTTTGTTTTTTTCTTTTTTCAGAGACAGGTTCTTGGGTTCTGGTTCTGTGGTCTGGACTAGAGTGCAATGGTATAATCATAGCTCACTGCAACCTCGAACTCCTAGGCTCAAGCAGTCCTCCCATCTCAGCGCCCCAAGTAGCTGGGACTGCAGGCACACACCACCATGACTGGGAAATTTTTTTGTTTGGTTTGGTTTTGAGACAGAGTCTCACTGTGTCACCCAGGCTGGAGTGCAGTGGAACGATCTTGGCTCACTACAACCTCTGCCTCCCGGGTTCAAGTGATTCTCCTGCCTCAGCCTCCCGAGTAGCTGGGACTACAGGTGCCTGCCACCACACCCAGCTAATTTTTTGTATTTTTAGTAGAGACTGGGTTTCACCGTGTTAGCCAGGAAGGTCTCAATCTTTTGACCTCATGATCCACCCACCTCAGCCTCCCGAAGTGCTGGGATTATAGGCATGAGCCACCATGCCCTGCCAATGTCTGGGAAATTTTTAAATTTTTTGTAGAGACAGCATCTTGCTATGTTGCCCAGGATGTTCTCGAACTCTGGGCCTGAAGGGATCCTCCCACCTCAGCCCCCGAAGTGCTGGGATTACAGGTGTGTGCCACCATGCCTGGCCAGGATGTGTATATTTTAAAAAAGCTCTTCAAGTAATTCTGATGTTGTCTCTACTGCCCTTTGTGCTCCAGGATTGCCCTGGGGGGTGATCTTGCATCTGCTTGTATCTTTTTTATTTTTATTTTCATTTATTTTTTTGAGACAGGGTCTCACTCTGTCACTCATGCTGGAGTGCAATGGCATGATCTTGGCTCACAGTAGCCTCAACTGGTCTTAGGTGATTCTCCTACTTCAGCCTCCCAAATAGCTGGGACTATAGGTGTGAGCTACCATGCCTGGCTAATTTTTTGTATTTTTTGTAGAGACGGAGTTTTGATATGTCGCCCAGGCCGGTCTCAAACTCCTGGGCTCAGCAATTTGGCTGCCTCAGTCTCCCAAAGTGTTGGCATTACAGGTGTGAGCCACTGTGCCCCCCCTGCTTGTATCTTTAGCTCTTCTGTCCCCATCTCCTCCCTATACTCATCTAACTATGCTCAGTCACTGCCTTTGCTTGTGCTGTTTCAGAATGTTCTCTTCCATCTTGACCCTCTGGTTACCCTATACATCCTGCTCATTCCTAGCATCCACTAAAGCGTTCTAATCTTAATTCCATCTCCAAACTTTCTCTCCACGCTCAACCCTGGGTTAAGCTCCACACTCCCTTTTGTCACCACAATAACTTGATGCATCCCTTCAGAACTCATACTTAGCCTCGTTCTTATTGTTTGTTTGCTTCCCTTCTGAAACCTTGGAGAGCCAACACTACGCTTTTTCATCTTAGGAGCCATAGCTGTGCCTGCTGCGTAGCAGGCTCAATGGCTGTGGAAGTGCATGGATACCCGTAAACAAATGGAATCAAATGGAACAAAGGCCACAAGGCTGCTTTGTAAACCACAAGGTGCAGCAAAGGTGTAGCATATTATTATTATTGCTAGTCAACAAGACAGAAACCTCTGAAAGTCTTCAAGTTCTACTTCCTCTTGGATGCCTATCTTGATTCTTCTCCAGACAGAATCAATGACTCCGTTATTGGAACTCCCTCAGTAGGCTGCATTAGGCAGTTTTTTCCAGGATGCTTTATGCAAATTACCATTTATATCTCATGTGCCAGTCTCCCTCACTAGACAGGAAAGTCCTTTAGGAGAGGGATGGGATGCATTAATCCTGGGGACCCTTCTCAGAACGCTCTTAAGTGCTTTGAACATTAATATTAGTTGACTTCCTGCCCTCTTCCCTCCCCAAGGCAAATATCTTCATCTGCACTCACCTTCTCCCCTTCCAGTCTCAGATGAAGCAGCCAGCCTCCTCTGTTCTATTCTCCTGTGCCCTGGGAAGTTGAAAATGAGAGTGGATCCTGTGATCTCTTTAATCACTAGCAGCTAATGTGTCCGTGCAATGGATAAATGCGAGAAGTGTCTTCCCTTCCCTGAAGAGAGGCCTTCATGCTCATGCTCTCTTAGTAAAAAGGACGTGGAGAAACAGGGAACCCATTGGGAGAAGTAGGACAGAGAAGAGAAAGGGGGCTGCATTGAGGAGAGGACTTCCAGAGTAGCCAAGGGAACCTAGGAAGGATTTGCTGGTGTCTGTGCAGCCCCGGGAGCACGCTTGACTAAGAAAGGACTGGGCCTGGGATTGGGTGGATTTAATTATATTGGGCATAGACTTGCTGGAGCAACCTCCAATGCCGACCTCTGTATCTGGCCTGAGATTTGGTGCTTGCCTGTGCTTAAGTACGGATACCTTGGTTTTTGATCCTGTCTGCTTGTCAGGAGGTGGTACTGTTTTCCTCAAATATTAGGCCTGTGTGGCTACCAAGAACTGGTGACTGTCCAGGGAGGAGGCAGTGGCTGGAGGGGAAGGGCCACATTCCCAAGGCCTTTGTCACAAACAGAACCCAGAGCCTCCATGATGGCAGGGGAGGCAGGAATTGGCTGGCACTGCAGGGCATCGCAGGATTCTGGGGCAGGAAAGAACCTTAGAGCTCACACAATACATCATTTAAGGGATAAGGATGCTTGCAGGTGAGGCCCGGAGAGATTAAGTGATTTACCCAAAGTCATTCAGAGAAGCAGGACCTCAAGAAAAGACCCAGGCTCAGCCCACAGCTGGAGCTTTGCCCACACTACTGCAGCCCAGGCATCTGTGTAGATAAATGCACTTCATGGAGGTCAACTCAAGGGCCTCCCCCATCCCGAGGGCCAAGAGTCCACGGATGGGTCAGGGGAGCAGCTTACTCGGACCAAGAAGACATGAGGGTGGGTCGGAGAGGGGGTCACCCTTTGCTCCAGTGGGTTAGTGCTCATCTATCTTATCCAGCAATTTATTAGCTCAGTTCTATTACCATGGGCTAATTGTCCACCCATGATGAATAGGGCTGATTTCCTCCTCCCCTCAGCCTGCCCCTTCCCTCCTCCCTCAATCCCTCCTCCCTCCCTTGTTTTCTCCCTCCCTCTCTGCCTCCCTCCTGGTTTCTTTCTTGAACACCACTTTTGTGGTGGACATTGTGCACTGTGGCTCCAGAGATGAAAAAGATCCGTTTCTGTTCTCCAGGAACACACAGTATAGAAGGTAGGAGATGAGCAGGGGGTTGGGTGCTGTTCAGGGACTAGTCTTGTACTCAAGGGTCCTTTTACATGGAAATAATACAAGAGAATTTCTAAGATAGCTCTAGAAAGAAAACAAGATGCCCTTAAGGCCACTTTCACCATTCACTGTGAGACCCACTTACGTGTGGTGCCTGCGCCTCTCTTCCTTGATGCCTCCCTGAATTTATTTATTTTTATTTGACCTTCCTCAAACTTTCATCTACATTCATGTGTTTTTACAAACAACAAGCAAGCTGAAATACCATGCACACAGACACTCCCATGTGGAATCACAGCTCCATGCAAATACATGTGACCCCACAAACATTCAAGGGTACAGATGTACACAAAGGATGGGCTGGATATGTACGCAAATGATGCTTGCACATAGATACGAGCAGAACTACATAAACACACATGTAAATGCATGTATGAAAAAAGCTGTATCAATACGTGCTGAAAGAGTTTTGGCTTGAGGAAAGTCATTTCAGTGCTTTGTTAAAACAATGACAACAAAACAGGACTTGAGGCAGCTCGGCCAGCTTTCATGTGATTTATAACTCTGATTGCCTTGACTCTGACCCCAGAGCTCATTCAGAGAAAACACTTGGGGAAAAGCAGGGGACATCAAAAGAAGCAGTAGACACCTGGTTGATCCTCTCAGAGGAGAGGAATCCAGAGTGCATGGCTTCATCTGGGGTCCCTTGGCGCTTTGTGCAAATCTCTGCTAGAAACCCTTCTCTGTGTTGTAACCACTGGTTCATCAAATTGATTTTCCCACTAGACTGCAAGCTCCTTAGAGGCAACCTCAGTGTGGGAGTCATCTTGATGTTCTCAGCCCAGAGCGCAGTTCCTGATAGTAGAGGTTCAGTAAATGTTTGTTGACCTATAGAGGATTAATTGCTGTAACTAAAATGAGTAGATAGGGAGCACACAAGGCCACTCCTTAATTTTGGTGCATTTCCGTCTGTGTTAGTCTGTTTCGCACTACTATAAAGGAATAACTGAGGTATATATAAAGAAAAATGGTTTATTTGACTCATGGTTCTGCAGGCTGCAGGCATCTGCTTGGCCTCTGGTGAGGACCTTGGGAAGCTTTTACTCTTGGCAGAAGGCAAAGGGAGCCAGCATGTCACATGGCGAGAGAGGGCACAGGAGGCGGGGGGAGGTGTCATGCTCTGTTAAACAACCAGCTCTCATGTGATCTAATAGAGTGAGAACTCATTCATTTCTCTGAGGATGACACTAAGATGTACATGTAGCATCTGCCCCCATGACCCAAACACTTCCCACTAGGCCCCACCTCCAATAGCAGAAATCAAATTATGACATGAGATTTGAAAGGGAGAAATTTCCAAACCGTATCTCCCTCTCTCTCAGTGTGGAAGATAGCATGGCTGGGATCCCTTAGCCTTTATTTCAACCTCTGGTCCTCTAGAGTCCCTATTATTCTAGAGTCTGGGAAGCTAAGAATGACACTTCCGAACTCCCTTGCAGCTACATCTCTGGTTGTGATGTAGATGATATCAACCAGCTACACCAGGGGGAGACTTGAATTTGGAGCCGAGAAGGGCAGGGGACTGGACTGCAGCAATGTGGTGTTGCTTTGGATTCATTGGTTGTAGTGGTAGCTTCCTGATTTGACCAGGAATTTCTTGATTGTGGCAGGAAACTTGGTGGTACAGTTCTGTGCTGTGACTTGGGGAGTTGCTTCTGGTAGCTTAGTGATGTGGTTTGGCTGTGTCCCCACCCAAGTCTTGTCTTGAATTGTTGTTCGCATAATCCCCATGTGTCATGAGAGGGACCTGGTGGGAGGTAATTTAAGCATGGGGGCAGTTACCTCCATGTTGTTCCTATGATAGTGAGTGACATCTCATGAGATCTGATGGTTTTATAAGGGGCTTCCCCCAACACACTTCACTCTGCACTTCTCCTTCCTGACATCATGTGAAGAAGGATGTGTTTGCTTCACCTTCCACCATGATTGTAAGTTTCTTGAGGCCTCCCCAACCGTGCTGAACTGTTGAGTCAATTAAACCTCTTGCCTTTATAAATTACCCAGTCTCAGGTAAGTTTTATTAGCAGTGTGAGAACGGACTAATACACTCAGTGTAGAGTCTATCTTTGATACAGTGAGCCAGGCATATGATTCCTTGTTGTAAATCCCTTCCTGTTAAAACTGGGGAAAGTAGATTGTGCTTTTTATGAATTATCCTGATGAATACACAATCACAGGGACAGGTGCCATCAGTGCCTGCATTTTAGGGAAGCCAGAGTGTTCATGTATCCATTAGCCTTCTCATTAGTGTGTCCATGTGGAAGTGTTATAAGAGGTACAAAGACCACCCCTCTTCTCACATAATACAATCTGTCTTATGCTATTGGAGGTACATCAATGAGAAAGACCAGTTCGTTTAAAGTCTGGAATTGGAGAGACAGCAAGAAAGCTAGCAGCTAGGATGCAGCCCCAGCATGAGTGCAACAGAAAATGGCAGTCAGCCACACAGTGGGAGCCACAGTGGGCAGGCATGCAGGAGGGTGGTTTGGACTGAATGTTCCCTCCCAAATTCACATGTTGAGGCCCTAGTTCCCAGTGCGGTGGTGTTTGAAGATGGGGCCTCTAGGAGGTAATTGGGTGTGGAAGAGGTCACAGGGTTGAGCCCCCATGGTGGAACCGGTGTCCTTATAAAGAGATGATCTAACCAGAGCTCACTCACTGCCTCTGCTCTGTGAGGATACAGAGAGAAGACAACTGTCTACAAGCCAGGAAGCAACCCTCACCAGACACTGGATCTGCGGGCACCTTGATCTTGGACTTCCCAGCCTCCAGAATTAGGAATAGCAAATGTTTCTTACAGTATAAGGAGAATATAGACAGAAAACAAACAGACAATTAAATATATAATACATCAGGTCAATTCACTGAGAGTTCAATAATGTACTTTTGCCTCCATTTTTCAAGGAGTTTGAAAGGACCTTGTGGGCAAAGGTCTACCATTTTGTGAACCTTATAATGACCAGCACTAGATGCACAGTAAATAATAGGTCGATGCTTGTTTGCTTATTACTTGAGGTTGGCTGATTTTGCATGGCAAGACAGAGGATACAAAAATTAGGCTTTGCTTACATAAAACCAAATGCTATGGAAAACTGGCCTCTCACTGGGGTGGAAGTCACCAAGATCTATGATATTTTTTTTTCTTGTGAAGCACCATGATTGTTTTAAAAATCAAATGGCACAAATATAAGCTGAACATATATAACATTTATTTCATCATGACTTGGTTAAGGAACAATATAAAAAGGAAAGAGAAGAAATGTTATTAAAGTCTTATAAGCACTATCCCAAATGGACTACTCTAAGATGTTCTATTATTCCATACTGTCTCCTTTAAAATGGATTTTTCCCCTACAAACCTGCATAAATATTGCTTTATAGCTATTTTCTTTGTATATCTATACATCATTAAAACTTTATTGCTTTAATACAAAATTGTATGTGTCTTCTCATTACAACCAAGCAAAATTATGTGTGCACATGGACAAGGGCCAGAAGAGAAAAAGCAAAAGGGAAGTCAGTTATAGGGTGAAGGTTGTGAGGCTAAAGGTAGTTCTTTTTTTCTCCTTTAGATGTTTCTTCAGTGCGATTATGTGACATTTAAACAAGACTATACCATACTATTGATTGGGTTTGAAAAAATAGTAAAATTTTCTCCAACAGAAAAGAGTTCAAAACATGACAGTATGACCCAGAGAACCCTGACCCACATGTCAAAATGCTGCCGGCCTCAATGACGCCAGCTGGGAGGTGTCCTTGTGCGCTTCTGCACACCTAGAAGACACAGGAAGGATTTACCAGTCCACATGTCTTAGTCTCCCAGATCCAAGGTCTTAGCATCAGAAGGGCCTCAGAATTCCTTAGCCTGGGCCACACTCAGAGAAAGTCCTGAGCAGGGAGGCCCCCTGCATAGACCCAGGTGTCAGTCATTGTCATTCAAGAAACCTTCCTATCTCGGTTGGTGCTTCTCATTTGATTCTGCAGTCCTGACCCTATCATTTTGCTCTCATTTTTCTTCCTCCTCCCCAAAGACTCAACACAAGGAGCCAGGGACTGTGAGCCTGGAGAAACCCAGCTTCCAGTCTTGGTTCTGCCACTCACCCTCAGAGTGTCCTCTGAGCAAACCATGGAAGCTCCCAGGGTCCCAGTTTCTCATGTGTAAAAATGGGGGTGTTACACTAGGTGATCTCTAAAACCCTTTCATTTCTGGTATTCCAGGACTCTATGATTCTAAAAATGGAAGAAGACAGCCATGCATTTTGTTCAACCAGCAGAACTTTGGGGCTCAATCCAAGAATATTCTTGTTGTGGCTACCAGAGAGGCTCCAAACCCAGAAACTCAACTGAGGCAGACAATCTGGTCGCTTCAAATCATCATTGCCTCCTTTTTTTTTTTTTTTTTTTTGAGACATGGTCTCACTCCGACGCTCAGGCTGGAGTACAGTGGCTTCATCATGGCTCAATGCAGCCTTGGCCTTCTGGGCTCAGGTGATTCTCTCACCTCAACCTCCAAGTAGCTGGGATTACAGGCACATGCCACCATGCCCAACTAATTTTTATATTTTTTGCAGAGACAGGATTTTGTCATGTTGCCTAACTTGAACTCCTGGGCTCAAGCCATCCTCCCACCTCGGCCTCCTCCTTACTTTTAAAAATCTTTTACACCTGTAATCCCAGCAGTTTGGGAGGCCGAGGCGGGCAGATCACTTGATGTCAGGAGTTCGAGACCAGCCTGGCCCAACATGGTGAAACCCCATCTCTACTAACAATAAAAAATAAAAAAATAAAAAATAGCCAGGAGTGGTGGTGGGTGTCTCTAATCCCAGCTACCCAGGAGGCTAAGGCAGGAGAATTGCTTGACTCTGGGAGGTGGAGGTTGCAGTGAGCTGAGATCGCAGCACTGCAATCCAGCATAGGCAGCAAAGAGAGACTCAGTCTCAAAAAAAAAAAAAAAATTACTGTTTATTTTTATTCTTGTTTAGAAACAGGGTCTTGCTCCATCATCCAGGCTAGAATGCAGTGGTGAAATCGTAGCTTACTACAGCCTCCAATTCCTGGCCTCAAGTGATCCTCCTGTCTCAGCCTTCAGAGTAGTTGGAACTGCAGGCATCTGCCATCATGCCCAGCTAATTAAACAAAAAATTTTAAAGACGGGGTCTCCACTATATTGCTCAGGCTGGTCTTGAGCTTCTGGACTCAAGCGATCCTCCTGCCTCGGCCTCCCAAGGTGTTGGGGTTACAGGCATAAGCGACTGCACCTGGACTTCCTTACAGCACTGCTAGATAAACTTGGACTTATCAATTAAATAATTCCACTATTAACTCGCATACCTAGGAACTTTGAACTTCTTATGTAAATATATACACAAGGCATCTGGCAATGCAAGTTTATAAAGATGAGAAGGCAAAGACCTTAACTGGAGGGGAGGTGGGAGGGAAAGGGGAGGAGTAGTTGGCATGTATTGGGCATTTTTAATGGCAAGTTCCAGAAACCCAACTCAAAAGCAGACTTTATTGGCTTACATAGGGAAAAGCTCATTTCCATATTCAGCTTGACCAAGGGACTCTAGCGATATTGTTGGATCTGGATTGTCCTCTTTTCTTGGTCTCCTGATCTTGGTTCCTTTGTCACCTTCACTCTTGGGCAGTCTTCCAGTCAAGGTGGCCTCACTGCCCAAAGATAACCACGTTTTTCCCAACCATCCCTGTTTTGGTTCTTTTGGTTAGTCACTTTTATAGTCTCTAAAATAAATAACAATATAAACAGGCTTCTATCCCTGCTTCTTGATGAATCAGTATAAGTTTCTTTCCATGATGGAGGAAGATCAGACCATTCATACTTTGCCTGGCTCAACAGAGTTCTATCACGATGCTTGGTTTCTTCTTCTCTGGGACACGTGTGCAGCCTGAAACAACATCCTTACACTTCATGTCTTATTTTGTCCACTGTATCCTGATTCTTCACTCTGTAAGGCAAGGCAATTTCTGCTCACATCCTTCCTTCTGACTCGCCCCACTTCCTGCCACTTCAGGGTTGGTACTTGCTTCATTGTATTCTGTAACCATCATAGATTTGCCTAGGATTTCTCTGTATGTGGATTTTATAAGCAATAAGCAAGTGTTAGGCCAGGTGAGGTGGCTCACACCTGTAATCCCAGCACTTTGGGAGATTGAAGCAGGTGGATCACCTCAGGTCAGGAGTTCGAGAACAGCCTGACCAATATGGTGAAACCTCATCTCTACTAAAAATACTAACATTAGCCGGGCGTGGTGGTGCGTGCTTGTAGTCCCAGCTACTTGGGAGGCTGAGGCAGCAGAATTACTTGAACCCGGGTGATGGAGGTTGCAGTGAGCCGAGATCGTGCCACTGCACTCCAGCCTGGGCAACAGAGTCAGACTCCGCCTCAAAAAAAAAAAAAAAAAAGGAAGTGTTATTTATATTACTCTAAGCATGTAAATGTTGTTTACTGATATGCACATTACTATACTAGGGTTTATTCTCTGTAGGTCTAATGTTATCACTACTCTGCCTTTCAGTGGAGACTGTGACTAACATTTAGTTCAAATACATATTTTTAATACTCCAGTACTTGCCTTTATCAAAGCCTCAACTTTTTCTAACTTTAAATCATACTTTTCTTGTTGCTGTTAATTCCCAGAACCCTCTGTCTTTCTATTCCAATCTAGATCTCTACTCGCTGCTCTCTGGGGTTGAATTTGGTTGGTCTCCTGAATACATGACTTATTTCTTGTTTTATACTCTTATTTTATCTGGGCTCTAATTTCAAGTAGCTCCCTAAGAAAGGGATTATGAGAGGTAAACTTTGGACTCCTTGCCTACTTTGAAGTGTCCATTTTACCTTCATCCTGGATATGGAATTCTAAGTTGGAAATAATTTTCCTTTAGAGCTTGCTCCCTTGAGTTCCTGATTCACCGATGCTGATAAGTCTGATGCCAAGCTAACTTCTGTTCTCTTTTAGGAAGAAACCTTTTTTTTTTCTTTTCTTTTTTTCTGCATATGTTTACTATCTCTTTATCCCTAGTATTCTGAAATTTCATAATGCCATATCTAGGTAGAAGTCTTTTTTCATCCTTCGAGCCTTTACTTAGAGGAATCTCTGTTTAATCTAATAACTTGTGTCCTTCTTCAACTCTGGTATATTCTCTCTTATTATTTCCTAGCTAGTTTCTTCCTCTCTGCATTTCTTTCCAAAATCCTTGTTAATCTGATGTTGGACTACACGTATTGATCCCTTGCTCTTAAAGTTTCTTTCATATTTTAAAATCTTTTTTTCTTATACACTAAGAGATACTCCCAAATTTATCTTTCAATCCTTCCATTGCATTCTTTAAATTTCTGCAATTGTGTAGCCACATTTTTTAATTCAAAGAGCTCTTTCTTATTCCCTCATGGCTCATTTATTCATAGAATATAATTCTGGGTTTTACAGATTTTGTTTTGCTTGTGTTTTCAGTAATCTTCTGTATCCTGAATTATCTGTGCTCTGTTTTTTGGGGGAGGGGGTTACTGCTTGATTTTTAATTTTACATTGCAAATATTAGGTGCATTGTCTATGTGTAAAACCAAAGCAATAAAGAGACTGAATTGAGAGCTCTGTGTCTAGAACCTGGGTTGCTGACTGTCAGCCTTTTTAATGGGACAGGTGGGGAACAGGCTGTTATGCTGGGGCACCTCTACATGGAATTGGATGCAGGGCTTGACTCTGGTTACACTCCTTATTAGGTCCTCTAATTTTCCCCAGATGGTTTTTAAAGTTGAGAATAACTTTTTAAAAAAATTCTTAAATATCTTTATTTTTTAAAAAATTAAGAACATCTCTATCCATTATGATGGTTACTATAAAAAATAATAAATGTCAGCAAGGATGTGAAGAAATTGGAATGCTTGTGTGCTGTTGGTGGGAATATAAAATGGTGCAGCCATGATGAAAATCAGCATTGTGGTTCCTCAAAAGGCTAAACATAGAATTACCATATGATCCTGCAATTCCACCACTGGGTATATACTCAAAAGAATTGAAAGCAGGATCTTGAAGAGATATTTGCATACACATGTTAATAACAGCATTATTTATAATAGCTAAAATGTGGGAGCAACCCAACTGTCCATCGATGGATGAATGAATAAGCAAAGTGTGAGCTATACATACAATGAAATATTATTCAGCCTTAAAAAGGAAGAAACTTCTGCAATATGCTATAACATGGATGAACCTTAAGAACCTGATGCTCAGTGAAAGAAGCCAGTCACAAAAAGACAAATACTGTATGATTCCACTTAGATGAGATTACTTAGAGTGGTCAAAATCACAGAGACAGAAAGTAGCATGGTGGTTGCTAGGGGCTGGAGAGAGGGCGGAATGGGAAGTTATTGTTTAAAGGATATAGAGTTTTGGTCTTACAAGACTAAATGAGTTAAGGAAATGGATGGTGGTGACGGTTGCCACAACATTACGAATGTATTGTCTGGGTGTGGTGGCATGCATTTGTAGTCCTAGCTACTTGGGACGCTGAGATGGGAGGATCACTTGAGGCTATAGTGAGCTGTAATCCTGCCACTGCACTTCAGCCTGGGTGACAGAGAGACCCCATCTCAAAAAAAAAAATAAAAAATAAATAAAAGAAAAAGAAAAAAAACCTGCAAAAAACCATTATGAGTATATTTTAAAACACTGAACTGGGGTCAGGTACAGTGACTCATGCAATCCCAGCACTTTGGGAGGCTGAGGAGGGGAGATTGCTTGAGGCCAGGAGTTTGAGACCAGCTTGGACAACATAGTGAGATCCCATCTCCAAAAAAAAAGAAAAAAAAAATTAGTCAGGCGTGGTGATGCACACCTGGAGTCCCAGCTACTTGGGAGGCTGAGATGGGAGGATTGCTTTAGCTGGGAGGTGGAAGCTACAGTGAGCTATGATTGTGCCAATGCACTGGGAGACAGAGCAAGGCCCTGTCTCAAAAACAACAACAACAACAAACCCAAAAACACTGACCTGCACGACTGAACTGCACATTTAAAAATAGTTAAGAATATGAATTTTATGTTATGTGTATTTTATCACAATAAAAAGAAGTGAAAGAGAAAATCAACTGTCCTCAATTTTTGGTAGGAGAAGTTCCCGGTTACGGCAGATTTGTGCGCTGTGGTAGGGAAGAGTTGGAGGTTGGGCTGTCTACATGCTCCATCTGCAGGCCTTCAATTACTCCTCAGCACCACTTCTCACACCACTGCCTCATGTAACCTGCTATCTCAGAGTACAGAGTAGAGTTTTTTCAGGTCGTGCAGCCCCTTCGTTTATATTCCAGGCTGACTTTCCTTCTTTTCCCTTTATTTGTCATCATTCTTCCATCTGCTTTATGTCTTCTAGCAGTCCATTAAAACTCTTTACCTACTGTTAGCTCTCCTGCCATTCTCTTGACTCTTATGTGTTTATACCTTTCAAATTCTTCTTGTCATCTTTTTCATGGGATTTCGGGAGGAGGGGTGATACCCATGTGTGCTTGGCACCTCCCCCTGAACTGTCCAACCAGCAGTTGTTAATTTTGTGTAGAGTGGATGTGTCTCTGGATTTTCTATTGATTACGGATGTAGAGAGACTTTGAGTTTACTTTAAAATGCTCTAGTTTAGGGTTGGAACGAAACTTACACTTTAATAAATAAATCCCCATGTCTTAATTCAGGGCTGGATGGAAACATGGACTTGAATAAATAAGTCCCACGTCTTTCTTATATCAGTCATGGTTCAATTGGAGAAGCATGGCCGCTAGGTATGCGCTTATTTATTATGTATTATAAGGATTTGACCTTACCCAGTTGTGGGAGGTGATTGGAAAAGTCTCTCTCTGGCTGTTTTCTTAGTACTTGATCCTGGGGTTTGAGTCCTGCAGGGTGGACAAGGAAGATATATGTAAATTGGGGGAGAGTCAGGATGAGACGGAACCAGAGGCACAAGTTGGAGTCCTTAAGGATGGATTGAACCTGTGTCAGTTCTTGTTGCCCTTGGCCTTGATGGTGTGGGTGTCCTGCAGGAGGAGCTGGCACTCTTGATCACAGAAGTAAATATACGCTTGGTTCAGGACTTGGAGAAGACGAATGGGGATGTGAGAGAAGGGGAAGCAGCTTGAGGACTGATTGCTGTCTCACCGGATCCAACTGAGCCAGCAGGTGAGTGACAACATGTGGGAGCTGCCTAATCCCCTGCACCTGCCTGCTGAGAGTGAGAACCACATGGCTGCAGCCTTACCTCTACCCTCCCAATCTCCGAGACCTGCCCCAGCTGGGAATTCACAAGCAAATGAATTTTAGGAACCAGTTCCCTCTTCTCAAGTTGACACATTACAAAGCCACCACACTTTTGGAATAGAAAAATTAGGCTCAGAAAGATTACATGAATTACACAAAGCTTGATAACTCTTTTAAAACTTGGACTAGTAAGCAGGACTTTTGATTTCCAATACAAATACCTTTAAAAAATGTCGGGGATCAATTCAATGAGAAGAGCTAACTATCCTAAATATATATGCACCCAATACAGGAGCACCCAGATTCATAAAGCAAGTTGTTAGAGACCTAGAAAGAGACTTAGACTCCCACAAAATAATGCGATACTTTAACACCCCACTGTCAACATTAGACAGATCAACGAGACAGAAAGTTAACAAGGATACCCAGGAATTGAACTCAGCTCTGCACCAAGCTGACCTAATAGACATCTACAGAACTCTCCACCCCAAATCAACAGAATATACATTCTTCTCAGCTCCACACTACAGTTATTCCAAAATTGACCACATAGTTGGAAGTAAAGCACTCCTCAGCAAATGTAAAAGAACAGAAATTATAACAAACTGTCTCTCAGACCACAGTGCAGTCAAACTAGAACTCAGGATTAAGAAACTCACTCAAAACCACTCAACTACGTGGAAACTGAACAACCTGCTCCTGAATGACTACTGGGTACGTAACAAAATGAAGGCAGAAACAAAGATGTTCTCTGAAACCAACAAGAACAAAGACACAACATACCAGAATCTCTGGGACACATTCAAAGCAACGTGTAGAGGGAAATTTATAGCACTAAATGCCCACAAGAGAAAGCAGGAAAGATCTAAAATTGACACCCTAACATCACAATTAAAAGAACTAGAGAAGCAAGAGCAAACACATTCAAAAACTAGCAGAAGGCAAGAAATAACTAAGATCAGAGCAGAACTGAAGGAAATAGAGACACAAAAAACCCTTCAAAAAATCAATGAATCCAGGAGCTGGTTTTTTGAAAAGATCAACAAAATTGATAGACTGCTAGCAAGACTAATAAAGAAGAAAAGAGAGAAGAATCAAATAGACGCAATAAAAAATGATAAAGGGGATATCACCACCGATCCCACGGAAATAAGAACTACCATCAGAGAATACTATAAACACCTCTATGCAAATAAACTAGAAAATCTACAAGAAATGGATAAATTCCTCGACACATACACCCTCCCAAGTCTAAAACAGGAAGAAGTTGAATCTCTGAATAGACCAATAACAGGCTCTGAAATTGAGGCAATAATTAACAGCTTACCAACCAAAGCAAGTAGAGAACCAGATGGATTCACAGCCGAATTCTACCAGAGGTACAAGGAGGAGCTGGTACCATTCCTTCTGAAACTATTCCAATCAATAGAAAAAGAGGGAATCCTCCCTAACTCATTTTATGAGGCCAGCATTATCCTGATACCAAAGCCTGGCAGAGACACAACAAAAAAAGAGAATTTTCGACCAATATCCCTGATGAACATCGATGCAAAAATCCTCAATAAAATACTTGCAAACCGAATCCAGCAGCACATCAAAAAGCTTATCCACCATGATCAAGTGGGCTTCATCCCCGGATGCAAGGCTGATTCAACATATGAAAATCAATAAACGTAATCCAGCATATAAACAGAACTAACTACAAAAACCATATGATTATCTCAATAGATGCAGAAAAGGCCTTTGACAAAATTCAACAACACTTCATGCTAAAAACTCTCAATAAATTAGGTATTGATGGGACGTATCTCAAAATAATCAGAGCTATCTGTGACAAACCCACAGCCAATATCATACTGAATGGACAAAAACTGGAAGCATTCCCTTTGAAAACTGGCACAAGACAGGGATGCCCTCTCTCACCACTCCTATTCAACATAGTGTTGGAAGTTCTGGCCAGGGCAATCAGGCAGGAGAAGGAAATAAAGGTATTCAATTAGGAAAAGAGGAAGTCAAATTGTCCCTGTTTTCAGATGGCATGATTGTATATCTAGAAAACCCCATTGTCTCAGCCCAAAATCTCCTTAAGCTGATAGGCAACTTCAGCAAAGTCTCAGGATACAAAACCAATGTGCAAAAATCACAAGCATTCTTATACACCAATAACAGACAAACAGAGAGCCAAATCATGAGTGAATTCCCATTCACAATTGCTTCAAAGAGAATAAAATACCTAGGAATCCAACTTATAAGGGACGTGAAGGTCCTCTTCAAGGAGAACTACAAAACACTGCTCAATGAAATAAAAGAGGATACAAACAAATGGAAGAACATTCCACGCGCATGGGTAGGAAGACTCAATGTCATGAAAATGGCCATACTACCTAAGGTAATTGATAGATTCAATGCCATCCCCAACAAGCTACCAATGACTTTTTTCACAGAATTGGAAACAACTACTTTAAAGTTCATATGGAACCAAAAAAGAGCCTGCATTGCCAAGTCAATCCTAAGCCAAAAGAACAAAGCTGGAGGCATCACACTACCTGAATTCAAACTATACTACAAGGCTACAGTAACCAAAACAGTATGGTATTGGTACCAAAACACAGATAGAGACCAATGGAACAGAACAGAGCCCTCAGAAATAATGCCGCATATCTACAACCATCTGATCTTTGACAAACCTGACAAAAACAAGAAATGGGGAAAGGATTCCCTATTTAATAAATGGTGCTGGGAAAACTGGCTAGTCATATGTAGCAAGCTGAAACTGGATCCCTTCCTTACACCTTAGACAAAAATTAATTCAAGATGGATTAAAGACTGAAATGTTAGACCTAAAACCATAAAAACCACAGAAGAAAAACCATAAAAACTATAGAAGAAAACCTAGGCAATACCATTCAGGACATAGACATGGGCAAGGACTTCATGTCTAAAACACCAAAAGCAACAGCAACAAAAGCCAAAATTGACAAATGGGATCTAATTAAACTCAAGAGCTTCTGCACAGCAAAAGAAACTACCATCAGAGTGAACAGGCAACCTACAGAATGGGAGAAAATTTTTGCAATGTACTCATGTGACAAAGGGCTAATATCCAGAATCTACAATGAACTCCAACAAATTTACAAGAAAAAAACAAACAACCCCATCAAAAAGTGGGCAAAGGATATGAACAGACACTTCTCATAAGAAGACATTTATGCAGCCAAAAGACACACGAAAAAATGCTCATCATCACTGGCCATCAGAGAAATGCAAATCAAAACCACAATGAGATACCATCTCACACCAGTTAGAATGGCGATCATTAAAAAGTCAGGCAACAACAGGTGTTGGAGAGCATGTGGAGAAATAGGAACACTTTTACACTGTTGGTGGGACTGTAAACTAGTTCAACCATTGTGGAAGTCAGTGTGGCGATTCCTCAGGGATCTAGAACTAGAAATACCATTTGACCCAGCCATCCCATTACTGGGTATATACCCAGAGGATTATAAATCATGCTGCTATAAAGACACATGCACACGTATGTTTATTGCGGCACTATTCACGATAGCAAAGACTTGGAACCAACCCAAATGTCCAACAATGATAGACTGGATTAAGAAAATGTGGCACATATACACCATGGAATACTATGCAGCCATAAAAAAGGATGAGTTCATGTCCTTTGTAGGGACATGGATGAAGCTGGAAACCATCATTCTCAGCAAACTATCGCAAGGACAAAAAACCAAGCACCGCATGTTCTCACTCATAGGTGGGAATTGAACAATGAGAACACATGGACACAGGAAGGGGAACATCACACACCTGGGCCTGTTGTGGGGTGGGGGGAGGGGGCAGGGATAGCATTCGGAGATATACCTAATGTTAAATGACGAGTTACTGGGTTCAGCACACCAACATGGCACATGTATACATATGTAACTAACCTGCACGTTGTGCACATGTACCCTAAAACTTAAAGTATAATTTTAAAAAAATGTCTGCACTTTACTATAGACATAACACATTCTTATTAGAGAAAATTTGAACAACATAAGAAACTTAAGGTAAAAGATCACCCATAGTTTCGTCATTTAAACTCAAATAATTGTTAATATGTTAGTGTATTCCCTTTCATTTTTTTCTCTGCTTATCTACCTGTATTTCCATAATTATATGACACATGCATAAATATGTATTTTCTTATGCATTAAAATCTTTATCAGCATAATCAGTAAGAACTTATTCAACCATTTGTCTAAAAATAGATGTTAAGGCTATCACTTTTTTTTTTTGCTAATACAAATAACGATGAGTATCCTTGTGTATATATTTTTATTCTTATTTTATCCTTATGTTAGACTCTTAAAATTGGAAGTGTATACACTGAAATTGCTTTCATCAAAGATTATTCCACTTTAGCAGAAGTGTGTGAGAATATCTGTCTTCCTAAGCCTTGACAGCATTGTTTATTATCTTTTAAATACCTCTGTTATCAAATTTTATCTTATCATTGTTTCCATTTATATTGCTTTGATTACTTGGAAGGGTGAACATTTCACCGGAGTTTGTTAATCATTTATAGTTAATTTTGGGGAATCGTTTATCCACTTATTGATGGAGGGTCTTCATGGTTTTTTTGTGTGTTATCTTTCACTATGTTAAATATATCAATTCCTTGTCATTTTGTTACAGATACTTTCTTTTTCTTAAGCGATTCAGTGCCCTGAGTCATAACCATGTGGAATAATGGGCTCCTGGGAACAGAAGCAACAGCTGCGTGGAGGGTGAGGACAAGCTGACATTTAGAAATATTCTGGTCAAGAGTTCCAATTGGTGTTTGTTTGCTGAGGGCGCTGGTGTGAAGCCCGGCTGAGTCATGAGGTTGGACAGACAGTCCAGGAGCGGCTGAGTAAGGCAAGGTGGGGAAGGGCACATGCTCTGGGGCTCCCTGAGAATTAGGGAAAGCGACTGATGAAGTGGGTGTGATGGAAACAGAGAAAATGACATCTTGGAGTTTACAGGCAAGGACCGTCCTTAGGCTTTGGGAAAGCTCAAGTTGAGATAACAGATGGATGCAATTCCATTCCCTAGGACCAAGGAAGATGCTCAAAAATATAACTCTGACAAATGCATGTAAGAGGATTCTAAAAACTTAAACTTGGAGGAAAGCAGCCCACATGTTTTGCTTTTCAATATCCGAGACCTGGGGGAAATATGTTTGGATGTGGATTTTATTCTCGAATAACCACAAATTTTCTATGTATTGAATGGGAATTCATATTCTCATCTACATAGCTCATCTATATCACATATCTCAGATGTGTTGCAACCATCTAAGTTAGGACACAGTGATTAAGGTGGAGGCATTACCCTCCCCTACCTGAAGAAGGTTTTATTTGTTTCGGAGGGGGCTTGTTAAGGAGGGAGGTTCTGATCAGATTTAGACTGTGAGAGAAGTAAACAGGACAGAAAGGAGATGAAAGGAGATTTTAATAAGTGTTACTGTTTATTATGTCAATGTCTAATGTTCCAAGAAACAGGAGTAGGAACAGTATCTCTTCTTATTTTCTATTTCCGATTGAGTTGTGCAGTAAAGCAAATTCCAAAAGTCTCATGAAATATGGTAAAGTAGGATTAGAAAACAAAACTGTTTGGCTTTTTCTTAAGATAAAAAGCACGGCTTTTTTTCTTTTTCTTCTCTTTCTTTTTTTTTTTTTTTTTTTGAGACAGAGTCTTGCTTTATCACCCAGGCTGGAGTGTGTAGTGGCTCGATCACAGCTTACCACAGCCTCCAACTCCTGGCCTCAAACAATCCTCCTGCCTCAGCCTCCCAAAGCGCTAGAATTACAGGCATGAGCCACCACGTCAGGCCCCAAAAGCATGGATATTACTCTGAATTTGAACTTCAATCTTGGTGTATAGAAAACTCAGATAGGATGGTATATATTTTTGTATATTCACATGCCTTTGTGTGTTCATTTATTCATGTCTATTTCACTCCAGCAAGGGTGTGAGCTTTCCTGTTTGTCCTGCTGCTTCCTTTCCCTTCTCTTCTACATCGGGTGAGCTTTTACTCATACTCCAAAAGCCAATTCAATTATCAGCCGCTCTGTGAAACCTTCCCCAGCTCACCCAGGCTGGATGAATTTCACCCTTCCTCATGCTTCTATGGCTATCCCATTTAGACTGTTAACAATGTCTACTAGATGATAAGCTCCCTGAGGCCTCATTTATCTCTATGTCCTCGGCATCAGCCCAGGCCCACTATGTGTACAGCATGAAGCACAGGAAGCCCTCTGTGCTCATCCTTCCTGTTTCCCTCTGTCTTTCTGGCTTCGCTCTGCTTCCCCGCCCAGGACCCCCAGGGGCTTGGACTCCTTCCTCAGCCTGTCTCCAGTGTGCGTGCAATTGGCCTTGGCTGGGTGGATCCGTTGAATTCTGGGCGAAGTGTGGGCGAGTTCAGGGGGGCTGTGATCTGAGCCAGCTGCTATCCGTCATCAGCCTGACTGTCGCCCTCCGTCTGGCTAGCTCCGGTGCCTCGCTCTCAATCGCTCCCTGACTCAGGAATGGAAGAGATGCATTATCTATTGCTCCCCTGCCAAACTCCCAACATCTGACATTTGTACAGTGCTTTTCAGCTTACAAAGCACTTCCACATCCATTATTTCAAGGGCTGTAAATAAGGCAACAAAGTGCTGCCGGAGTATCTGGAGCCAGTGATTAATTTCATTTGGGGAAGCCACAGAATGCCTCACGAGGAGCACGCGAATCAGGCTGAAGGTCTCTGAATTCTGCCCCTTCCAAGGCATTGTAAAGAGAACACAAGCCGCGGAGGCCATGCGCACATTTCCAGCATTTGCTTCAACTACCCTCTGGTGTGCTTTTCTCAGCCACTGCGCCTTCATGCATCTCCCCCTGATCTCTGACATCCGTGGGTAATGAGCTGGGGTTTCTAATTCCTACCACAGGAGGTCCTGGCTGGGTCAACCTGTTTGGACATGCTACTGTGATATGACCTGGCGTCCTCTGGGGGTCAAGACCCCATCATCCTTTTCTGGGATCACGCTCTGTGACCACGACTCTTTTCCTTGGTGTTGCTACCGTAGAATCAGCTGACAAGGATGACAGCTTTGAGCTCTAATATTCTATGATCGTTGGTCTTCATAACTTTAGAAGGAACTGGGTTTCTTCCCTTAGCCACAGCAAAGGCCTCATGATATCAGAGATACTGTCACACGCGGGCACACACACGGTGACTCTGCGGTCACCATCAGTTTTCCTAGGATGTGGGTTCACCAGGAGGCACTTCATGAATGTGGATGGGCTGAAAGGCACTTTGGAACAAACAGCTTCCACAAAAGTGGCAAATTCTAATCAACATTGTTTTTCAAAGTGTTAGAAGATACATTGCATTTCAAGGCAAAGGGAAAAAAAATAGAATTGGAAGTAAAGAAAGGGAATTGACAGACAGAAATGAAACAAGTCAATCTAATTTCAAAGCCCGTCCTGAACCAAGGGTAAAATAACACACAGGGTTTGTGAAAAAAGGAAATCTAATATTTATAAGGGGTTCAACATCTAAGGGATAATAAATTGCACTTCAGAGGAAATGCCGTATTAGATAAATTTTATCTTGACACTGAACCCTTTAAAATGCCTGTAAAGCTTGTCTTGTACATCTGTTCTAGCCCACATACCAGTCTGTCCCTGGTAGTAACTGAAGGGTTATTTTGCTGAGAAAAATCTCTTTGACTTAGAAGCTGGAAGAAAGAAGAGGGAAGCTCAGAGATTGGAATCTAAATGAGTAATAGAAAAATTTCAAATGCCACCGTGGCAGGGAAAAGATGAACTCAAGTCTGTGATAACTGACACTTCTTACATTCAATTCTATTCTATCTTCCCTCCAAACACACTCTTAGCCTGGTTTAACATCATTTAAGTCTGTTTGGAATCACAGTGGAGAAAGCGACAAAGGAAATGGAATCGGTGAAGTGCATTGTTGGGTGAAATTACCTGTGGAGATGGGACACTGGGTGGTCCTGAGTCACTATGGACTGAGCTCCTGTGGCCCTCGATAACAGGTGCTGATGGGGTGGGAAGGACAGTGTCTCCAGCTGGGAGTGTATAGGTTTGGGTGGGTAGGGTGTGTGTTGGTTGACTTCTATGTGTCAAGTCGACTGGGCCAAGGGATGCCTAGATAGCTGGTAACACATTGTTTCTAGGCATGTCTGTTGAGGGTGCTTCTGGAAGACATTACCATTTTACTCAGTAGATGGAGTAAAGAAGACCCACCCTCACCAATATGGGTGGGCAGCATCCAGTCTGTTGTGGGCTCAAATAGAACAAAAAGGCAGAGGAAGGAGGAAATCACTTTCTCTTCTGGACCTGGGACGTCCATCTCCTCCTGCCCCTGGCCATCAGCACTCCTGGTTTGGGGGTTTTCACCTCAGACTGGGACTTACACTGTCAGTTTCCTGGTTCTCAGCCTTTGGGCTTGGACTGGAAGGACACCACTGGCTTTCTTGGGCCTCCAGCTTGCACATGGCAAATTATGACACTTTTTGGCTTCGGTGATTGTGTGAGCCAAGCCCTCATAATAAGTCTTTCTATACATCTATAGATATTCTATTGGTTCAGTTTTCTGGAAAGCCCTGATGAATACAGGGAGTAAGGGACTAAGTGCAGTACACATGGAGGGTGTTGTGTATGCGTGCACGTGCATACGTGTGCATGTGCACGTGTGTGTGATGCAGAGTGATGGTTGGGATCTAATGGGTGGGTGAGCCACCCGTTAGCAGGTGAGGTTCCTGCTGGGAGTTTCTGCTGGAGCTAGAACTCCCTTGGCTTTGTGACTCAGCTGCTTTAGTTGGTGATTTACCTCATTCATCAAAGCTTCAGAAGGGACACCTTGTAAAACAATGGCAAATAATCCTAACTATGACCCCAGGAAAAGGGTGGATATTGTCCAGCATTTGTTCAATATCAAAGGTAATATGTTTTATACAAATGCACTTTCACTTTACCTATGAATAATCAGATGATTGTGATATTCTCATACCTTATATTTAGTGATGAGCATTCAACTTGACATTATGAATGTTCAATAAACCTGGATTCAAATGCAGTTTCACCACTTACCTTAGAAACTTTGAGTCCTTTGAACCTAGTTTCATGATTTCCAAAATGGGGATTAAATCCACTTTGAAGGCGTGTTTGGAAGATTGAGAACATTTGGTAAAGGGCCTAGAACACACTAGGTGCTAATTAAATTCCTCTTTCTTTCTGCATCCTGAACACATTTGATTTTTTTTAAAGAAGAAAAAAGTATTATACTAGATTTTTATTTCAAAAAGTAATTCATCCTTAGGCCTTAGATATTTGACCAAGGCACTAATTCCTAAATCTTAAAAATAAAAGTGGCCATAAATATCATATCATTCTTTTTGAAATTTTTTATTTGGAAATAACTGAAAATTTGTAGAGAAGTTGCAAGTATAGGAATAGTCTCTCTCTCTCTATGTATGTATACATATATTCATAAAATTTTTCTGAACCATTTGAGAATGAGTGGCATTCAATTCAGCCCTTATCCATTAATATTTCAGTGTTTATTTCCTAAGAATAGGGCTATTCTATTATTTTACCATAACGTAGTAATCAAGTTCAGCAAATTTCACATTGATAGAATACTTTTCATCAAATTTCTATCCTTATTCCAGTTTCATCAATCAGCCCAATAATGTGCTTTATAAAACATTTCTCTTTCTGCCAATACGGGATGCAGTATAGGATTGGGCATTCCACTGCCATGTCACCTATAATCTGGATGAATGGCAACTATATCTTACCATTTTTATAATCATCGGTCTATGAGGTACATGTACATGGCTAGCTACTGCGCTTATAATTCAATTAAGAGGGGACTGGAATAACCACCTACTATTTACCTGGACATTCAGTGGCTTCTGTCTGCAGCAAAAATTATAGACTCATCTATCTGGGTTTCTAGTCCACTGTAATATACCCTGTGATGGTTAATTTTCTGTGTCACCTTTACTGTCCCATGGGATGCCCAAACATCTGGTTAAAATTCTTTCTGGGTGTGTCTGTTGGGGTGTTTCCAAAAGAGGTCAGCATTTAAATTGGTAGACTGAGGAAAGCACTTAGCCCTTCCCAGTGCCTGAACATCATCCAGTTTGTTGAAGGCTTGGAACAAAAAGAATAAGGAAGGTAAAATTCATTCTCTGACTGCGTGAGCTGGAACGTTCATTTCTTCTTGCCTTTGGCACTCCTAGTTCTCAGGCCCTCAGACTTGGACTGGAGTCTACAGAATTAGGTCTTTGGCTCTCAGGAGGGCTTCAAACTGCACCACTGACTTTGCTGGGTCTCCAGCTGCAGATGGCAGATCATGGGACTTCTTGGCCTCTATAATCATGTGAGCCAATATCTTATCATCTCTCTTTCTCTCTCTCTCTCTAGATATATGTATCTCCTGTTGGTTCTGTTGGTTCTGTCTCTCTGGAGAACCCTAATATACACTCTAATTATCTATACACTATTCCTCATATGGAGTTGGCAACTTGTAGATGGAGGAAGCATAAGCTTGGTGCAGGCAGCTCTGGGTGTGGATTCTAGTTCTACTACTTGTCGACTGCATGGCCTCTAGCAAGTTTAACTTCTAATTTCTTGCAAATAAAGTTATAGCCGCTCAATAAATAATTGTGGAATGGATACATATATCCACTTCATAGACTTGTTGGGAGGACTGTGTGCAATAATTTACCTAAATGAGCCTGCAAAGGTGCTTGGCACACAGCACGTTCTCAAAAATGATTATTCCTTTGCCTTGCTTCTGTCAACCCCTATTGACTCCAATAGGCCGAAGAAGAGACCTGGAGCCAGCATGAGACATGAGGTTTATTGAGGACTCACAAACGGGCTGTCCAGTGTGGCAGGCTGGATAGGAGAAGTGCTACTTCTTGTAGAAAGCATATATACAGGCCGGGCGCGGTGGCTCATGCCTGAAATCCTAGCATTTTGGGAGGCCGAGATAGGAAGATCATGAGGTCAGGAGATCATGACAATCCTGGCTAACATGGTGAAACCCCGTCTCTACTAAAAATACGAAAAAAAAATCACCCGGGCGTGGTGGTGGGCGCCTGTAGTCCCAGCTACTCTGGAGGCTGAGGCAGGAGAATGGCGTGAACCCGGGAGGCGGAGCTTGCAGTGAGCGGAGATGGTGCCACTGCACTCCAGCCTGGGCGACAGAGCGAGACTCCGTCTCAAAAAAAAAAAAAAAGAAAGAAAGAAAGCATATATGTAGCAATTTTAACTCAGCACGTTTTACCTAGCAACCTACATTTAACCCACCCCCAAAAAAGGCCTCCATCCCCTACATGGCCTGCCTTCCAAGGAATGGAACAGGGGTTCGGTTGCCTTTCGTAGAGACAGTGAATCTCCAGGTTGGCCACTCCCAGATTCCTTAGCTGGGAACTCTGAACACACACTCTTGTTAGAGCATAGGGTCATTCTTAGGGTGTGCTTCAGTTATTGCTGTCATGTGCATCTGTCATACAGCTTCTTGCTAGAGTAAGATCGTCCACCTCCTTAAACCATGTGATGGGGTTTGGCTGTGCCCACCCAAATCTCACCTTAAATTGTAACTCCCATAATTCCCAAATGTTGTGGGAGAGACGCAGTGGGAGATCATTGAATCATGGGGGTGGTTTCCCCCATACTGTTCTCGTGGTAATGAATAAGTCTCATGAGATCTGACGGTTTTATAAGGGGTTTCCCCTTTCACTTTGCTCTCATTCTCTCTTGCCTGCCGCCATGGAAGATGTGATTTCTGCCCTCTGCCATGATTGTGAGGCCTCCCTAGCCACGTAGAACTGTGAGTCTATTAAACCTCTTTTTCTTTGTAAATTACCCAGTCTCAAGTATGTCTTTATCAGCAGCACGAAAACAGACTAATACGCTAGGGAATGGCACATTCATTCCCACTTCTCAACTTTGCTCATGGAGGCCCCAGCTCAACCTTGTTCTCTCCTTTCTTTGCAGCCTACCGAAAGCCTGAATATTCGTTAAGCTTCAGCTCTGGTTTTTTACATCCTTCATAAAGACCTCATTAATCTCATCACTCTGTCTCTCTCTACCCTCTATACCGCTACAATATCATGGATTCAGCAAAGGTTTTAGAAATACTTAATGAATGAAATCCTAGAATGAATACTGAATGAATGAATTCTAAAATTTGTGGGCCCCATTATGCCTATAGATGTAAAAAAATTCTCACAAAAAGAAGGGAGTAAGTGGGGTGCAGTGGCTCTTAACTGGAATACCAGTGCTTTGGAAGGTCGAGTAGGGAGGATTGCTTGAATCCAGGAGTTCAAGACCAGCCAGAGCAACAAATTAGCTGGGCATGGTGGTGTCTGCCTATAGTCCTAGCTACTCAGGAGGCTGAGGCAGGAGGAACGCTTGAGCCCAGGAGTTCAGGGCTGCAGTGAATTATGATTATGATTGCACCACTGCACTCCAGTCTGGGAGACAGAGCAAGACTCTGTCTTTAAAAATAAACAAACAAACAAAAACAAAAGAAGGCAAGAGCATTAATAGTTACCGAGTACTGCTCAGTGCCCTGTGGTCTCCCCACACTACTACGTGAATCCCCAGGACAACCTCCAGGTCTTCCTAGCTCCATTTTGCATATAAGAAACTTGAGGAACAAGGTCACAGAGCTAGAAAATGCAGAGCTAGATTCTGAACCCAGGGCTGGTTCCACCTTTTTTTTTACACTGCATTGTCACATACGCTGAAATTTATGTTGAAAAATATCGACTTTGATTCATGGAAGACAGGTACATGTTAAGTTTTAGGGAAGATAGAAGGGTAGTGGGGCTCGTTGCAGCCAACCTCTTGCTCAACATAAGTTAACTTTTGTCCCCCTGCACCAGGGTAGCAATCAACGACCCTGTAGCTGGCTCAGTGTGACTCAAAATGACAGTTTTATAAGCTTCTGAGGGAAAACTGGTTGGCTTAATAGGTAGTTCAAAAACCTTTCACACACAAAGAGCCCAATAATTTCCCATTTTTAAAGTGTCAGTTGCAGTTATCAGTTAATGACCGGCAATGGCTGCTCAACAAATAGACATTTATCATGAGTGCTTCAATGTGGGAAGTTGGACAAAATGACCTCTCAGGGCCTTCCCAATGGATTTAATCAGTCTAATCAAACCTTTAGACAGAGTCTGAGCCCAGAGTGGAGTATTTATCTCCTGTTTTGAACTGTTATACAATGTTTTGGGCGAATACATCTTATCTCCCCAACTGGTAGATTCTGGAAGGTCAGAGACTGTCGAATACTTTTAGCTAGTCCCTCACGGCACTGAGAACAGAGCCTCTCCCATAGCACTGGGTGCAGAGTTGAGCACATAGTAGGTACCCAGTGAACACTAATTGATTAATTCAAAATCTCATAACTCCACATGCTTATAAAACAAGGACACTTAGGGTTGGGCCAGATCAACAGAGGACTTTAAATAATGATCCTTAAGAGCTATTATAAAGTGGATTGTGTGGACTCCTCAGGGGAGCTCCAAAGGCAACGTTCCAACGTTCCATATTGTTGTTAAGAATAGACTTAAGTAAATGCATATATTTCTTTTCTCAATTCGTTCTATTTTGGTCTCAACCTGACAATATGTGATAGAGAAATTTGTCTCTAATACAGTTTCTTGGGTTAAAAACACTAATAAGTATTAGCAGGTTCTAGAGATGTGTGACCCAGCATCAGAATGTTAATACTGGGGCTATGGAAGACATTTAAGTAAAGAAGGCCAAGTGAAACTGGATCATAGAATCACCCTCCCACAATACCCAATGAAATTAACAACACTAAAAAATAAAAATAAGTGAAACAAACAAACAAAAATTATTACTATCAGCATTTTATTTATTTATTGAGACAGAGTCTTGCTGTGTCACCCAGGCTGGAGTGCATTAGTGCAATCTTGGCTCACTGCAACCTCCGCCTCCTGGGTTCAAGCAATTCTTGTGCCTCAGGCTCCTGAGTAGCTGGCATTATAGGCGCCTGCCACTATGCCCAAGACCAGCCTGGGCAACATGGTGAAACCCTGTCTCTACTAAAAATACAAAAATTAGCCGGGTATGATGGCAGGTGCCTGTAATCCCAGCTACTCAGGAGGCTAAGGCAGGAGAAACGTTTGAACCTGGGAGGTGGAGGTTGCAGTGAGCCAAGATTGCACCACTGCACTTCACCCTGGGCAACAGAATGAGACTCTTGTCTCCAAAAAAAATTAAAAAATAAAAATAAAATAATCAGGAATTGAATGTCATATATAGTATGTGACATTGAGATTCAATTATATTTTTTTCCCGACCCGGTTGATCCACCATGCCATGGCTATTGTATTTCAAGAATCTACATACCCTATGATAAGCTTTGCTGCTAACATTTTTTCTATTTCATTTTTAAATTGTCTACACCAATGCCAGTACCACACTGTTTTCATTACTTTAGCTTTGTGCTTGGTGACAATATTGTTTGGGCTAGCTCAGCATCTTAAGCATCTTCAAGAGCGTCTTGGTTATTTTTGGGATTCTGCTCTTCCACATAAATTTTAGAATTGGGTTATCAAATATATCAAAAATCACTGTTGGGATTTTGATTGGAATTGCATTAAATATATATGTCAATTTGCAATAGTGAGTCTCCCTAATCATAAACATGGTATGTCTCTACATTTAGTTGAGCAATTTTCATTAAATTTTTCTCTATAAAGTTGTTGCCTTTTGATGATTTCATAGACGCATTTCTGTCATCGTGAATGGTGTTTTTTCTTAAATCATCTTTCTGTTATATAAAAATATGATTGATTTTTACATTCATCTTTTATTCTACCCTCTTATTAATTCTAATAATTTATTTAAATAATCTATAACTTTAAAGGGTTTTGTATGTGAATAATCATATCTCTGAATAAAGAGAAATTTGTTTCCCCTAATCCCATTTTCTCCTTCATTTGCCTATAGTGGCTAGAACTCCCTAGTAAAACCTGTAATAGAAGCAGGGATATTGGGCATTTTTAACTTACTCATAATTTTCAAGAGAAAGTATTTAACATTTCATCATTAGCCATGATGTTTGCTGAAGGATTTTAGTAATGATATCCTTTATCCAGAAAATCAAGTCTGTTCTGTTTCTGTTCTTCCAAAAGAATTTATCTTTTATGCATTCATGCAATAAATATTTATTGAGTACTTATCTAGTGCATCTGTCTAAGCACCAGCGATTCCTCTCCAAACAAAACAGACAGAAAGTCCTGCCCTCATGAAGCTTGCAGTATAGTGGAGGAAAACACAATAAATAAATGTAGTGTACTAGCAGGTGATAAATGCTATGGAGAAAACTGAGGCAAGGGAAGGGGGCGGAGGTGCTGGGGCTGGGAGATGCAGTTTCAAATAGGGTGGCAAGGGAAGGCCTTGAGAAGGCACTATTAGAGCAAATGCTTGAAGTAGCCAGGGAAGCAGGCTAGGCACATATGTGTCAGGAAAGCATTCCAGACAGAGGGATAGCAGGTGCAAAGATGGAGGTGAGAATGTGCATGACTTAAGAAATAGCAAGGGGACTAGCATGCCTGAAACCGAAGAAATCAGGGAAAGACTAGCAGGAGATGGAGTTAGAGAGGTAATAAGCAGACTGATAATAAGTTAGAGAGGTAATAAGCAGGTTACATTTTATCAAACTCTGTTTTTACATCTACGAGGTGATTATGTGACTTTTCCCCTTTAATTTTGTAACGTGGGGATTATGTTTTTAGATTTCCTAAGTTAAGTGTCTTTGTATTCCTGGGAGAATTTTTCATTTTAAAAAACACATAGGCCGGGCGTGGTGGCTCACGCCTGTAATCCCAACACTTTGGGAGGCTGAGGTGGGTGGATCACGAGGTCAGGAGATCAAGACCATCCTGGCTAACAAGGTGAAACCCCGTCTCTACTAAAAATACAAAAAAATTAGTTGGGCGTGGTGGCAGGTGCCAGTAGTCCCAGCTACTTGGGAGGCTGAGGCAGGAGAATGGCATGAACATGGGAGGTGGAGCTTGCAGTGAGCCAAGACCATGTCACTGTACTCCAGCCTGGATGACAGAGCAAGACTCTGTCTCAAAAAAAAAAAAAACAAAAAAAAAACCACACACGCATAAAATTTTAGCATTTTAAAGTGTACAGTTCAGTAGTATGAAGTATATTCATATTTTTTGCAATGATCTCCAGAACTGTTTTCATCTTGCAAAACTGAAACTTTCTATCCATTGAACAACAACTCCGTTTTTGTCCTCCTCTTAGTTCCTAGAAAACAACCATTCTATTTTCTGTTTCCATGAATTCAACTACTTTAGGTACTTCATATTATGCTTGTTTCACTTAGCATAATGTCCTATGGTTCATCCATGTTATAGCATGTGTCAGGATTTCTGTCCTTTTAAAGACACAATAATATTCTATTGTATGGCTAGACCACATTTTCTTTGTTCTTTCATCTGCCAATGGATATTTGGGTTGCTTCTACCTTTTGGCTATTGTGACTAATGCTGCAATGAACACAGGTGTGCAAATTCTTCTTTGAGATCATACTTTCAGTTATTTTGGCTTTGCACCCAGTAGTGGGATTGCTGGATCATGTGGTAATTCTATTTTTTATTTTTTGAGGAGCCTCCATATTGTTTTTCATAGTGGCTACAGCATTTTACATTCTCACCAACACTGCATGAGTGTTCCAATTTCTCCACATCCTTACCAACACTCATTATTTTCTGTTTTTTTTTTTATGGGGACCATCCTAATGAATGTGAGATGATATCTCATTATGGTTTTAATTTGCATCTCTCTAATGATTAGTGATGTTGAACATCTTTTCATTTATTCATTGGCCATTTGGAGAATTATCTACTAAAATCCTTTACCCATGTTTAAATAGGATTATTTATTTGTTGTTCAGTTGTAGGAGATCTTCATATATTCTGGATATTAATCCCTTATCAGATATATGATTTGAAAATATTTTCTCCCATTCTGTATATAGACAGATATTCTGTTGATTGTTTCCTGTGATGTGTAGAAGCTTTTAAGTTTAGGGTAGTCCCATTTGTCTATATTTGCTTTTATTGCATGTGCTTTTCGTGTCATATTCAAGAAATCATTGCTAGATCCAATGTCATGAAGCTTTTCCCTTATGTTTTATTTTCTTTATTCTCCCATGTTTTTTTCTGGGAGTTTTATAGTTTTAGATCTTACTTTTAATCTATTTTGAGTTGATTTTTGTACATGGTGTATGGTAAGGGTCCAACTTCATTCTATTGCATGTGGATATCCAGGGTTCCCAATGCCATTTGTTGAAGAAACTATTCTTTTCCCACTGAGTGGTCTTGGCACCCTTGTCAAAAATTGTTTGGCCACACACATGAGGGTTTATTTCAGGTCTTTCGATTCTATTCCATTGTTCTATATGCCTATCTTTACGCCAGTAACATACTATTTTGATTAAGGTAGCTCTATTTTGGAATCAGGAAGAGTGAGATCTCCAACTTTGCTCTTTTTCAAAATTACTTTGGTTATTCAGGGTCATTGGAGATTCGCGTCACTTTTAGAATAGATTTTTCTATTTCTGTAAAAATGGCATTGGGATATTGATAGGAATATAATTTTCTTTTTAATATTGCCATTATCTGACATAGATATCAAGGTCATACCAGACCTCATAGATAAGTTGGGAAGTGTTCACTCATTTTTAATAGAAATTATTAGCTTAGGTTCACCTCCGTGTATATCAATTTCTTTTTTTTCCTTTTTTTCTTTCATCTCAGACTTCCCCGCTAGTGTCATTTTCCTTATTCCTAAAATTTATATTTTAGAAGTCTCTTTAACAGAGGACTGCTGCTAGAAAGTATCTCATTTTTGTTTATTTGAAAGTGTCTTTATTGTACTCTCATTCTTGAAAGATAGTTTTGCTGGGTATATAATTCTAGGTTGACAGTTGTTTTACTCTCAGCACTTTGAAGGTATCAATAGTTACCAAGCTTCCAGTTTTGCTAATGTGTGTATAAAAACAGATTGGAAATAAACACATGAACAATTGTGAACATTCTGCCCAGTGCATTTGGAGTGAACTATCTGTCCTTCTTGCCCTCATCACTTTACATCCTCAAATGGAAAACATGATTCTCTTGACTCTTGTGTCTAGCATTCTCTTGCTTCTTAAAAAAGCCTTACTACATATATATGCTTCTCTAAACAATAAATTTAAACACAGAACTAAGACCAAACGATTGTAAGAATTATAATAATAGAGCAGAACGTCAATATTATTATATACACTTCCAATTAAAAGAAGAATAATAGAGCTTACAAAAAATGAGAAGGTAAAAGGAAATATAAGACTGCTAGTTCCTTATCTTTAATTACAGACAGTATTGATACTGTCTAAGATTAAAGCATGTACATATCTTAAACTAAATGACTCCAATATTTTTTTACCTTAACCTTGGAGAGATATTTTATTAAATATTACCTCTGGTGGTGAAAAAATATTTATCTAGACTTCAGCAATTTCTTTAGTTTCACTTTATTTGCTATTCCTTCTGTTAAAGTAAAATTAAATGTAATACTTTTTAATAAAAATAGAAGTCATATTATAATCCTATTTTTATAAAGGTATTTCTCCAGCTAGTCTACATATGCATGGAGAACTGCCTGGAATGAAGTGCACTTTAATATGAATAATAATTTATTTCACTGAGCGTGGTGGCTCACGCCTGTAATCCCAACACTTTTGGAGGTCAAGGAGGGAAGATCCCTTAAGCCCAAGAGTTTGAGACCAACCTAGGCAAAATGGCAAACCCCTGGCTCTACAAAAAAATACAAAAATTAGCCGGACATGGTGGCACATGCCTGTAGTCCCAACTATCTGGAAGCCTGGAAGGCTGAGGTGAGAGGATTGCTTGAGCCCAGGAGGTGGAGGTTGTGGTGAGCTTAGATTGTGCCACTGCACTCCAGCCTGGGTGAAAGAGCTAGACCCTGTCTCAAACAAACAAACAAACAAACAAACAAAACTTTATGTGGTGGTCTTCAGGCTAAATTCTAAATCTTTATTTTGTATTTTCTATATTACTTCAATTCTTTATTATGGGTATGTATAATTTGAAAGTCAGTACATTTTTGAATGCAGTGTCAGCAACAAATCAGGACAACTTGCTCCTTCTCATCTACTCCTGTACCCTGACCTTAACCCTCAGCTTCATCTTCTCTCTTGCCCTGGAGACCGGTGAATGAACGTATGCACAAACAGTGCTAGCTGTTGAACTTCTTGTCCTCAGAGTTCTGCCCTAGGATGCCCCATCTGTCTTGGGGTGGCCTTATGGCCACATTTTCTTAATGAATCATGGCAGGTTAAAATTGCCATCCTTAGCAGAGTCTAATGGTCACAACTTTAACCGGCCATGATTATTCTTCTACATAAATCTTTGTTCATATCTTTGATTACTTTTTAGGATAAATTCTTAGAAGTAGGGTCAAAGCGTATAACAGTCTTTTGAATGCTCATAATATTATATGGTCAAATTGATTTTCAAAAAGCCTGTTCTAATTGGTGCTTTCACTAGCGATATTTATAAATGTGCCTCTTCCATAACTCCCTTGTCAGCACTAATCATTTTTTTGACATTTGTGTCCATTTCATAAACAAAAAATGATACTTGCTATTCTAATTAGCATTTTTATTATTAGTGAGGTTGAATGTTTTTCATATTAGTATTGAATTTAAAAAATTTCAGTGACATTTTATAAGTGAGCAGATGATACGATCATATTTATTTTTCAGAACTACAGTTCAGGCAAGAGTGTTGAAAGTAGGTGGCTGCCTGAGGTCAGGAGTTCAAGACCAGGCTGACCAATACAATGAAACCCCATCTCTACTAAAAATACAAAAATTAGCCAGGTTTGGTGGTGGGCAGGCACCTGTAGTCCCAGCTACTCAGGAGGCTGAGACGGGAGAATTGCTTGAACCTGGGAGGCAGAGGTTGCAGTGAGCTGAGATTGTGCCACTAAACTACAGCCTGGGCAACAGAGCAAGACTCCGTCTCAAAAAAAAAAAAGAAAGTAGGTGGCTGGAGGAGCCCAAAGTCAGGAAGCACTGAGGGGACATTGGCGGCAGTCTTGGTGATGTATGATGAGGTTCTGGACAGGGCGGGGTGGGGGTGGGAGGCAGTGGTGGGTAGGGGAGAGGGGCATGGGGTTGGGGTGGTGGTGGGAGTAAGATCTGATAACACTCTCTCTTCACCTCTTTTTTCCTGGCTTCTAGATTTCCTCTTATAGTTTTCTACTTTGAAAAATTAGCATAGCAATAACACTTTGCCGCAATTAATAGTAGGATGTTCCTAATCTATTTAAATTTGGAAGAGATTGTATCATTCTTCAGAGAGGTCAGTTTCTACATTTCCAATCTAGAAAATCAGTACTACTGAGGAGAATCTGGTTGCAAGACTATGAATTTTGTTCCCCTATGACTCCTGTGTGGGGAAAACTGGAAATGGATCCTTCGGAGGTAAATATTCTGAAGAAATACACCTACCTGCTGGCTTTTGCTAGTATTAGTTAGTCACTTGGCTTTTACCTTAAAGTCCTTATATGTCATATTTTAAAAAGAAAGAAGTGAAACACACAGAGTCAGGTTTTAGCCAAAGCAAACCGTGATGATAAAACGACCGACCCTCTGTAATTCTGAGCTGAATTGTAATTCTTTGTTCTCTGTAGCCTTCAGATAAAAGGATTCATGTGGGATGGTAGATAGGGCCGTTTTAATTTGAATCAACTGGACTTACTGCTGGATTTTACACCAGCCTGCTATGAGGCAAGTTCTTTGTTTTCGGCAATTATCAAACTAAGCCTAATTAAACTTGCTTTGCTTTGATGTACTGTAATGTTTTCCATAATTTTATATTCTGAACCATTTTCCTAAGTCCTGGTTTGAATCAACATTATGGATTCATTCTGTATCTGTCATGTCATGATTTAGCATGTATCTAATCAGGTTTTAAGAAGCTTAGCTTTGGTTGATATAATACAACATTATTATTATTGTGATTTTGCAATTTGGACCTGTGAATTGTTTTAAAATACTACATGCTCTGGATATATGTGGAAGCAAAGTGCAAACACTTCCAATGATACCAATTAAATATAGATCTTAAACTATACAACACCATCTTCTATTTTGTAAAATTCCATTGATTTCCCTTTCGGTTGTGTTGCTCCTTAAGGAGATTTTTTTTTTTTTTTTTTTACAAAAGCTAATTTGCCACAATTGATTCCATGTATATTTCTTTTGTGTAGATGTGTTACACAGGGTTTTTCAGTCTCTTTTGTATTTGCAAGTTGTTCATTTCCCACCTGATCGTGCATCCATTAGATCTCTCTTGCTTTATGGGTGCTAGACTACAAGATGTGTGTTTTAAAAGGCATTTTTCTCCCACATCGAACAGAAATAATTTAAAAATACTTTTACTTCATTCAGCTAGCACCCTACTTGTAGTTCTTGTTAGCCACATACCCTTTGCTGCCTTTAAAAATGGGGTCAACTGTTTTCATTATTTTAGCCTAATTTCCTGTGGCTTTTAGCCTATCATTGGGAGTGGTGCAGGATACAAAAGCAAATCAGTTATGTTGCAGATTCCTCTGTCAGCCAAGATGTCAAGGGAACTTAGCTATGGAGACCCTGGTAAGCATTTTGAACAAAACAATGTCTCCTTTCGAGGCTGGCCATGAAGAAGTATTATTCTTAGCTGTTTCTATGACAAATCTGCAAAACTGGGAGCCCGGTTATTATCAATATTACAAAAACTTTGTTTTAGTGGGCACCTTTTGATCACATTTTTACAAACTCTGTGTTGAAGTATAATATACATAGAGACACATGCATATATTATAAGTGTACAGTTCAATGAATTTTCACACACTGAACATACCCATTTAAACCAGCATTCAGATGAAGAACGAAAATGTCACCTGCACCTCAGGCCCACTCACCTCATGCTCCTAACAAGGCACTGTTCTCCCTACCCAACTCCCAGAGTAGCCACTTTGCTGACTTCTACCAAGAGAGCTTAGCCCTGCCTGCTTTTGTGCACTCTGTGCATTAAGCATGAGTTACGCAGTATGCACCCTTTAATGTCTGGTATCTTTTGTTCAACTTTGTGTGTGTGAGATTCATCTGTGTTGTTGAGTGTAGTTGTAAATTCTTCATTCTTATTCCTTTATGATTTCCCATTGTATAAATATACCACAATTTACTTATTCGTTTTACAGTTGAAGGGGAGCTTGACATGGTGGAGGCATAGGGAAAAGGCGCAGAGTGGAGGAGCCAAATGCCTTCACATTTTATACCTGGCACCAGGACTCTGTAAGCAGAAACTGTAAGCAAACTAAATAGACTTGGCCCTAACCTCTATGTGCTTGTTCATTCTAGATAGTAAATACTTTGAGGACAGGGGCTGGCTTTCTCTTTCCCTTCTCTACTAACTCCATGACTCCTACAAGGGCACTCAAAGGAATGTTGATATTATTCAAAATAGGTTGTCTAAATGGAGAAACAATAAAATGCAATTAAGATAATGTAAAACATGAGGCATGAGAAAAAGCCCAGGACTTTCCAGATGAAAAAGAGACAGCTAATGGGCAGAGAAAGGGGAGAAGAAGTAACATAAAGCAGCATAGAACAATACTCATTTATCTTGCTATCATGTAAATGAGTCTAATTAAAGAGTGTTTGTAGGGCACTAGTAAATCCTCTGATAAAATGCATAAATAAAACAGTACTTTGGTTTGCTATTTTCTTGTTCACAGCACAGGAACTTCCCTTGGTCTCTCATTTTTGATCGTTTTAGATATATTTTGTTCCATTCACATGATTTTTTCTGATTCCTGAAGCAGCAACAGAACTGAATAAACCAATAATTGTATAAAGTTGACATTCATCACAGCCATGTAAAGGTTTGGTATTTCAGCCAATTTTGCTTTCCTCATTTTTTTCTTTGTATCACTGTGGATTCTGCATATTCTCGTTTTTTTTTTTTTGGTAGAATATATTATAACTTCTATTATTTTTAAATTTCTTTTAATGACTTGAAGTTGCTCCACCGTCTCAATAATCAGTGTGTTAATATATTAATAATTGTTGCTATGTCCCAGAAAGTGGTAGTAAAAGCATTGTTGAGCTAATACCAGTGCAATACATAAATTATTCATTGAAATATATCATGCCTATTTGACTGTATTGCTGTATTCTACTAGCAAAACATCTCGTGCTTTATTGTAGACTCTCATTTCGATTAAAAGAAATTAAGAAGGTCCACACTCATTCTGGTGGATTCAAAGAACTAATAATTTGGCTGCTCTAGAAACGGACCTCAAGGGAATGCAAATGAGCGAAAAACCTGAAAGGGAGTCAGAGCAGGATTTGGTTTTCTTGTTTTCTGATCTATCCCTGTTTATTAGTCAGCGAGGACTGCCATAACAGGGTAACAGCTTGGTTGGTTTAAATGACAGCTATCTATTATCTTACGGTTCTGGAGGCTGGAAGTCCAAGATCAGCCTGTTGGTAGGGTTAATTTCTCCCGAGGCCTCTGTCTTTGCCATGTAGATAGCTGTCTTCTTCCTTCTCACACAATCCTCCCTCTGTGTGTATCTGTGACCTAATCGCCTCTTCTTATAAGGACCCGGTCATATTGGTTTGGATCCACCCGAATGATTTTGTTTCACTTTAATTACCTCTTTAAAGGTCCTATCTCCAAATACAGTCCCATTCCAAGGTAGTGGGAGTTAGGGCTTAAACACATGCATTTTAAGGGGACCCTATTCATCCTATAACACCCAAAAACAATCTTTGACATTCTGACATGAGATCCTTGGAGCCAGCACATCACACATGTCTTCTGGATTCTGATGATGCCTGTTCTGTGTTGGCTGCTGCTCTGGCCTTCCTCCTCTCCTTGGCATTGCACAGCTCTACTGCCTGGAGATCACCAGTCAGAGGGGGCATTGCGCAGCCAGACAAACCAGTCTCTATCCCCAAACTTCTGGCCTTTCCCCTTCTTTAAGAACTTGGGTGAGATGCCACAGGGTGGGGCATGGGACTATATTTCTAGAGCAGCCACATGATGCAACCCAGAAATGTCTCCATGGGGCAAACTTTGGCAAATGGAACTAGGATATGGGAAGGAGATGGGTAAAGAAATTCTTGCTTCTTACTTCCTCCCATAGCTGGTCCCAAGCCACAGCTTCTCTGTATAGCCTGTCTAGACATGTGTGGCTCCATGAGTGTCATCACAGCTCGTTGTGAGGCCTGGCCAGTACTGTAGCATGCAAGAGCTTGCATTGCTTTCCTTCCTTCTTGGATTCATTTCCTTCCTCTTTCACTCTCACTACTCTGGGACTGCTCCTGCCAAGTGAAGCATCAAGACTCAATCCTTGCCTCAGGCTCTGCTTTCTAGGGAATCAGGAATAAGACAATATTTTACCCATTATAGAAGTTTTGTCCTAATTATAGAGGTGGCAATAAATTTGAATAATAGCACATAGATAAGTATTATTCTTCAATATTTATTATAGAGCATTCAATCATTTTTCTCAAGTTATTGCTAGCAAGGGCAGGGCAATAAAGCCATGACAAATTGCAGTAAACATTGATAAATATCAACTCGGTAGCACTCCTAGACTCATATGGATTCAAGTGGACTCATCTGCAGGCCCAAATAACTTTTTATTTTAATTTTCATGAGCAAATGTGTTTAGAAGTTAAACGAGATTATTTCTTAAACTGTGAACTTTATCTGTCACAAAGAATGTATTTTCTCCTTCTAGAAGATTCCACGTTGTTATCTATGAGGCCATTTCATAATGGAGGAGGTCCAGCAATAAAACTTCTTGAACCATTCAGAAAAAATTCATAAAAATTTTTTATCATCTTCAACATCTCAAATGTTGAAATACAATGTCTAATTATTTTGTAAAATTACTAAGTAGTATGAATATTTGACCACTTGAAAGAATTTTCTGCAAAGCCTAGTTTCCAGCAAGTAATTTCTCAATCCAGTGAATCCCTTAGATACGCAGTGTGTAGTAAGATCAGAGCCTACCTATTTACCCATAGGCAAATGAAGTTCAGCTGAACTGAGTTAGACTTTTGTGCAAGCTCTATGATGTATTGTCATTAATAAATGGGCAGGAAATAGCATTTCCAAATTCCTGACAGATATTAATATTCAGTATTCAAGAATGAGCAATTGGAATCCCTGGCAATCCCCAGGAATTCTTCAAATCATAACTTATTCTGTAAGTTTTATAATACTTTATTTATGAATTTAAAAATCATGACTGACGATAGTAATAAATTGTTACTCTACTTGAAATAGAGTTATACAAGGGTTTTCCATATAGAGAAGTCTATGCTATGTAATATATGCTTAGTTTATATTAACTGATACATCATGAAAATATTATATATTTAAATAACAGGTAAAAGTGTTGTTTACTTGATATAAACATTTGATAATAGGAAATACTACTAAAGAAGGGACCATTAGCACCAAATAAATGTCAAATAAAAATGACTCTAAAAATGGAAAGATACTACCAATATTCAATATTTAAAAGTTGCCATTCTCCAATGGAAAATTTAAAGAACACCAAACATTCACTGCCTCATCCAATAGTTGGGCTCTCTGTTTCCTGACAAACATTTTAGATGTAGAAAGATTTCTTTCACTTTGTGTCGACATGGGTTGCATTGTGAAAAGTGCATGCAAAAACAGTTTCAAGTTGGATCTTAGGGTTCATGCAGCTCCATTTAAGCTCACTTCCTTTTTTATTTTTTTTATTTTTGAGATGGAGTCCCACTCCATTGCCCAGGCTGGAGTGCAGTGGTGCAGTCTTGGCACTGCAACCTCCACCTCCTGGGTTCAAGTGATTCTCAAGACTCAGCCTCCCAGGTAGCTGGGATTACAAGTGTGCCCCACCATGCCCAGTTAATGTTTTCATTTCTAGTAGAGATGGGGTTTCACCATGTTGGCCGGGTAGTCTCAAACTCCTGACCTCAAGTGATCTGCCTGCCTCGGCCTCCCAAAGTGCTGGCATTACAAGTGTGAGCCACCATGCTCAGCCTCATTTCCTTTTTTTTAAGATAAAAATATTTTGTTTTCTTTTCCTGACTTTGATTTTGCTATTGAAATCAATACTGCTTATGCTGACAGCTTTAAGATCAATTTCTAGTTTTATATTGACGCATTCCATGACAGCATTCATGTCATATTCTCTTTGCATTTTTTTCTGGTAAAATATTTGTAAGAAATTATAGTCTACGGAGAATATTCAAATACTGGAAAACACCAGTAAATGTTACTAGGTAGTATTCAAATACTGTAACATTTGGTTACTAGTAAATTTACTAGCAAGTTTACTAGTAAGTTTACTAGCAAGGAGTAAGTTTACTAGCAAGGAGATCTTACCCTGATCTTACTAGCATGCAGCAGGATGGACTGAAGTATCTATTTTACTTTCAAAACTTGTTACCTCTTGAAACGTCACTTAGAGGACTCATATAATGTATTCTGTGCATAAAACTTAGTACTATTTATTTTATTTGTACAATGATTTTCTGTTAGAAGCACACTGGCCCCAAGAACACTCACTTATGCCAGGGCAGCTGTAAGCAAGACGGATGATGCTGCGGCCACCCACCTCCTGTGTGCCCACCTTGTTCTGGGCTCCACTTGCCAGCACTTCCTGCTATTGCTTTTAGCTAGGTGTCCATGAATTCCTTCAAACTGATAGCACCATCTGATGACTGTGATACCACCGTCTGATGATTGTGATACCACCGTCTGGTGATTGTGAAGCATTAATTCTCACAGGAGAATCATATTTTCCCATTTTCTTGCCTTCTTGATTGATTTTTCTTGGGATTAAGAGAAATATAAATTTTCTGAGAAATGCTGGGAAGGAATCCCTGTGTGGAAATACTGGTAGAAGAAAATGGGCCTTCCATAAAATAGCCCTTTATCACTGCAGTGATGGCTAGCCCCACCTTGAATATCTTGAATGCAGGTGCTGTTGGAGATCTAACTTGAGCCTAAATTGAGTCCTTTCTGGAAAGCAGACCTATCCAGAGGCCCAGGGATTTTGTTTGTTTGTTTTTGGACTAACCTTGTTACACATATTTTATTATTTTATTTAAATATTTTTTACTGTAATTAAACATACATAACCTAAAACATACCACTTAAACAACTTTTAAGTGTTCAGTGACATTAAGTATATTCACACCATTGTACAACCATCACCACCATCATTTCCAGAACTCTTTTCATTTGCAATACTGAAACTCTGTACCAATTAAATAACAACTTCTCATCCTCCCAACTCCCCTAGCCAGCCCCTGGCAAGCATATATACACATTGTCTTAGTCTACTCAGGCTGCTATAAAAAAATACCATAGACTAGGTGGCTTATAAACAACAGACATTTCTTTCTCACAGTTCTGGAGGCTGGGAAGTCCAAGATCAAGGCATCAGTGGATTTGGTGTCTGGTGAGGACTTGGTTCATTAGAGATGGCTGTTCTCTCACTGTAACCTCACATGGGGCAGAAGTTCAGAGAGATGTCTCTGGAGGTTTGTTTGTTTCTTTGTTTTTGTTTTTGTTTTTTTGACAGAGTCTTGCTCTGTCACCCAGGTTGGAAGCACAGTGGCATGATCTTAGCTCACTGCAACCTTTCCCTCCCAGGTTCAAGCAATTCTCCTGCCTTAGCCTCCTGAGTAGCTTGGACTACAGGTGCCCACCACCACATCCAGCTAATTTTTGTATTTTCAGTAGAGATGGGGTTTCACCATGTTGGCCAGGCTGGTCTTGAACTCCTGAGCTCAGGGCTCCTTGAACACCTGCCTCGGCCTCCCAAAGTGCTGGGATTACAGGCATGAGCCGCCATGCCCGGTCCTGGGGTCTCTTCTTATAAGGGCACTAATCTTTCATGAGGACTCTACCCTAATGAACTGGTTACCTCCCAAAGGCCCCACTTCCTACTGTTATTACCTTTCAGGTTAGGATTTCAACATCTACATTTTGGAGGAATACAAATCTTCAGACCATAGCATGGAGAATTTATTCATTAGCATATATGAAGTGTCTTCTGGCAATTCCTAGAAATAGCTGAGGACGTTTTGAAAGGAATTTGAGGTTTTATAGTAGACGGTAAGAGAAAGAGGTGATGAAAATAATATTACTATGAATGTGGTCACTCATCATCCCCAGTCCGATTTAGCTCGAGGAAACAGGTGTCCCCATAGCAAAATGAGACTCAGGAAGCTGAAAAGAACATATCACACATAATGAATAACAGTGATCCTTGGCTCTTTTCTCCATGTGCTAATGGAAGAATTTATTCAGCAAGTGGCTATCACTTTTGGAGACCATCTCTGTGGTTTCAAATGTGGTGGGTATAGAAATGCTAGAAGATTCCATTTTTACATCTTCCATGTCCAGAGAAGGATTTACTGCTTCCTTCAAAGATTTGTGATGAGACTAGCAGCACTTTGCATCATTACAAGAAGTCTATGATAGTCTGGAAAGACTTTTAGGATAAGACTGTAAAATACTTGAAGACACTTGATCAAGATTCTCATGTAACTTCTTAAGAAAGCATTAGTGCCCATCAAGGATTATGTCAAACAGTCTACCACATTCTACAGCTTTGTTTAGTCTTTTGGTTATAAGAGTCAGTTTCAGGGCAGTTGACATAGTGTCTATCCTCTGACTTCATTAGAACTACTATCAGATATGCTGTACATAATGTAAACAAGATAATGGAGAACTGTTTCAGGAATGACAGTGTGATCACCTCAGACAATGGTTGAGATGTCATGTGGAAAGCTTGCCTCTGGTATAATTTCCTTAAGCAATTCCTCATAAGGCATTCATCATTATGTTATTCCTCACCCTCCCATCCTTCAGGCTTCATCAACCTGAAGAGTCAAATAATCTGCAGAGGTGATACATAAGCCAGGGTATTCAGTAGCAGATGGCCCAAGCCATTCAAATGCATGATACTGTAGGCAAGCAGAGAGAACTAACTACTGAGCAAATATCTCACCACTGCACATGTAACCCACATATGTAAGAAGGCAGAAAGGAAAGTAGTTAAACCCCACAGAAAGGAAAGTAGTTAAAAACAGGTGGCTGCTTTTAACTCTCACTGCAGCAAGCGAAGGGGCTAGGGACAGGGAGTGAGGGAAGTTTCATAGTAGGAGACAGGGCATAATTATAGGAAAAATGACTTCTGTATGATGGCAGAGTCTTTCAGGCAGCATTTGGAATTAAAAGCCATTACACCATCTGAGGACGCTCAGAGATTGTGCAGAATGAGGACCAGTAATAGAGTCCTTTGGTGTTGGAGGGGAATTACCTCCACAGCATTTCCTACATTTCGTGGTTTTGTGAAAGGAAGAGTCAGAAATCACTGAGCAATAAAAATGCTCTTAATGTTTTTGAGGCAGAAAGCAGGTAGAGAGAATTTTGAGCAGGTGCAGACAGCATCTGGGAGCATTAGGAAAGCAGAAAGCTAGTGCACCACTGTAGGGCCGGCAGCAAAAGCACCGCTGTCCTCCCAGCCGCCAAGCCAGACCCAGAGAAAGCATCCTTGACTCTTTCCATTTCCTACACGCACTTCCAAAGTTTTTTCTCTTAAGAACAATGTTGCTGTGAACATTTTCTACATGTTTCCTCGTGCATATGAGCAAGAATTTCATAAGATAATGCCAAATTGTATTCAAAATTGGTTGAACCAACATAACCTGACACAATGCATGAATCTTGTATTAGGAAAAAAACTGTAAGAGACATATTTGGAAAAATTGGATAAGTTTGAATACAAAATGAATATTGGGTAATACTATCTGATTATTGTTCATTTTAAATATGTGAATGGTGTTAGAGTTAGTATGAATTTTTTTTTATTCTTATTCTCTTAAGAGTAATTTAGGAGGGAAGTGCCAAGATATCTACAGTTCACTTTCAAATGGCTCAGCAAAACTGTGACTATATGGAGAAACAGCTAAAGAGAGAAAGGAGAGAGAGAGAGAAAGAGAGAGATCACAAATGGGACAAAACGTTGGTGGAAAATATATGTTTAAATTTTTTTCAGGATTGAAAATTGTGAAAAGAAAAGAAAAAAATGGTTGAACCACTAAGGGTCTAGTTAGGAAAACTGAAACCACTCTAGGTATTTCAAACAGAGGGACTTTAATACAAGAAATTGGTTTCAAAGATATTGGCTGGGTGTGGTGGCTCATGCCTGTAATCCCAGCACTTTGGAGGCTGAGGCAGGCAGATCACTTGAGGTCAGGAGTTTGAGACCAGCCTGGCCAACATGGCGAAACCCCATCTCTACTAAAAATACAAAAGTTAGCCAGGCTTGCTGGTGCCTGCCTGTAGTCCCAGCTACTCAGGAGGCTGAGGCATAACAACCACTTAAACCTGAGAGGCAGATGTTGCAGTAAGCCAAGATCGCACAGTTGTGCACTGCAGTCTGGGCGACAGAGCGAGACTCCATCTCAAAAATAAATACATATACACATACATAAAAAGTAAAAATAAACAAAGATATTAAGAAGGTTGGAAGAGTAAAAGGAAGGAAATGGGACTGGAGGATCCAAAAGGAAGAAGCTGTCATCCTTGAAAATCAGAAGCTGTTAGTGCCCTTGAGCTCAGTCCCCGAGCCTGTGCTTGCTGCAGTTGGTTCCAGATCCATGGAAGAGGTACTGCCTCACTCTGGGCAGGGACTGCTGAAAGAGGTGCTGTCTGCTCAGGCTGCTGGCTCCCAGCTGCCCCTTTCCATTGCCAGCTTCGTCAGTAACTACCACCAAGAGTCAGAGCCAGCAGCAGAAAGCTTTCCTCTTCTCCTGCCTTCTAATATCCACAAGCACCTTTACTTTATTTGTTTATTTTTTATGGACAGGGTTTTGCTCTGTCCTCCAGGTTGGACTGTGGTGGCACAAAATTAGCTCACTGCAGCCTTGAACTCCCAGGCTCAAGTGATCTTCCTGCCTCAACCTCCTGAGTAGCTGGGACTGTAGGCATGTACCACCACATTCAGCTATTTTTGTATTTTTGTAGAGACAGGGTCTTTATATTGTTGCCCAGGCTGGTCTTGAACTCCTGGGCTCAAGTGATTCTCCTGCCTTGGCCCCTCAAAGTGCTAGGATTACAGGCATAAGCCACTGTGCCTGGCCCAATATTAACTGTTAACAAAGTGCATGTAATTTCTTCAGAGGTAGAGACTCATTCACAATCAATGAATTATGAACTCTAGAACAAAAATAAGGCCTCAAGATAGAGTTGGGTAGAGAGAGCTACCTGAACTGACTGGTGCCAAGTGCGTGGTGACTGACAGACCATCCGACTTTCTGGTTTGTCCAGGACTGAGGGGTTTCCCGGGACAAGGGACTTTCAGTGCTAAAACCAGGCAACTCCTGGGCAAACCTGGGGCTAAGTTGGTTACCCTAGCCAAATAACATTTGCAGTCACCATCTTGGGCCCCACCTAAGAAGTCTGGAAGGTCTCACCTGATATGGAACAGGACATACCCTTACATAAGCACATTAATTTTTACATAGAATCAGCGACGTTGTCAAAGATGCAGGCTAATTTTAAGAGGCCTAAGTTCACAATGGGTAATATCAGGTTTGTGCCTGTGCACATTTTGAAGGAATTTTTAAAATTGTATCTGCTAATATTTGTAGGTGATGGACTGAATCAATCAATAGTTTTTAATGGATAACATTAAATATGTCAGAGGAGAAGTAAAAACTTACCTAAAAAAAGAAATGCAGAAATGCAGCCAATAATAAATAAATAAAGGATAAAGGATAGCCACAGGGCAGAGAAGGTTTTGGCCAATTTGTGTGTGGCTGGTCCTGTAGTTGTGCATGCTCTGGGCAGGACACAGGTCTCTGTTATCTAGGGGCCAACCCCATCTCTGACACCAGATTGCTCGTGACACACAGCACTTATGCTCATTGGCATGTGCCAACATGCACCAAGGAGTCAGTAACGACTTGTTTCCAGAAAGCAGCTTCAGGCTCCAGAGTTGACCTCCTGCCTGCCAACTCCATTGGGCTGCATTTTGTGGTGGGAAAATCCAAGGCCTTTGGGAGACAATTTCATGACGTTGCATTTATGGATTTTGTAGAGCATCCAACTGACTCCATGGACGACTATTTATTAGTGTGGTAGCAAATACTGCAGTGCTCGGTGTTCTGTCCCCTTTGTGAAATTCTCTCTTCCATGGACTTCTGTTAACACCCCTCCTTCCTTCCTGGTGGTAGTTCTCCTTCTCTGGTTGCTTGGTTTTTTTGTTTTGTTTTGTTTTGTTTTGTTGTTGTTTTGGTCTTTTTTGTTTTTGTTTTTGTTTTCGATTATATTCATGTTATTGTGGTGAGAAACACATCACATGAGATGTCCTCTCAACAATCTTTTAAGTATACAGTATGCTATTGGTAACTATAATTTATACACAGTGTTGCACAGCAGATCTCTAGAACATCTGCATTTCGCAGGACTGAAGCTCCATACCCACTGAACAGCAATCCCCATTTCTGCCTTTCCCAGCCCCTGACAGTCACCATCCTGCTTTCGATTTGTCCTTTGGGCTTCATTTCGTCCCCAGGGGCCTGTCCTTGTCTTCAGGGCCACTGTGTCCCTGCTTGTCCTCTTCTCTGTGAACACATTCCTCCTGGGTAAGCTTGTCATAGTATTGTTTCTAACAGCAAAGACAATTTTGAAACAACTTGAAGGTTCAACAGTGCAGGATTGGTTAAATATGTTTTTTTTTTAATGGCCTACTATGCATCATTTGATGAAAATTGCACTGTACATTTGTTGACATAAAGATGTTCATGATACTGCTTAGTTCATAAACCATGTTATAACGTTGCATGTATAATGTGATCCTATTTGTGTGAAAAATAGATAAATACATAGTGACATCTGAATGAATGCTCACTCCAAATATTAACAGTATTTATCTCTAGGTGGTGGAATTATGTGTGATTTAAGCATTATTTCTGTTTGTCAGCAATTTCTAGTTTTTCTACAACAAACACGGACTTTTAGTGTAGTGAAAAAAATACAGGTCATAAGAAAAAAGATTCTCTTAGGATATGGATCCCAGTCAGCCAGTTGACTGTGTACAACTCTGCAATAAATACCCAACCAAGCCAGGTGCAGTGGCTCATGCCTGTAATCTCAGCACTTTGGGAGGCTGAGAAGGGAAAATTGCTTGAGCTCAGGAGTTCGAGACCAGGCAAGTACATAACATACAGAGACCCCCATCTCTTAAAAAAAATTTTTTTTTTTTAATTAGGCCTGGTGTGGTGGCTCAGGCCTGTAATCCCTGCAATTTGGGAGGCCGAAGTGGGCAGATCACTTGAGGTCAGGAGTTAGAGACCAGCCTGGCCAACATAGTGAAACCCCATCTCTACTAAAAATACAAAAACTTAGCTGGGTGTGGTGGCGGAGGCCTGTAGTCCCAGCTACTTGGGAGGCTGAGACAGGAGAATTGCATGAACCCAGGAGGTGGAGGTTGCAGTGAACTGAGATTGTGCCACTGTACTTCAGCCTGGGTGACAGAGCGAGATTCTGTCTCAAATAAATAAATAAACAAATAAAATCAGCCAGGCGTGGTGGCACACCTGTGGTCCCAGCTACTCGGGAGGCTGAGGTGGGAGGATTGCTTGAGCCTGGGAGGTTGAGGCTACAGTGAGCCATGATTGTGCCATTGCACTCCAGCCTGGGCTGGATGGAGATCTCTTCGAAATAAATAAATAAGTAAAAATCTCTGGCTTTTTAAAGGTCCTCACTACAAAAAGATAAGTATGTGAGGCAATGCATACGTTAAGTAGCTCCATTTAGCCATTACACAATGTTTACATGTCAGAATACGTACGCAATAAATATATAAAATTTTTACGTGTCAAAATAAAATAAATTACTTCGGGAAAAAAAAATCCCCTCTTTTGAATCAGAGCCATTGGGCTCCATGATGTTGGACTCGTTACTTAACCTCTTAAAGTCTCAATTCCATCATCTCTGGAGTGGGTCGTAGACCAACCAACTTTATTAGATCGTTTTGATGATTCAGTGATTGGGCACCCAGGTCATAAATCTCTCCCCTCCCCTGGCCTCTGATGTCATTCTTCATGGAGGATGAGCCCTGAGAGTCCCTCATCCTGTCAAGTAGTTTTGTTCTTTAAATGGCTGATTAACTCACAGAGGTAGTGTCTTTTAATGCAAGTTCTCTACATGAAATGAGGTGCCAAGTTAACAACCCAGGAAAACAGAAGGCTTATGTTTTTCCACATAATAAACTGTGAAGAAATGAGTAGGGCAAGCTTTCCAGCCTCTCTATTAGAGCTGTGTGCCTATAAAACACAAAATGTACACACACATCTTCTTTGAGCCACTGTGTTGTTCTGGCTAAGAAATGGAATGCTAACGATTATTCAGGAATTTTCTTGAACCTGTTTGATAGAGTTAAAAAAATTTTTTTTTTCTTAGCCTGTAGCTAAACTTTAAAATAGCCAGGTCTTGGCTGGGCGGGGTGGCTCATTCCTGTAATTCCAGCACTTTGGGAGGGTGAGGCGGGTGGATCACCTGAGGTCAGGAGTTTGAGACCAGCCTAGCCAACATGGTGAAACCCTGTCTCTACTAAAAATACAAAAATTAGCTAGGCATGGTGGCGCACGCCTGTAATCCCAGCTACTCAGGAGCCTGAGGCAGGAGAATCACTTGAGCCCAGGAGGTAGCAGTTGCAGTGAGCCGAGATCACAACACTGATCTCCAGCCTGGGCAACAGAGCAAGACTCTGTCTCAAAAAAAAAAAAAAAAAAAAAAGCCAGGTCTGTTCAGTTTAGTACTTGCACAGAATCCTGTTATGTGACAAACACTGGGTATTGGGGGTTTGGAAATAAGTGAGACAGATAAATAAATAAGACTCTCCTCTGTCTGGGTAGTCTCAGGGGATGATAGAAGCACAGGAAGCTCCCTCTAATAGTCTGTGGCAGAGACAGGGTAGAGGTTTGCTCAGAGGATTGCCATACAGAAGAGTGGGGCTGAGAAACGTCAAGGCCATCAACAGCAACACAGGCCCCAGTGAAGCTCCCAAGCAGGCTTCAAGAATACCATGCAGACAGGATGGGGAGCAAAAGAGTCCTTATGTCTCCAGGGTATTAGCCCCATTTCCCATCTCCCATTTGTGTGTCAAAGGAGTTGCCCAGCCAACACAGGGCTAGGGGACAGCTCTGCAGCCTTTGTGACTGTAAGAGTTAAAGAAAGAGGAAAGAAACACGAAAAGCAGCTCAACAGTTAAAGAACAGGTTTATTTCTCCAAAATAAACCTGAGAGGGGCTTCTGGCCCATCTCAGTCACGAGCATGTTCTCTTACAGACTAAGAGTATATATTGGTTTTATGGTGAGGGGGCTTATGACAAGCTTTGAATGTTTCTGTGTGTGGAGAAGTTTATGATGTGGTTGTAATGTCTCTGGTCAGAGGGGAGGTTATCTTGGGGCTGACATGTTTCTGATCGGGGAGGAGTTTGGAATGTTTCTGGTTGGAGATGTTATTTGTGGTTTATGGTAATGCTGACCTTAGCCATTAGGCTGATGCCCTTTGGATTTAGGCGGTTTTTGATCAAGGTGAACTTTAGAATGGCGGTGCTTGTCCAAGATGGCGATGCTCCTGCTCTGTCAGTGACTAAAGAAAGGGCTTCACTTTGTCTGGGGCTCTTATGACTAAAGAAAGGGCTGGCTTCCTCTGGTCCCTTACTCTATAAGACAGCCACTGTAGGGGAAAAATGAGCCAGGCACTGCTTCTGTCTTCCAGAACCTTAGAGTCGGTAGAATCCTTCTTGCCTCTCTCCTACTTCAGGGGTAACCAGCAATCCTCAACACTCGTTGGCTTGCAGCTGTACAACTCCAGTCTCTGCTTCCCTCCTCACATGGCCTTCTCCCCGCCATTTCCTCACATCATCCTCCTAGGAGGTTACCACTCATACCGGTAAAAAGGCCCACCCTGCTCCAGTGTGACCTCATCTTGACTAATTATGTTTGCAGCAACCATATTGCCAAACAAGGCCACGTTCTCAGGCACTGGGGATGAGGACTCCTGCATATTCTTTTGGAGAACACAGTTCCAGCCGTAACAGGGAGATGAGGCAGTTATCTACAGCGCCTTCAGTCCCCTAAGCATGGACTGCACGGGCCAATGGGAAAGTTCCCCTGGGGCCTTGGAAGGTTCACTGAAGAATCAGCGTGTAAAACACAGATTAACTGGAGAAAATGCACACAAATTTATTTAACGTGTATATATGGAGCCTCCAGACTGAAGACCCAGAGGTACAAGGGAGATTGTCCATTTTTATTCTCAGGTTCAACAAAGTATGGACAGCCGTGTCTGTCTAGATTCTCCCGGCCCCTCTGCACAGCGATCCTTCCTTCTGGGTATGAGGCGAGACCCTTTCTGCAACAGGGGCCTTATGACCTACCGTCAAACAGTGTAGGTCAGATCATTTCTTTACGGCCAGTTTTTACATAGAAAGGCAGAGGGAAAGGCAGAGTAATACTTTTAGGTTTTATAGCTGGCTTTGAGGAAAAGGGTTTCTAATTTCTAAGACTAGCCTTGGGGAGGAGGGATTCTAGTTTCTGCGGCTAGCCTTGAGGGAGAGCGGGACTGAGAGACAGGAGAGAAGGACAAAGTCAGAAAAACTTTTGCTCCTGAGGCTGCTTCTCAGGCCTTCATTTTGGGATATTGTTTGCTGAGCCGAACAGCACTACTGGAATCCATCGTACTGTCAGAGGCATTTGAACCAGAGCAACTCCATCTTGAATAGGGGCTGGGTAATATAAGGCTGAGACCTGCTGGGCTGCACTCCTGGGAGGTTAGGCATTCTTAGTCACAGGATGAGATAGGAGGTCGGCACAAGATACAGGTCATAAAGACCCTGCTGATAAAACAGGATGCGATAAAGAAGCCGGCAAAAACCCACCAAAACCAAGATGGTGACAAAAGTGACCTCTGGTCGTCCTCATTGCTCTTTATACATTAATTATGATGCACTAGCTGCTAAAAGACACTCCCACCAGTACCGTGACAGTTTACAAATGCCATAGCAATGCCTGGAAATTACCCTTATATGATCTAAAAGGGGGAAGAACCCTCAGTTCCAGGAAATCCCTGCCCCTTTCCCAGAAAACTCATGAATAATCCACCCCTTGTTTAGCATATAATCAGGAAATAACCATAAGTATGCTCAATCAAGCAGCCCCTGCTGCTGCTCTCTGCCTATGGAGTAGCCAATCTCTTGTTTCTTTACGTTTCTAGTAAACTTGCTTTCACTTTACTTTATGGACTTGCCCCAAATTCTTTCTTGCGTGAAATCTAAGAACCCTCTCTTGGGGTCTAGATCAGGATGGTTTCTGGTAATAATAGCATGTGGTGAAAAGAGCCTGGAGGTTGAGATGGCAAAGCCTAGGATCCTTCCTCACTCTTGGGCCTGTGTTTGCACCAGTGAAATCAGGTGCTAGGGATTTCTTGCCTTCTATCGTGTTCTGACAGTCTTGATGAACTCTGATCCCACATTTGAACCTGGCCTTGGCACATGCAGCAGAAATATTGCATTGAGCAGTCTTTTTGTCTGGTGGACAGCAAATTGTGCTACTTTTGAAAAGTTATGGTGTTTATCAAGTTTGTCTTCCAGCCTTATCTCTCTGTCATTTTCCCCACACCACACACACATTTTAGTACCTCCTCTTCCAATTGGAACCAGGAAGAATCATTTAGAACTGTTGATTACTCTTTAGGGTAAAGGAATTTAGCTTAATTATTCATTCCAGACATTTGAAAGTAAAACTCTCTTGAAGGAATTTAAAGCATCTGCAAACAAAGAAGAATGTCCTTTATTTTAATTCAGGAGATTGGTCATTATTTCTAAAGTCACACTTTGATGATCATCAGAAAAGCATGAAGTTACTCCTGACTTAAGCCTACTGGGATGCATGGAGTTAGGTGAGGAGGGATGGTCTCCACCCATTGCCTGTGTGGAGGCTGTGAGGTGCTGCACCTTCGGTGCCTGGAGCCCAGACACCTGCTGTCAGGGAGAGGGGCAAGCAAGTGTGACAACTCTAGGGCCCAGAGCCCCTCTCACTTGGGCTTAGGATGGCTGCGCAGCCCTCTGTCTAAAGCCTCCCCTGCCTCATTCCCTGTTCCTGTCTGAGCTTCGGAACAGTTGCTCCTTTTTCAACATCTCTAGATTCTCTGATTCCAGGAATGCAGACGGGGCCTTTCCTGGAAGTTCCCTCTTCCCCTACCCCATGCCACTGAAGCTGGATAATGGTACTTGCAATTTCTGGGGAGACCACTCATGCAGCGTCCTGGTCCCAAGTTTCTGGGGTCTCAAGTCCCCGGACACTCAGGATACCACAGACAGGAAGCAGGGGGAAGCTGACTCTGCTGCTGTGGACATCTCAGGAAAGAAGGCAGCCTAGGCAGTTGCAGAAGTGTCAGAGGCATTTGAACCAGAGCAACTCCATCTTGAACAGGAACTGAGTAAAATGAGGCTGAGACCTACTGGGCTGCATTCCCAGACGGTTAAGGCATTCTAAGTCACAGGATGAGATAGGAGGTCAGCACAAAATGCAGGTCATAAAGACCTTGCTGATAAAACAGTTTGCAGTAAAGAAGCCGGCCAAAACCCACCAAAACCAAGATGGTGATGAGAGTGACCTCTGGTCGTCCTCACTGCTACATTCCCAGCAGTGCCATGACAGCTTACAAATGCCATGGCAACGTCGGGAAGTTACCCTATATGGTCTAAAAAGGGGAGGCATGAATAATCCACCCCTTGATTAGCATATTATTAAGAAATAACCATAGAAATGGGCAACCAGCAGTCCTCAGGGCTGCTCTGTCTATGGAGTAGCCATTCTTTTATTCCCTTACCTTCTTAATAAACTTGCTTTTGCTTTGCACAGTGGACTTGCCCTAAATTCTTTCTTGCGTAAGATCCAAGAACCTTCTCTTAGGGTCTGGATTGGGACCCCTTTCCTGTAGCAGATGGAGGCTAGATTCTGGGCAACTGTGGAGGCAACACCGTATCAGAGCCAAATCCCGTACCTCCTAGGAGAAAAAGTTCTCAACATTGATGCTGACTGTACTTGCAATAAAGTGAGGAGACGACAATGATAAAAATGTGTGCTGACTGAAAAAAGAATCCAGTTCACAGATGTGTATGTTCCTATTGCTCTAGTTACGCCAAAATGCCATACAACATAATACACCTATTTTTAAGTGTTTTGGATTAATGTGACTTATATTTTATATATGTCTACTTAGCTTTCTGTTTCTATTTAATTTTTTTCTAGGTTCATTGAAGTGTAATTTCCATACAATAACATTCCCCAAGATATTGAGCATTTTTATTACTCAAAAATGTTTTCTCCAAGCTCCTTTCCTAACCTCTGGCTCAAGGCAACCACTGACCTGCTTTCTGTTACTTAAAGTTTTGCTGTTTGTAGAATATCATATAATTAGAATAATACAGTATTGAGTCTTCGTGTCCCACTTATTTAGTAGAAGGGTTTGAGACTTATCCCTGCTGTATGATTTAATATTTTGTTCCTTTTTATTGCTAAGTAGTAGTTCGTTTTACAAACGTAACACAATGTATTAATCCATTTATCAGTTGATGCATATTTGGGTTGCTTCCAGTTTTCAGTTCTACGAGTAATGCAGATGTACACATTGTCTCAGTTTATTTGGGCTTCTATAACAAATGCCAGAGACTGGGTGGCTTATCAACAGCAGACATTTATTTCTCACAGTTCTGGAGGCTGGAAAGTCCAAGATCAAGGTGCTAGCAGATTTGCTGTCTGGTGAGGAGCCACTTTCTGATTCATAGATGGTGCCTTCTCGCTATATCCTCACAAGGTGGGAGTGCCCCCTTGGATCTATTTCACAAGGGCATTGATCTCCCTCATGAGAGTTCTGCCCTCATGACCTATTCACCTCTCAGTAGCCCCCCATTTCCTAATGCCATCACCTTGGTGGTTAGGATTTCAACATATGAATTTTGGGGAAACACAAACAAGTAATGCAGACACATATCTGCATTACTCAGGGAACCATAGACCATAGCATTCCATCCCTGGCCCACCAAAATTCACACTCTTCTCACATGCACAATACATTCACCCTAATAGCCTCCAAAGTCTTAACTCATTCCAGCATCAACTGAAACCTCTGAAGTCCAGAGTCTCATTTAAACATCATCTAATCCAGATATAGGTAGGACTCAAGGTACAACTCATTTACAGGCAAGTTGCTCTGCAGCTGTGAACCCACGAAAGCAAACATGTTATGTGCTTCCAAAACACAACAGTGGGACAGGCACAGGATAGACATTCTCATCCCAAAAGGGAGAAATAGAAAAGAAGGGCTAATATGTTCCAAGCAAGTTCAAAACCTTAAGGCTCAGAAACAATCTTCTTTGACTCAAGCGTCTGCCCTCTAGGCCCACTGGGTTGAAGGGTTCCATCTCTGGAGGTTTGCTGGGCAGGGGGTGGGCCACCAAGTCTCCTGGAGGCCCTGTCCCCATGGCTTTGCTGGACACAGCTCCGACCACAGCTGTTAGGAGTTGGAGCCTCCCATCTGTGGCTTTTCTGGGCTGGAATTGTATGCTAGTAACTCAACCGGTCTGGGGTCACAGCGATGCCCCCCTCCCCACCCGCAGAGCATTGCCTTAGTGGGGACTGTGATGTGGCACACCCTCATGGTGGTCTGGGTTGGGTACTCAATACTCTGAATAGCTTTTTCTTTCAAAATCTAGGTGAAAATAGCCATGACCCATGCCTCATGCACCCTGTGTTCTGATAGAGATGGTGCCTTACTGAGGCTGCCATGGTTTCCTGTCTGTACTTTCTGCAGGGATAGCTACCACAGGCTAAGCCACACTTGGGCCCACTGGAGCCACACCTGGGGCAGCCAAGGAACGCTGAGTAGTATGCAGGGAGCAGAGCCTTGAAATTGTTCTGAACCCCAGGCACTTGTGTTCTGGGTCTGTGATGCAAGGGGCAGCACCAATAACTCCAAAATACTTTTTGGGTCATTCAGTCATTGTCTTCATGAATAGCACCTGGTTTCCTTTGGGATACCAGATCTATACTAATTTCCTCATCAAAAAGTCACTTGGCTACACTCCTGCTTTCTCTTGAACATGCTTTCTCATACCTTTCAATATGAATAGGCTGAGAATTTTCCAAAATTTAATGTTTTGCTCTCCTTTTGATTAAAAAAAAAATCCATGTTTACATAGTTTATCTCTTGTTGTATTTTACTATAAGCAGTTAAGAGAAATCAAGCAGCATTTTCAACATTTTACCTAGAAATTTCATGAGGGAAGTCCCAGCCAGAGCAATCAGGCAAGAGAAAGTAATAAAGGGCATCCAAATTGGAAAAGACGAATTCAAACTGTCTCTGCTTGCCGATGACATAATCTTAGAAAATCCTCAAGTCTCCTCCAAAAGACTCCTACATTTGATAAACAAATTCAGTAAAGTCTCAGATTATAAAATCAGTATACACAAATCAGTAGCACTACTAAAACCACCAAGCTGATAATCAAATCAAGAACTCAATCCCTTTTACAATAGCTGCAAAAATAAAACAAAATACTTAAAAACATATTTAACCAAGGAGGTGAAGGATTTCATTTTTCTTCCCTCTGTCCCTCTCTCCTTCCCTCCCTTCCTTCCCTTCTTCCCTCCCCTTCCTTCCTTCCCTTCCCTTCCTTCCTTCTTTTCTTCCTTCTTCCCTTCCCCTTCCCCTTCCCTTCATTTCTCTCTTTTTCTTTCTTTCTGAGACAGTGTCTGGCTCTGTCACCCAGGCTGGAGTGCAATGGCATGATTTCAGCTGACTGCAACCTCCACCTCCTCGGCTCAAGCTATCCTCCCACCTCAGCCTCCTGAGTAGCTGGGACTATAGGCGTGCACCACCACACCTGGATAATTTTTGTATTTTTTGTAGAGACAGGGTTTTGCCATGTTTCCCAGGCTGATCTAGAACTCCTAGGCTCAAGCAGTCTGCCCCCTAGGCCCCCCAAAGACTGGGATTACAGGCATGAGCCACTCCACCTGGTGAGGTGAAGGATTTCTACAAAGAGAACTACAAAACACTGCTGAAAGAGATCACATGTTCATATTGTGAAAATGACCATGCTACCCAAAGCAGTCTACACATTCAATGCAATTTCTATCCAAATACCAATGTCATTCCTCATGGAATTAGAAAAAAACAATGCTAAAATTCATATGATACCAAGAAAGTGCCCAAATAGCCAAAGCAATCCTAAGCAAAAAGAACAAGTCTGGAGGCATCACATTGCTGAACTTTAAATTATACTATAAGGCTATAGCAACCTAAGAGCATGGTACTGGTATAAAAGTTGATACATAGATCAATGGAACAGAATAGAGAACCAGAAATAAAGCCAAATGTTTACAACCAAGTGATCTTTGACAAATCATAAAAAAAAAAAAACAAAAAAAAAACCTGGGGAGAGGACTGTATTCAATGACGCCGCTGGGAAAATTGTATAGCCACATGTAGAAGAATAAAAATGGATTCCTATCTCTCATTATATAAAAAAAAATCAACCCAAGATGGACTAAAGACTTAAATCTAAGACCTGAAATTATTTTAAAATTCTAGAAGAAAACCTAGGAAAAAAGCTCTTCTAGACATTGGCAGGCAAATAATTTATGACGAAGACCCCAAAAGCAAATGCAACAAAAACAAAAATAGACAAATAGGTCCTAATTAAACTAAAAAGCTTCTACACAGCCAAAAGAAATAATCAGAGTAAACAGACAACCTATACAGTTGGAGAAAGTATTTGCAAACTATGCAACCAACGAAGGACTAGTATCCAGAATCTACAAGGAACTCAGATCAGAAAGAATAAAACAAATAATCTTGTTAAAAAGTAGGCAGGCTGGGTACAGTGGCTCACGCCTGTAATCCCAGCAGTTTGGGAAGCCAAGGTGGGAGGATTGCTTTAGCCCAGGAATTCAAGGCCAGCCTGCGGAATACAGGCAGACACTATGTCCACAAAAAAATTAAAAATGACTGGACATGCTGGCATGTGCTTGTGGTCCCAGTGACTTGGGAGGCTGAAGTGTGAGGGTCACTTGAGCCCAGGAGGTCAAGGTTGCAATGAGCCATGATTGTGCCACTGCACTGTAGCCTGAGTAACGGAGTAAGACCCTGTCTCAAAAAAAAAGGGGGGTGAGGTGAGAGTGGGCAAATGACATGAACAGGCATTTCTCAAAAGAAGATGTACAAATGGACAAAAAACGTTTTTAAAATGTTCAACATCACGAATCACTAGGGAAATGCTAGTTAGAACCACAGTGAGATACTACCTTGCCCCAGCCAGAATGGACACTATTGAAAAGTCAAAAAACAATAGATGGCATGGATGTGGTGAAAATGGAACACTTATACACTGCTGGTGGGAATGTAAATTAGTACAACCTCTATGGAAAACAGTATGGAGGTTTCTCAAAGAACCATTCAATCCAGAAATCCCACTACAGGGTAAGTACTCAAAGGGAAAAAAAAATCATTATATCAAAAAGACACTAGCATCTTTATGTTTATTGCAGCACAATTCACAATTGCAAAAATATGGAATCAGCCTAAGTGCCCATCAACCTGTAAGTAAATAAAATGTGGTATAAATTCCATAGAATACTACTCAGCTATAAAAAAAAGGCAAAATAATGTCTTCTGCAGTAACTTGGACGGAACTAGAGACTATTATTCTGAGTGAAATAACTCAGGAATGAAAAACCAAATACTGTATGTTCTCACTTGTAAGTGGGAGTTAAGCTATGGGTATACAAAGCCAGACAGTGGTATAATGGACACTGGAGACTCAGAAGGGGGAAGGGTAGAAGTGGAGATGAGGAATGAAAACACTACCTATTGGATATAACTTATACGACTTGGGTGATGATTTCACTAAAACCCCAGACTTCACCACTGTATGATTCATCCATATAACTAGAAACCACGTGTACTCCTAAAGATATTGAAAGAACGAAATTTAAATAAAAGAGTCAGATCACATGATGTACATGACTTCATACCTTCTTTGATATTTACCATTCATTTTTTTCCCTCTCCATGTTTTTACTTTTGCTGGCTTAGTACTTTTTTTTCTTTCCTTTTTAGCTGATTGTAAGCTTGGAAGTTGTATTATACTCTTAAGTTTTGAAAAATGTATAAACCCATGTAATCACCACCACAATAAAGATATAGAACATTTCCATCACCACCTCCATCCCAAAAAGAAATTTCATCAGCCAACTATCCAATTTTATTGCTCACAAGTTCCACCTTCCACAAAACACTAGGACATGAACACAATTCCACCAAATTCCTTACCTCTCTATAACAAAGATTGCTTTTCCTCCAGTTTCCAATAACATGTTCTCCGTTTCCATCTGAGACCTTGATATGGTTTGGCTCTGTGTCTCCACCCAAATCTCATCTTGAATTGTGCTTCCATAATTTCCATGTCTTGTGGGAGAGACCCGGTGGGAGATAATTGAATCATGGGGTGGTTTCTCGCATACTGTTCTCGTGGTAGTGAATAAGTCTCGTGAGATCTAATGGTTTAATAAGGGGAAACCCATTTCGCTTGGCCATCATTCTCTCTCTTGTGCTGCCATGTAAGAATTATGCCTTTTGCCTTCCACCATGATTCTCTCTCTTACTGCCACCATGTAAGAAGTGCCTTTTGCCTCCTGCCATGATTGTGAGTCCTCCCTAGCCACATGGAACTGTGAGTCCATTAAACCTCTTTTTCTTCCCAGTCTTGGGTATGTCTTTATCGGCAACATGAAGACTTACTAATACAGATCTCATCAGAATGGACTTTAGTGTCCACATTTCTACTCAACATTCTGCCTAGGATTACTCAGGTGCCTCTATGAAGATTGAGGCTCTCCCTACAGCTCTCCTCTTCCACAGCTTTACCAAAATCACATTTAAAGGTCTCTTCATGGCAATGTGGGCTTTTTCCAGCATGTACCTAAAAACTCTCCCATTCTCCAGGTCCAAAGCTACTTCTACATTTCTAGGAATTTGTTACAATAGTATCGCATTTCTCAGTACCAATTTCTGTCTCAGTCTGTTCAAGCTGCTATAACAAAATACCATAGACTGCGTGGCTTATAAATAACAGAAATGTATTTCTCACAGTTCCAGAGGCTGGAAAGTCCGAGATCAACGTGCCAGCAGATGTGGTGTCTGGGGAAAGCCTGCTTCCTCACAGATAGCCATCTTCTGACTGTAACTTCTCATGGCAGAAGAGGCGAGGGATCTCTTCTAAGAGTTCTGTTCATGAGAACCCTATCCACATGACCTAATCACCTCCCAAAGTCCCCACCCACCTGCTAATACCATCACCTTTTGGGTTAGGATTTCAATACATGAATTTTGAGGGGACACAAACATTCAGACCATAACATACAATCACATAAAAATCTTTGTGTTGCTGGGCATGGTGGCTCATGCCTGTAACGCCAGCACTTTGCGAGGCCGAGGCGGGAGGATCACTCGAGCCCAGGAGTTTGAGACCAGCCTGGCCAACATGGCAAAACCCCGTCTCTACAAAAAATACAAAAATTAGCAGGTCATTGTAGTGTGTGCCTGTTGTCCCAGTTACTCAGGAGGTTGAGGCGGGAGGATCACTTGAGCCCAGGGAGGTCGAGGCTGCAGTGAGCCATGATTGCACCAGTGCTTTCCAGCCTGGGCAACAGAGTGAAGTCCTGTTGTGAAAAAAATATCTTTGTGTGGGTAAATGTTATCATTTCTGTTGGGTAGATATAGGACTGGCTTCTTGAGTGTGTAATGTGTGCATTACACATAGGGCTCAACTCAGAAAGACCCTGTGCTTGGTTTAATATCACTGTCTTGAAATTCTTAGTAATTGTTGAAGAAGGAGCCCCTCATTTTCATTTTACACTGGGCACACAAATTATACAGCCAGTCCTGGGTAAATACCCACCAGTGGGATTGTTGGGTGGTATGATAAATGTATATTTAACTTTATAAGATAATTGCAAACTGTTTTCCAAAGTGGTTGTACTATTTTGCATTCCCAACAATGTATGAGAATTCCAGTTGTTCTACATCCTCAATAGTTTCTGTTCCTTTCTACATTGGTTATATCTTCAAATCTTTTAAAACTAGAGGGAGGATTAGTATGTTGTGAGGGTCTTCATCTTATCCGTTAATAACTTTCTTGGCCCCTGTTCCTTCCCTCATCACTTCTTTGGGCGTTGGTTGCCCTGTGTTAATAAAATGCTAAATAAACAGGTAGGAACGGGAATAGCAAAATTCAGAGGATCATGAAGTGATACATTAATGGTTCCCTCTTTGTTCTCAAGCAATATTGTTGTGTCTAGTCTCTACGACTGTAGGTTGGGCATTCAGGCAAATGTTTTCCAAGCTAAAAGATGGAGAGAATTAAGCTACTTTTTGCTATGACCAACAGCAACTCTAGAAAAAAAAGCTACTTGAGTTCTCCTGTAAGATGTGTGTTTGCCCTAAAGGCTGGTTTTCTTTTAATTTAATACAAATAAACACAGAGTTGAAAAGACAGCCTCTTTTCAAGTGCAACTTCTCCATCAGCAATGCAGTCAGCACCAGACTATGTTGACTCCATTCTTTGTGGCAGAATCGTATTCATTAGAATAAAGACTTGCTGAAACTCAGATATTTCACATATAATTCTTTGCCTTTATCTAAAAGACAGCTATCCTGCTCTTGAGGAAATTAGATTGATTGGACAGGCTGCGCTCTTCCAAAAAACCACATTTGCTGCAGTCACACTGTGATTTGGTAGGTATTTCCATAAAGCAACCAAAATATAATTTATAAGATGAGCCATTTCTTCATAACAATAGACGACGACTACATTTTCCTCTGTTTTATGTGATCTCTCAAAAGACCATAGTGGAACAATTTGCATTCCTTCAGTGTCCTGATAAATATGACACTCTGGCTTGTACTTTTGGACACATTGTAAGTACAGCAAGCTGTTAAAAAAAAACAGAGTGAACTTAAGAAACATGCAGACCTACATAAACAAAATGCTAAAATTCATTGAGGCAGGGGAAAAAAAAGACTTGAACAAGTAGAGACACATAGCACATTCACCAATAGGAAGACTAAAGATGTCCATTTTCTCCAGCTTATGACATAGCTACAAGATGATTCCAGTCAAAACCCCAAAGGATTTTGGGGGGAAATTGACAAACTCACTCAAAAATCTATCAACAAGAATGAACAGGGAGGAAGGACCAAAATAATTTTGAAAAAGAATATTAACAAAGGAATGTTTACTTCATTAGATGTCAAAATATTTTATAGAAAGCGCTCGGTTTCATTTAGGGAAATCCCATCTTTTATTTAGGTAAAGACAATAATATTTGAGCAGAAATGAGGTGAAATAGGAATATCTTTATTTTACTTTCGGACATCTCAATAAGAAAAAGTGAACCATAGCTGGCTTCTGATTGGGCTGAGATTTTTTTCCTACAAGGGTAAGTTTCATTCGAATACTCTTCCTTTGTGGACGCCATACTGTCCTTCAGAATGGTCCTTACCGATTCCATGAAAGTGACACGGAGCTTCTAACATTAATAAAGGAGCTCAGTATCTTTCCATTAGTGCATGCTTTATAATGCTAGGATGTTCAGATTGGTTCCAAGAGCAGATGGATACCGAGCATTTAAATGACAGAAAAATAAGTGTATTATTGATACCCAGAGTAACGGACAGACTTGGTTAATCATCAGAGCTGCTCCCATACACATCCTTCCTAATTTGTGGCTTCTCATTTTCATATTAACTGGAATGAATTTCTTCTAAAATGTAATAGGAAAGGAGAAGGAGAAAATGGACTTATTGACGTAAGGGGAAACAATCCCCTTCCCTGAAGAATTAGGTAGCCTTTTAATTTAAAGTTCCAGTAGATGAATAATGCTGGTATTTCCCCAGGGTGACTGTGATTGGAATTTCCACCCTGTCTGAGATCACATTTTTCATAGCTCCACACCTGCGAGCGCCCTTGTCCCGCTTCACTTTCTATCCCATTGACATGGTCGGGTCCAGGGCTCTGTGCTTCAATCAAGGCTGAAGATAAGGAGTGATGCCTAGCTCTGGACAAGGATGACACAGCACTATACCTTCAGTTACGAGAAATAAATGCAGCTAGATACACACTCAGAAAATATTTATTTTTATAACTATCCATAATGTCTTTGTGACACCAGATCTTTACCCTCTCTGGGCCTCCACTCACCCCACCCCAACTTCATTTCCAGGCTCTACAGAAAATGCTAGGCAGGTTTCTTCCTGGCCCTCCAGCCAGTTTATCTGTATATTCTTGGGTGTATATAAGAATGCATATTTATCCATTTGACATTTATTTAACACATGGCTTCCAAGTGTGGGTATCGTAACATCTTGGTCAGGAATGATCTCTTCCTCGCCATAGCATTGATGCTGATGGATTTCAAATTTACATCTTCTGCCCTGACCTCCCACTGTGTTTCAGACCTGAACAGCCTGCTGCCTAAGGAATATCAATCCCACCCCATAGGAACCCAAACGTGAATGCTTCCAAAACCAAATTTGTTGTGTTTGCTGCTTCCTAGCTGCTTTCCCTCCTCTGTGGTCTATCTCAGTGAGACACTCAGCGAATCTCAGGGACACCTGCCCCCACCTTTATAAGCCAGAAACCTGTGAATTATCCTAAACTCCTCTGTATGTGTAAGCTTTTATATCCAAGTCACAAGGACCTGTGTATTATACTTGCTCAATATTTCTCAATCCCATGCCCACTTCTCCATCTTTATTACCACTAGTTTCATCTGCAAACCCTTGTAATGTCTTGTCTGGAATATATTACTAGCCACCTAACTGACCTTCTAGTTCCTGTTGTCCATCCTTTTAACCTGATATCTTTTTGTTTTGTTTTGTTTTGAGATGGAGTCTCACTCTATTGCCCAGGCTGGAGTGCTCACTGCAACCTCCGCCTTCTCGGTTCAACCATTTCTCGTGCCTCGGCCTCCCAAGTAGCTGGGATCACAGGCATGTGCCACTGTGCCCCGCTAATTTTTTTTTGTATTTTTAGTAGAGACGGGGTTTCACCATGTTGGTTAGGCTGGTCTTGAACTCCTGACCTCAAGTGATCTGGCCTCCTCGGTCTCCCAAAGTTCTGGGATTACAGATGGGAGCCACTGCGCTCAGCCCTGATATCAATCTTGCTTTCAGGACAGTTCCCCTAAAATGTAAGTGATTTTATATAATTGCCCTATTTAAAATCCTTCAGTGGCCCCATTATCAGCAGGGCAAAAGGCCCATCCCCTGGGCTTGCCATGCACATCTCATCCTGAGCGGGCTCTTGCCCACCTTCTCAGCTGTAGCTTCCATCACTTTGCATTCACAACATCCTTTCTGTACATGCAGAATTACCCACAGGTCCCCAAATCAGCCTTGCTTTTTTTATACTTTACACTTGCATGTGTCTCCGTTAAATAGAATGCCCTTGCCCGTACCTATCCGGTGAATTCCTGTCCATTTTTCACCTTCAGCTCAAACATCACAGCCTCTCAGGAGCCTTCTCTGCCCTTCCAAGACAAAATGCACTCTTCCTTCTCTTTGTCTACTAACACTTTGTCATTCAGCGTGCTGGTAGATGTAGAATGGGCACATGTGCAGCCAGGCAAGCAAGCAGGCTCTTTATTCTCTTTGCTGTACTACTTCCTCCAACAGCCAGGCTGGAGGTAACCTTTGGCTAAGCTGGATAGGCACCTGGGAGCTTCTCTACTGACCTTGGGGCCCCCGGTTCCCCAGCTGTGATCCAACTTGGAGTAACATGACCTTGAGGATTATGCATCACACAAAGATGTGACTATTCCTGGCTTTTGCAGAAGGTAGGATACCGACTTACCTACCACTTACAGCTGCATCATCATGTGAGCTGATTCCAAAAAAGAGTTTTGACTTTATTTTTGGGTATGTTGCAAACCTCACTGGGAACTAGTGGCCATTCTCTGGTTTTCAATCTGGGGTAAAAGTCAAGGGTTTCCCCATCTCTGCCTTGACAGGTCTATTATAATACTTACCCTGTTATCATTTTGCCGGTATTCCCTGAGAACACGGGCTCTTGCATATTAATTTTTATAGCCCCCAAATCTAGGTACACTGCCTGGCATGTTAAAGGATGTTTAACAAGAATTGTATTTTATAATTATAATAAATTAATGTGATTTTTCTTACCCCACCATCGACAGCCTTTACTATGTTGCTCTTGATATTAAAGTAGCCCCGAGGTTAGAACCATAAAGATTTCTCTTGGATTTCTAATATCTACACATTACTTGGGTATCACTTCATCGCAACACATCTTGTAGGAGACACGGTGAGAAAATGACAGAACCCACGTGTATTCGGCATATATGATAATTCTATGATTGGCCACTAGTCGATGTTGTAGTTACAAGTAAAAGCCACCAGATGGCTTAAGGAAATGAATTTATTTCCAATTGAGGTTTTTAGCTTGGAAATCTGGGACCAAAAAAAGCAGTGATTGGAAAGGAACTAAACGCCTCTCTAGTGAGCCCCACATAACTAACAAAACCCACTTATCAGTATCACCTGACTTCAGCAATAGGCTTGTAGAGGTTTGGCAACCTTCAAAGGGCAAACACTAAACGGTGTATTATCCTTCTACCTTCCCGTATCTACATGCTTTAAGATTATGGAATAATTACTGAAATTCAATTCAATTCCACAAATATTTATTGAGTTAAATTAAACCTTATGAGAGGCTTACAGAAGCATATGAGGCACGAAACACAGCTTACTAAGCACAGAAAAACGTATGGTAGCCTGGAAGTAAAGATGAATTTGTTTCCTCTTTGTGTGCACTGGCGCTGGTTACCATTTCAAGGAGAAGTTCTGATGAAAAAATAATTGTGACCTAGAAAATGTCTGCATATTATCTGCAGGCAGAACGGGTAAAAGGTGAAATAAAACAAAGCAAACCTAAACAGCTATAGTGTTTATGAATCAAAATGTATTTTAGATGGCATTTACACATGAAAACCAGAGTCGAAATTATCAGATTAGATTTGAAAGTTTTAATGAGGTGATTTAAAAATAAAGCTATGTAGAAAAAGATGTGAATGATATACCCCACTGGCAGGATATATTCAAGTGGCTCTTTTGTTTTTTTACTCTAGATGCTCTGTACTGGGAGAAATTTTTGGAATATGCCTATGTTTATTATTTTGGAATGTAAAGAGTGAAATGTAAACCTAGTTAAAGGTATTTGCACTCATTTATTTGACACATATACTAGGGGTGGGTACCCTAGCTCAAAGATAGAGCCATGATTTAGAGATTCTGATTTTGAATTCTGTTAATACTGAGGTAGCAAACCTTGTTAGCCTTTTTAGTAAGTTAAAAAATTAAGTCAAGCTGTAGTGCTTGCTTTAAAAAATATATACTAAAGAGGCCTTTAGAAATATTCAATATCAGAAACCTCTGAATAAAGATTAAAGTAGGCTGGGCATGGTAGCTCATACCTGTAGGCCCAGCACTTTGGGAGGCTGAGGCGGGCGGATCACTTGAGGTCAGGAGTTCGAGACCAGCCTGACCAAAATGGTGAAACCCCATCTCTACTAAAAATACAAAAATTAGCCGGGCATGGTGGCACGTGCCTGTAATCCCAGCTACTTGCCGGGCTGAGGCAGGAGAATTGCTTGATCCCAGAAGGTGGAGGTTGCAGACAGGTGGGATCATACCACTGCAGTCTAGCCTGGGCTACAGAGCCAGACTCCATCTCCAAAAAACAACAACAACAACAACAACAAAACCAAACAAACAAACAAAAAAACAAGTTAAAGTCAGTATAAATGAATGCAGAAAAGCTTCCTCCACAATGTGGAGGGCATAACACATTTTATAATTACTAGCTAGCAATTCAAAAATATTTATTTGCTAATGAGAATTTAAGAAAAGAAACTCAATAGAGTACCAGCCCTCTTTTCAACATAAACTAAAATTGGATAATTAACTTTTAAAAGCACTAATTTCTTCTGAAGGTGTAAAAAGAAAGTTTTCTTTGATAAAGCAGAAATTTTATCTTTCTTTTCGAGGCATGAATAAATTAAAGGAGACAAAATCTAGCTTAATGGAGTAACCCAGTATTTGAGATTATAATTAAAAAGTTGTACAGGTTAACATAGCCTAATTGTTTTTTCTTTTTACCAACCTACAGCTCATGTGTACACTAATTATTTTTTGTTAAATAAAACTGTTTACATCTGGGCACTGTGGCTCATGCCTATAATCCCAGCACTTTGGGAGGCTGAGGGGGGAGGATCGCTTGACCCCAGGAGTTTGAGACCAGCCTGGACAACATAGTGAGACCCTCATCTCTACAAAAAATAAAATTATCTGGGCATGGTGGCACACACTTGTAGTCTCAGCTACTCGGGGAGATGAGGTGGGAGGATCACTTGAGTCCTGGAGGCAGAGATTGCAATAAGCTGAAACTGGATCAATGCAGTTCAGTCTGCACAACAGAGCAAGATTTTGTCTCAAAAAAAAAAATTGTTTACTTTTTGATTACATGTTCACTCTAGAAAATTTTAGAATATATTTTAAAATAGAAGAGAATAATTTTAACATTTCCAACACAAAGAAAAATGTCTGAGGTGATAGATAGCCCAATTGCCCTGATTTGATTATTACAAAGTAATACCCCGATTTGATTGTATACAAGTATCAAAATACACATGTACCCCCAAAATATGTAGAACTATTATATATAAATAATTTTAAAAAAGAGAAAATTTGAAAGTAAAAAAAAAATGGGAAAAATAAAAATTACTCTCAATCTCATTAGATAACCACTGCTGACATTTTGGGTTTTTTTTTTTTTTTTTTTTTTAGAGACAAGGGTTTCGCTTTGTTGCCTAGGCTGGCATGCAGTGGCACAATCATGGCTCACTGTAGCCTCAAACTTCTGGCTCAAGCAACCATCCCACCTCAGCCTCCTGAGTAGCTGGGACTACAGGTGTGCACCACCATGCCTGGCCAACTTTATTTTTTGTAGAGGTGGAATCTTGCTATGTTGCCCTGGTTGATCTTGAACTCCTGGCCTCAAGCAATCCTCCCATCTCAGCTTCCCAAATCATTGCATTACAGGCATGAGTCACCACGCTTAGCTGGATTATTTGCTTTAATTTTGTTGCCCATCAATCTGAATGATATTTATATAACTAGGTTGAGGGAAATTTCACCTGTTTCCCTAAAGTTGGCAAAAAGGACCCAAAGCTTAGGGCAGAGAGACATCAGCTACCTCAAGTCAAAAGAGATCTTCAAACAACTGGGGTCTAACTGCTCAGAGTCTATCAAGAAGTCAAATCTCTCCAGTGTGTATAAGGAAAAGGCTGATGGCTGGGGAGCAGGAGATGCATTGGAATCTCAAATGGTCTGCCCACTCCTCCAAAGCTAAAGGGCCTAGAATTGCCCACAGATGGGGTAGGTCTGCAAGAATGAGGAATCAGCATTATTCCCCACGGAAATTTCTACTGAAACCCCGTACCCTGTAGGTCTGCTCTGTGCTTTTCTTAGCAGGGAAAAGGAGAATGGAGACGAAGGAGGAGTGGTCCCACTGCTTGGCAAGGTGAGCAGGTATAAGCTCCCCTGGAACTAAAGGACTGGAAGCTACAGTAGCTTAGCTCAATTTACCTTGCCTCTGTAATGCTCATGAGCTCAGGATTCCTGGGGCAAGGGGTTCTGAGCAGCCAGACACTGTGGACTGTGCCTCTGGAGCAGAAGCTGCAGAACCTTTGGAGGAGGTTTCCTGGTGGTGGAGGTCCCATGTCAAGGTGCCATGCATGGGGAGGCTCGCTTGAGGGTTCACACACCCCATATGCAGGGCTCCCATGCCAGTGGCTGTGAACCTGAGAAGCCAGCAGAGCAACGCACAAGGAAGCACGCTGGCAGGCCGGTTAAGGAAAGGCCTGTTCCATTTCTTCCATCCCCCTTCCCAGGCTGCAATCCTAAAAGAGCTTAATCCCAGGGAGAAGAAAGAAGGAAAAGTAGATCTCCTCCCAATTTGTGTCTTTCAGGAGGGAAGCGGGATCCATGCTGGGCTGGGAGTGGGGAACGGAGTGAGTATTAAAGTAGACCCGAGTGAAGTCTCTAAGTATAGACCAAACTGGACCGTGCTTTTCATCCCTGGAAATGAGCAGGAAGCTAGGGGTACCCTCCATACATCTGGAAGGGGTGGGACGGGAGATCTGATCTACTGCAATAGAAGGTCGTTGATGTTTTCCTCTTTATACTTAGTGTTCTCAAAGAATGATACTATTTTTAAAATTAGAAAGCAAAAAATTTAATTAGCTGGCTTATATGTCCTGAGTCCAGGCTATTTCATAAGTGAATTATGAAACTATTATTTTTTTCTGAATTGAAAAATAAATGATTATAAAAGAAAAAATTAAGAAAAAAGTGAAAGTTATCTATATTTCTACCATCAGAGACAACTGCTGTTAACAGCCTGGATATATTCTTTCAGGCTTTTTCTATTCTCTTTTACACACACACACACACACACACACGTGTGTGCATGCACACTTAATAAGACCTAAAATAACTGCATTTTGTTAAAGTTACATGTTGAAGGAAAAAAGTCTACTGTCCATGTACTCTGGAGGCAAACATGTCCCCAAGAAAGATAAGATTAAGGGACTGAGTTATTTTCGTACAGGTAGTTAACAGAATTATCATTGATAAATATCAGTGAAATAAGTTATCTGATAATTAAGTTTTAAACGAATCAACATAAAGCAGTTTTAAATGAGATAATCCCATACGATTCACTGCTTCATTCATTCAACCCACAACTTACTGAGAGTCTACTATGTGCCTAGGGGTATCGTTTTCTGCATTAAGAATCAGTCTAATTTATCAAAGCTGGATGACTTTGCAATACACCTTTAGACTCTGGGTGAAGTTGATGAACAACCTATTAACTGACAGATCTACCAAATGCCCTCTCAGCTTAAAAAGTTGGTGATTCACGCCAGGCACGGTAGCCCATATCTGAAATGTCAGCACTTTGGGAGGCCAAGGCCGTAGGGTTTCTTGAGGCCTGGAGTTTGAGACCAGCCTGGGCAATGTAGTGAGACTCTTTCTCTAAGATAAAATAAAATAAAATAAAATAAAATAAAATAAAATAAAATAAAATAAAATAAAATAAAATAGCTGGTGAACCAAGGAATTTAGAGAATTTCTGATTTTTTCCGCGCTGCCCCCTGAATTTCACAGAAGAGAAAAATAAAGAGACACAAAATAACTTGTCAAAGGTCACAGAACTGGTTAATCTAAAACTAGATTACAATCCAGGCCACCTCTTGGATACTCATTCACCTCCCCATTTGTTCATTTACTCAACAAATGTTTTTTATGTCCTACAATGGAAGTCCAGTGCTCTTGGCTTGTCATGTCTTTATAATAAAGACAATCATCATCACCATAACTGTTATTAGGCAGTATGTTAAGTGTATTCACTTGGATTACCATGTTTCACGGTCATAAATGTTTAGTAAGTAGTTAGAAAAGATAAGGTTGACAAATAACAGTATTTACAAAACTAAATTCTACCTGTGTCCTTTGTGGGGGTGTACAGGGGGGAGGTCTCTGTGATGTAAGTCTGAAAGGTGTGTATGTATGAAGGAGTTTAGTTCATATACTAATCAGAGAACACTTAGATAACAGAATAAGAGACTAGGAACCCAATTTGCATAGAGGCCACTAGACATCCTGGAGAATGGATGAGGAAGACTTAGGGCCTTTAGTGATTCATGCACCCACTCAGCCAGCAGTGAATGAAAGCTTACTATTGGGATATAATAATAAGCAAAATATGGACACAATTCCTTCTGGCATGGAGCTTACTGTCCAGAGGAGGAGATCGATTTCAAACAATCACACAAATAATTGTGTATTATAATCCTAGCTAACATGCACTGAGGGCTTCCTATGTGTCCAGCACTATTCTAGGCACTTACCCCATGTTATTTAATCCTCGCCAATAAAAAAACAAAAAGAAAAAACCTGTGAGGTTGGTGCTGATATTATTACCCCCAGTGATGTTTCTTTTTTCTTTTTCCTTTTTTTTTGAGACCGAGTCTTACTCTGTTGCCAGGCTGGAGTGCAGTGGCACAATCTTGGCTCACTGCAACCTCCGCCTCCTGGGTTCAAGCGATTCTCCTGCCTCAGCCTTCCAAGTAGCTGGGACCACAGGTGCACACCACCACACCCAGCTAGTTTTTGTATTTTTAGTAGAGACGGGATTTCACCATGTTGGCCAGCATGGTCTCTATCTCTTGACCTTGTGATCCACCTGCCTCGGCCTCCCAAAGTGTTGGGATTACAGGTGTGAGCCACCGCGCCTGGCCCCCCAGTGATGTTTCTGATGAGAGCTCTGAAGGAAAAATGCATGGTGATAGGAAGTCATTTATTGGGGGAGTCTAATCCGGCCTGCGGTGGAGGAAGACAGAGAAAGAGACACCCTCTCTAACAAGGGTGAGGAAGGTTGTCAAGGGCTGCCCCATCTTCTGAGGTGGGCAGGGTACTCACCAAACAGCAGGGAAGTGCTGAAAGAGTATTGATTGGGGTACTGGGGAGTCATTAGTAGTAGGCAAGGGAGTGAAAAAGGAATTAAGTACTTACTACTACCTCTATGCCAGTCTGTGCAGTGCTGAACCCTGTCCCTAAATTATTTTCTCACCCAGTCTGGGGGTTGTGATCCTGAATTCCTTGGGGCGGGGGGAGACGCTCAGAGAGAAAATGCACCAGGCTACCTGTGGGGGAGTCTGATTAAAGCAGGGGGACCCTGAACCCCAGGGAATGGCCACAGCATGGAGTCAGCAGTGCCAGGTGCTCTGATGGGGGCAGTGCAGGGACACTGGTGACAGCTGAGGCAAGCTCACCAGGCACACAAGAAACAAGTGCAGAGCTGTCTCTCACTGGACACTTCCAAAGGACTTGGGCTTTTTTTTTCTAATTTTCAAAATATATTTTATTTCTTTCTTATATGTATTTTGCAACATTTCCAAGGTAAACATCAGCTTCATATACAGAAATAAAAGAGTTCTTTAAGAACTGGCATTGAATTAATCACAAGAATGATCAAATTATAATGGGAAACAAACTTGCCTATTACCAAAGCTAATGAGCTGAAGTGAAGAGCTGTCTTTACAAAGCTCTCATTGAGCCCCCTGCCCTGCAGCTGACTCAAGCCGTCATCACATATGTACATGTATAAGAAAGGACATTGGCACAGTACAGCAGCTTTGCAACCTCCAAAAGTATTTTGGTTTTAGTTCCCAGGAGTACATCCACAGGTATTTGGTGCTTTGCCCTATTGACTTTGATGGGTCAGTTTTGAAGTTTGATTAAGAACACGTTCTCTTGGAATGTGCTAAATTTTCAATTAATGGTACTAAATATGCAAAGACATGTCATATAGCCTCTACATTTCTGCATCATTTTCAACTTATACACTTGAAAGTTTTCCTGTACATTCTCCTACAGCATCTTTGATATTTTTTGGTTTCCAGATAGTCTGCTTGTCACCTCCTGTGTGTACTGACTGCGGAGCACTGCTACCCCTCAAAATGTTAAGATTCCCCTGTGAGGGTTTTTGTTTTGTGCTTTACCCTCTCCACAGCTTTTGATCTGATTCAGTAACATGGTTGGTCTATGAAGAGCAATGACTAAAAAAAAAATAATAATAATCAGAGCTTAATGTGATGTAGATTTCAAAAAAAAATGTTAAAGGTTTTAGTTGTAATTTCTGAAAATCATAGACTATCGCAAAGAGAAGTTTTTATTCAGGTTCTAGAATTTAGATTTTGAGGGTCCAACAGATTCTATCAGGTGCTGTTGAATATCCTGTATTTCCTAGCTCTTCCCATGGTTTCTGGTTATGTTCCAAACTTCTTTATATTCAGCAATGATAGCTTCAACACTGAGCTAAGTTTTAGTTTTGGATTCAGTGTGCAATCCGGAATGGGTGAAGGCAGCTGAGAACAATCACAGATTCTGGGGCTCTAGAGGCATGTTTATTGAGGGCCAGGATATTGGGTGTGGGTTCCACCAGAACAATAAATCTCAAAGTTTGCTGCCTGGACCAGCAGCGTCAGCATCACCTAGGAATTTGTCAGAAATGCAAAGTTTCAGGGCTAACTCAAACTACTTGATCAGAAACTCTAGGATGGGACCAGGCAATCTGTTTTAATAAACCCTCCATGTGATTCTGGTGTATGCCGATGTCTAAGAACCATTGAGCCACTCAAAACCCTAGTGGCTTACACACAATAAAAGCTCCATTTCTCACTGTCTCAGTCTATCAGGCTGCTATAAAAGAGTCCCACAGACTGGGCAGTTTAGAAACAACAGAAGAGTTTTGAAGTTTAGAAGCCACTGAACTGCCTTTGCACCTTGGTTGAAAATAAACTGACCATGTGTGTGCAAGGTTTTTTTTTTTTTTTTTTTTAACTGTTTTGTTCCATTAACCTATGTCTCTTGTGGTCAACACCACACTTTCCTGGATATCATAGCTTTATAGCAAATCTTGAACTCAGGTAGCCTCCTGCTGTCCTATGGAGGTGGAGGGAGGGAGGATGGGAAGACCTATGAGTACTGACTCAAAGTGGAGAAATGTCTTAACAACTCTCCTGCACCCTGTCCCCCAATACAGAGGCCTCCAAATGAAGGTTTCTGGGCTCAAAATGCAGATATAATGATAAGCATGGCTGGCCTGGGGTAAGGCCTGAGTCCTTGACTGCAACTTCCTTCAGAGACTGCAGTTCACTGCCTGTGCTCTACATCTGGTGTGAGTAGGGCAGCTTTCCCCTCTAAGGTCTGCTAGGCAAAGCCTTTACAATTGCCATGGTCAGCCGTGATTTTGGACTGGAACTGGACTTCTCAGTTTTTGGCTGTAGTAGGTCCTCTGCATTTGCATCTGAGTTTTAGAATAAGCTTGCCAATTTCTACTAAAAAACCTGCTGGAATTTTCATTGAGACAGTGTTGAATCTATAGGTCATTTTGGAGAGCACTGGCATTTAACAATACTGAGGCTTCGGATCCACCTACATGGTATAGCTCCACATTTATTTAGGTCTTTTACATTTCTCTTAGCAATGTTTTGCGGTTTTGATGTGCAGGTCTAACATATCTTCAGTCAGATACAAATTTTAAATATTTTTGATGTTAATAAATAAGTAGTATTTTTAAAATTTTGATTTCCATTATTTTGTCTTATAGAAATACGATTTTTGCATATAGATTTTGTAGCTGCAATGTTGCTAAACCAGTATTAGCTCCAGATTTTCTGTAGAGACCATGACATTAACCTAAATTATGTGGTATTAATTAACTGACAGGCAGCACAGGTATTACAGGTGAAAAGCTGGTGACCAAGCCCCTCCTTTTTTTTTTCCCCCGCCACAAGACATTTGATAAAATTGTCAACTCAGTACCTTAGCAGGCAGACTACCTGCTCTTTGAATCTGTAGTAGCAGGGAAAATGGTTGGGAGTGAATCTCTGGGTCAGTGAGACAGTACTGCCTTCTTCCTGTCTCTTTAGCAAAGTACTTTGAGAAAGATGAACTCAGGTAAAAACTAGTCATTTTGTTAACAGAGCTGGAAGGAAATAAAGTCATACTAAGATGGAGTTCTCTGCCTGTAGTCTGCAATACAAATTGACTGAGTGGTGATTTCAAGCCTTCTAGTTCTGATAAAGCCAAAAGCTATTACACTTCTGACAGTGTAAGATAAAACTGTGACCCAAGGCACTTCTCAAAGGCCATCAGCAAAGTGTTCTCTGCTGGACAGTGGAACCCAGACAAGCAATAGAGGTCATATTAAGGGCACTGCCTTCCTAACCATGACTGCTGTTTTTGCTGGGTGCAAGCATATAGCCACTAAGTTAGTAGGTACAGGAGATATGAGAGAGTCTCGTAAATAAAAATGAAGAGTAGTTAGGCATAAGAAATATGACTAATTGAGATCTCTATCTGTGGTTATTTGTAAAAGGAACTATACAAGGAACAAACAGATAAGAAATCCATTCGGTATCTTTTAAAAATTGAATTGACAAAGAAGCTATTAAGCCTAGCTTGCCAATGCCTGTGTCTATCTGACCCTACTAAAGTAACCCACAGTCCCTCAAAAGCGCACCAGTAAGAAACTGGATATAAAAAGATGTGTAGCCTCTCATGGAGCACACTCTTTAGCATGCCCTTCAGATGGAATCATAGATCATGGGTAAGAACCTCCCAATGGGTAAAGACAGTACCTTTGGATGCAACAAACCAGAGTTCCTCCTGGAAAACAGAACTGGGGTCTAACCAAGAATTTACTTCATTACCTTTGTAGTCTAATCTGCTCTTCACATTCGCTTAGACAAAGAACTACTATTTTGTCCTCACTCTTCTTCCAAATTAGTTTTCGTGCCCTACTTCACCACTGCATACTGGCTGTGTGGGGAAGAGAAAGGGGAATAAATAACATAATTTACTCTGTAGGTCATTGGACCATGAGGAGTTATATCAGACTTGTAAGGGACTGTTACATCTTTAGATCATGGACGCTGAGCTGGATGCAGTAACTGCTTAGAATGCTGGGTTTTCTCTCTTCAAACAGGGTGTGTTCTATGTGTCACAAGGGTATCCATGGATATTTGAGGGGCCAGAGGAGTAGATTGTGTCACAGTTGTCCAAAGAACATTCCTGTTTTATTATTAGAACTGCCAAATATCCAAGTATTAGTTGTATCTATAGTCACTCCGCAAGAGAACCTCATCTCCCACCTTCCCAAGTTAGATGTGGCTGTCAGATCAACAGCGACATTAGATTCTCATCAGAGGACAAACCCTATCGTGAACTGTGCATGTGAGGGATCTAGGCTGCACACACCTCATGAGAAGCTAACTAATGCCTGATGATCTGAGGTGGAACAGTTTCACCCCGAAACCATCCCCCATCTCCCCTTCCCCATCTGTGGAAAAAAACTGTCTTCCACGAAACTCGTCCACGGTGCCAAAAAGGTGGGGGACCGCTGGATTAGGGGGAATGTCTGAAGAAAAGGAAGTCCTAGTGGTGAAAAAGGCACCACTGAAGGCAAAAATGTTCAATTCTTTCCTCAAAACACCAAAGAAACTAATATAACTTTTCTTGCAGCTATTCTGGTAAACGAAAAACCCTTGTTTTTGAAATAAGATATATCTGTTCTTTAAAAATGCTTATTCTTTTATAATTATAAAAGTAACAGCCATTGGAATACTCGAGAACGTTGTAACAATACAGAACACTTAAAACAGTTTAAAGACAATGAAAAGCAGTAGAATCCCACTATTCTGAACAAAAAAAATTGCATTTTTTTCGAATTGTTCAGTGGCTGTGCAACTGGGAGTACATGCATTTTCATATATACTACATGTATACACGCACACTGCATTTGTTTTACTTTTTCATTTAACATCAAAATTAATTTTTTTTTTTTGAGACAAGGTCTTGCTCTGTTGCCCGGGCTGGAGCACAGCAGTGTGATCATAGCTCACTGCAGCCTCTACCTCTCTGGCTCCAGCGTTCCTCCTGGTGCAGCCTCCCAAGTAGTTGGGACCACAGGTGTGCGCTACCACACCACCATGCCCAACTACTTAAATACCTTTTTTTTTTTTTTTTTTGGTAAAGATGGCGTCTCAAACTCCTGGCCTCCAGCAATCCTCCTGCCTCAGCCTCTCAAAGTGTTGGGATTACAGGAGTGAGCCATCATGCCAAGTAAGTTATTTCTTCACACTAAACATTCTTCAGCTCTTAGTTGCAGAGTATTTCTAGCATGTGAAACTTCATACAATCAACCACAAAACACAGACAAATCAGTATGTATCAAAAAGAAGTAACTGAAAAACACAAAATATTGTCTTTGACAGAATGACTATTTTTTCAGACCCTTAATAGTGACCAGGCCTTCGCAAGCCTAGAAGGGACTCCTGGGGGTGTTTTCATGAAAGGCCTGTGGAACCGACTTGGTATAGCCTCATAGCAATAACAAACAGTTTAGGTATCATTTTGTCCAGGGGAAATACAAATTACAAAATCAAAGCTAGAGCCTTTTTAGTGTTGTATGCCTGGCAACACACCTCATTCTACACTATAGCACTGCTAAGCCTCCTGCCCTCCTTACAGTCCAGACCACATGAAAACAAAGTGGTAACTAAATCCATGCAAGAAGCTGGGTGAAAGCCTCCTTTCTGTGGGTGCTAATCTGAAGTTCCCTCCCTCATCTGAGACGACCTGCCCATTTTGGCAGAACATGTGTTAAGCCAAAATCTCACACAGATGAACTCCCAAGTCACTCACCTCGCTCCAACCACTTTACATTTAGTTTGAGAATGTCACAGGAACAAATGTCATCTCCTATGATTTGAGAAACAAGAATAATACAACACCACCATTAAGTCCACCTACACTGCCTTAATGGTGCTGTTGGTGCCTTGCTCCCGTATTTTGGCCGCTGCAAAATGGGCTTAAATATGTTTGTAAATACATAACTTAATATTGAATTCATCTTCCCTATTCCGCGCATTTTGAGAACTGTGCTTAGTTTTCACTTTGGACGAATAGCAACCCTTCTGATGGCCGTCATGACAATGTCTCCAATAAAAACTGACAGTCTAGCTGGCTGCAAGGCAGGTCCTCTTCTATCTTACTGGGCACTGCTAAACTGCGAAGTCGGGGCGACACGGCAGCAACTTTAAAATCAAACCGCATCCCCAAGGGCTCGGCGTGTTTTTTGGCCTCTGCAGCTTCACGTACTTCGTACGACAGGAGCGCACTTGTTCTCTGTCCGAGAACTTCGTCCCGAGAGAACCTCAGGAACTCGCCGGGCCACACCCCCTGTCCAGGGAAGGAACACGCCCCCGGTGACAGCCGGTACGGCCCCGGGTTTGGGCAACCTCGATTACGGGCGGCCTCCAGCCCCGCCAGCAGCGCCCCGCGCCCGCCCGCCCGCGCCCCTGCCGCCCCCCGGTTCCGGCCGCGGACCCCACTCTCTGCCGTTCCGGCTGCGGCTCCGCTGCCGGTAGCGCCGTCCCCCGGGACCACCCTTCGGCTGGCGCCCTCCCATGCTCTCGGCCACCCGGAGGGCTTGCCAGCTCCTCCTCCTCCACAGCCTCTTTCCCGTCCCGAGGATGGGCAACTCGGCCTCGAACATCGTCAGCCCCCAGGAGGCCTTGCCGGGCCGGAAGGAACAGACCCCTGTAGCGGGTAAGCACTGGCCACACGGAAGGCGCGGGCGGCGACGCTGCGCATGCGCGCCTTTGCCCGGCGGCAGCGCGCCCGCTGCCCGGAAGGAAGCCGTGGGCTGGCCTCGGGCGGGTCGCGGGGTGGGGGTCTGCGCAGGCGCGAAGGGGCGCCGGCAGTGGCCGGGGAGACGCTGGGGTCCACTGACGTCCCTTTGTCTTTGTTTGGCTCGTCATCTTCTGGAGCCAAACTGGGCATTCTGAAGGAATCTAGTGCATCGGTCTCACTTACCCGGAGTGCATACCGTCGCGGCCCCAAGTTTTGGGCAGGAAATGTGCCGCTGGGGTCTGGCCTTGCTCGCGGGCGCCCGCGGCGCTGTGCCTGCGCCCTCCTTTCTTGTCTCCTCTGCGCCGGCCGCCGGGACCCAGGGCACCTGCAGCGGGGCTGGTGCGAGTGTTGTCCCGGGAAATGCCGGAATGAGACGAGACGATGAAAACCTTAAGTGTGGAACTGCGTCTCAGGCCAGTGTTCTGGCTGAGTCACCCCTAGTCACCCCTCGTGCCCTAGGTCGGCCCCGCTGTCCCCAGGGGCAGGGGCTGCCGTATGCTGGGTCAGCTTAAAGCGATGCTCCACAAACTTGGACAACTTTCTAGTCGTTCTCACATCAGTACTTTGGGAAAATACAATAAGGGTGAAATACTAGAAAAATGTTCACGTGCTTCGATGCCATGTAATGGTAAACTGCTATAAAAGTTTTCAAAATCTTGGCAATTTCTGCTGCAGACAGCACGCGTTTCCCAGAACGAGGGCCACACGTTAATATTACCTTAGTGCAGCGCTTCTCAGAGTGCCCCCACCTGCCGCAGCAGCAGCAGCATCACCACCTGGGTGGGCGTTCCCCCATTACTGAATCGGAGACTCTGGGGGTGGAGCCCAACAATCTCTAAAACAAGTCCTCCAGGTGATTGTAATGTACGCTGTAGCTTGTAAACCACTGCCTTAGAGCTGTTGGAGGATTAAGTGATGTTTAATCTACACATGGCTCAATGCCAGAGAAATTCAGCATTTAAAAAATTTCCTTAGAAGTTTCTTTTTCTTTTCCTTCAAGAATTGTTGAGGATAGGAGGAGGTCATATTGAGAGTTTGTCATCTCGTAGAATAATCAGTATGAGATTAGAAAAGGTAGAGGTTTTTTGGATTAGAGGCAGTTTAGAAATCGTGTGACTGGCTTATTATTAATCGAATTAGCAGTTTCTGTTTCCTGGTTTCCCCATCATTTCACCTGCTACTCAGCCGTAAAAGTTTATTTTTGATTCAAATGCAGAGATTGAGTTTTGAAACAAATCTAGATTAGTAAACATCTATACTTATATATAGATTTATAAAATATAACCAGATTATCTAAAACTTATAAATGCATCTTAAAATTTTTTCTTTCTTTTACAGGCAGGAATTTATACGTGCATGTTTAAAGGCGATACTTTTCAAATGCCAGACTTCCTCAGCTTGTGCTATACTTCCCGTTCACACACTGCCGTGTCTTTGCTATGCCCTCCCATACACCAAAAAAAAAAAAAAAAAAAAAAACCCCAAATAATCCAAAAACTCTTGTTCAGATTTCCAAACTGGTTCAAGGTCAAGATGGACCAAAATTTACTTTGGCTTTATCTTAACCAAAGTCTTCCCAATCAGTTTCCTAATATGTAAATGACATTTTTGGTAAAAGATGAGCAAACATTTCAGAAATGAGCCAACAATTTTTTTCTTATCCCCATCATAACTTTTAACTGCAAAACCTCAGGACCTGGTTCTTTTCCAGGCTCTGCTGTCTCCATATAGCTGTGAGTGTTTTTGGTACACCAACACATCTCTGTATCTGGGCCAGTAAACTTTTTTTTTTTTTTTTTGGTGTAGGGCCAAGCCTACAATGCATATGTCCTTATTGTTCATCTATTGTAACTTTTTCCACAAAAAGTGTGTGAAATTTAGATTGTGGACGTTCCAGTCTCCACTTCTGAGCCTTGAGAGGTTGCTGAAAGCCCTGACTGGCTCCAGAAATGGGCAGTGTTACCTCTTCAGTGGGTTTCAGTAGCTGTAAACTTGAAACTTAAGGATTTAGTATTGTTCTGAATGTGGAATTCACCTCCACTGCAACTTGGATCCTGTTTAACAACTCCTCCCTTCTCTATATTACCTCCATCCATGTCTGTTCTTATTTGTACCCTGACCCTCAAAAGTTGCGTGACAAAAGCATCACCTTTTGACTGCAGAAGGCCTGTTTCTTTAGTGCGTTTAGATAAGCCTAGTATCAGGTGTGTACCATTACCAAATACTTGAGGTGTTAAGGATTACCATCTTAGCGTTCATCCTACCATTTTTATATTCTTAAGGACAATTCCACCCTTTTACACACTGTGACCAAGATTTCCACCTTGCAAGAAGGAAAGAGTCAAACCTTCAAAGTTTTTCAGTGTTTAATTTATCCCAGGCTACCTAAAATGGATGAAAACATGAACAGGCCTACTTGGGTGAGTGGTGAAAACTGAACCTGCCCTGGACTGCCTCATTTGCAGCCTGCTGTGTTCAGGTTAGGGGGCATCTGGGCAGTGCTGGCTGGCTGGTAGGGCACACGGCAATGTGTCTTGCCCTGTATGTGGAGATGGTCTCATTGTGCTTCAGTGCCTGACCACCAAGCAATACTCTGAGAACTTGGGAATGAGGGACAAGGGGAATTCATACTTGTTGAAGTGTATTGGTATTGTATTGTTCAAAATAGGCTGCAGGTAGAAGGCTCATAATTAAAACCTCAGAGTGCCTTCCATTTTGTTAAGATGTGGGTTCCTTACAGTCAGAACTGATCTTATTTCCGGTGAATTATTGTAATTATTGTAAAAGTCCAATATGGTTTGGTTTTGTGTCCTCACGTAAATCTCATTTCGAATTGTAATTCCCACCTGTTGGAGGAGGGGCCTGGTGAGAGGTGATTGAAACATGCGGGGGGTGGACTTTCCCCTTGCTGTTCTCGTGAGAGTGAATGAATTCTCACGAGATCTGATTATTTAAAAGTGTGTAGCTTGCCCCTTTGCGCTCTCTCGTTCTCTCCTGCTCCTTTGTGTGGAGATGTGCCAGCTTCCTCTTCTGCCATGATTGTAAGTTTCCTGAGGCCTCCCTGGCCATGCTTTCTGTACAGGCTGTGAAACTGTGAGCTAATTAAACCTCTCTTCTTTATAAGTTACCTTGTCTCAGGTAGTTCTTTATAGCAGTGTGAAAACAGACTAACACAAAGGCCGTCTTTCATGTGGAACTTGTTTTTGCGTATTGGAAACATTGCTAATCTGTGTTTGGGAATGAATCTTACCTTTTTATAGAGTATCAGTGGGATCAGGTGTTTGGGATTTGGAGCTGTCCTTTAAAATAACTTTGACAAGTTTGATTCTATCTTGGCTTTCTTGCGTTTACATTCTTAGTGTTCATTGTATTTTTTTGTTACAGTGCTTTTTTTGGGCACTAACATGTTAAAAACAGATGTAGAGCACCATCAGAAGGTATTCTCTTTTAAGAACTTTAAATAGAAAAAAACAGTAGAACAATGTATTAATCCAAAAGGTGGCTCTTTGAAAAAAAATTGAACTACACTAATGACATTTGTAAACAATGAGGTAGTCTCAAGAAAAAGATGAAAGTACAAATATACAAAATAAGTCCTGAGAAGAGGAGATCATAAAAACAGATAATTTGAAGAATGTTAGGAGACTACTGAACTCTTTTAAAATAAACTTTAAAACTTTGATGAAAATGATAATTTTTAGGAAAATATAAGTAATCCAGATTGACCCCAGAAGAGGTAGAAAATTTAAGCAGGTTGATTTTTATAGAAGAAATAAAGCTATGAAAGAGTTACCTCCTCTCAAAGCATTGTCTAGTTTCACCAAGATTATCTACCAAATATTTAAAGAGCAGATAATTCCAGAGCAGGAATAAATGGCTATTTCCTTGACATAGCATATCTATTTGAACCCAAAAGCCCATTTTAGGCTTAATGAAGAAACGTTGAGATTTCCACTGATGTTCAGACCAAGACGAGGAGTGAGAACAGCCTAGTACCTTTTACAGTGTGCACTGTTAGCAAAATTTTGGTGTTATCTTAGTTTTAATCCCACCTTTAAAAATAAATTCTACCTTTTTTGTATTAAGGAAACTTCCACCTTTTTATTAAGTGTGATCTAGTCGTTGATTTATACTTTGTAAGAAGGTAAGATTCAAACCTTTAAACTTCTTAATGTTTAATTTCTCCCAGGCCACCTAAATTGGATTATAACATGAATTGGCCTACTTTGAATGATAGATTATTATTTTACATTGTAGGTACAGCCAGTGTGATCAGACAAAGCAATTCGAGAACTACAAAAGAGGAAAAAAGATCAGAAGTTCTTAAATACATAAGGGAATGCAGCATTTGATAAAGGTGGTATCTCAAGTCAGTGGGGAAAAGGTGAAATATTCAATAAATGGTATTGGGACAACTGGGTAGCCATATGGAAAAAAAGGTTGGATCTCTACACCGTAAGCCAGGATAAATTTCAGTGTTTGATGGAATAAATTCCAGATATATGATGATAATAGCTCACACTTGTTAAGTGTCTTGTATGCCAGGCACTGTAGTAATTTACTAATGCATTTAATCCTTACGGTAACCCAAAGAAGTAGTAACTGTTATCACCACTTATAGATGTGGAAACTGAGGCCCATAGATGTTAGGCAGTTTAAACAACATACATTGCTAATAAGTAGTGGAGCTGGGATATGAACGTAGTCAGTTTGGCTATAGAGTTTCTGGCCTTAACTCCTATACTCTTTTTCCATTTAGGTTATTGTTAAAAATGAAACAGTATGAGAACAGAATGTTTTTATAATCTGGGTGTGAGGAAAGCCATGACTTAACCATGACTTGAAAATCGGAAAACGTAAGACTGATAAATTAGATTATATCACAGTAAAAAGACTGATAAATTAGATCATATCACAGTAAAATTCTTCTGCATGGCAAAAATCATCATAAGCAAAGCCAAAAGACAAACGATGGTAAATAGTTGCAATTCATATCATAGGTGAAGGACCAATCTTTTTAATTATATAAGAAGCTTCTAGAAATAAAAACACCAACATCCATTGGCAAGGTAGACGTTAGGTTATGAACAGACCGTTTACAGAAAAGTACAATTGGCTTTTAAGCATATAAAAAGATGCTCAACTTCACTTATAATGAGAATGCAAATACCATTTTTCATGTTTCAGACTGGCAGAAATCCAGAACTTTGACGATACACTGTGTTGGTAAATTCTTAAGGAAAAATACACTCTTGTACATGGCTGGCAAGAGTATAAATTGGCTCAACTCCTATGGAAGGCAATTTGGTTGTATCTATCAAAAATTCAAATGCATATACCTTTTGACCCAGGAATTCAATTTATGGGAATTTATCGTCTGGACATAACTGCTATGCATGCCAAATGATGACTGCACCAGGTTATTCACTACAGCTTTGTTTGCAATAGCACAAGACTGGAAACAACCCAGGTGCCTATCAGTAGTGGCTAGTTACATAAATTACAGTTCATTGTCACAATGGATATGCAGCTGTAAAAAAGAATGTGGAACATCTGTGTGAATGGGTATGGAGGGATTGCCAAGATGTAGCATTAAGTGAAAAAAGCAAGGTCTCAACAGTGTATATATACAGTATGCTAACTTTTCTGTGAACAGAAGGGAAAATAATATGTATAGAGAAACTTTGAAAGGATAGCTAAGAAATTAATGGCTGAGGAGGGGGCTGTGTAATGAGGATGGATGGAAGACATAGACTTTTGATGCTTTTTTGTAACTTGCTTCTTGTAATGTGACTGCATTTGTGAATTACATAACTCCACTTTGAAGATGATCTGTCTCGCTGTTTTTAGTCTAATTGACCACCTTTCTGTCATCTTTTGTCATACTTACTTGAAGTTTTTTTTTTTTTCAATTTTGCTCTTTCTTGTCAAGTACATCTTTTTTCTGCAACTTGCTTTTGTAATCAAAATCTACATTTTGGCGTGATTGAAAAATCAAAATTTAGAGAGTGAAATCGGAATAAGTTAATCCAAGTCATTTTACATTTCATAAATATTCATTTTTATTGAAGCATCAATTGTGATGGCATCATTTATACAAAGAACAGATCTTTGAGGACAAATTCCTTCCACTATTATGTAGAAGGCATTATGTGTATTTCTTGTATTGTGAGTGATGTACGTTGATTTTTAAAAGAAAATGATAGAAAACAGTTTTCCTTTTAGAAAAGTTTTCCCCAATGTGTGATTAATTTCTAAATTGTAGGATACAGAATTGTTATTTCCCCTCTTTGCATCCTGCCCAGAGCTCTTTGATTTTACAACCTGTTCCAGAACGTTTAGTGTTTCCCTGAAGTCCCTGGGATGAGGGTATTCTGTACCTCCCACAATGTGATCCTTACCTGCTTTCCCAGTCTTTTTCTCCACTGTGTCCCTGTAGAACCCCATCTTCTGCCTAATGTGTTTCACTTTTCTGCCTCTGTATTGCTCACACGACCATACCCATAGCGTGGATTGCACACTTGGATCTTTTTACTTAGTCATTCATTAAATGTCTATTAAAGGCCTGCTTAGGAAAGACCTGTATTGTCCATATATCCTTATCTTCAAGGAAGCATCCTTGAAATTTGCCCTGCTCTAATTCCCCTTCTCCCGGAAACCCATCCTTTTTCTCTCCAACCTAAGTGATCTCCTTCTTCTCTACTGGACAAATAGCTATGTACTACTTTATGAATCCTTTCTATGGCATCTTGCGTTGCTAATTAGATGTCTTATTGCACGGAACTCGCACAATCTGTCTCATCTCCCCACGTAGTGAGCTCACAGCACTTCACCAAGAGTGCTGCCCACCAAGAACTCACAGCACTTCACCAAGAGTGCAGTCAATAGTGTTTTATGAACGTTGGGAAGAATATGGTTAATGCCTGAGAACAAAGACCAGAAATGTCATCTTTTCGTGTGACCATCATGATACAGAGAAGTTAACAGAGCTGCCCCATTGTCCATGGGGCATGTTCCGAGTTTTTCCAGTAGTGGTGATAGATTTTGGCTGATTTCTCTGAACTTTTCCCTGAGTTATTTTTGTGACTTTGGCCAGGATGAAGGGTGGGGAACCCCTCATCTTTAAATCTCTGAGCAGAGACTTGCTAGGCATCTGCAGCAGTGGTGGGGAAGAGGTCATTAAGCTCAGTGCAGTCCACGTGGGGCCTTGGCCTGCGATCTTCAGGCTCAGGAGTTATTGTGAGCCCCTGCGTTGGGTGGGGGAAGGGAGGAAAGGAGGACAGCTGAGGCAAGGAGTGGGAGCCTGGCTGGGGGAGGAGACATCAGCCTGGGGCATGGGTCTTATGAGGGTGAGTGGCCGCCAGGCCCTCAGCAAGGACCAGAGTGGAAGCCTCTTTGCTAAGCTTGGTCTGGCTCCTGCATGGGTCCCAGCAGCGTGCCATCAATCATCCGTTCCTCCTTGGCAGATGGCCAGGCTCCTTCCCATGCAGCAGCAGCAGCAGCTGGCTGGCCCTGCCCTCCTGTTTCAGCTGACATCGGCAACCCTCTGGGGATGTATGGAAGACTGAATTCTACAAGAGATGCTTTCAGGATGTCAGTGCATGATGAATGAAAGTTGTGGATCTTCTACATGCTGCTCTTATCTTCCTCACATCATAAACTCCAAGTTTGAGAGCATCACAATATTCATCGATATGTAGCACTACACAATGAACTGAGGGCAGGAATTGACTTACTCTTTGTACCCGGAACACAGTAAGCTGATGATAAATACTTGTTGAAAGACTGTAGCATATAACCTGTTGAGTTGTTTGAGAGGCCAGGGTTCCTCTGAGCAGTATCATGCCAACAGACACACGCATGTTATGTATTATGGCACATAATCGGTAAGTCCATAACTGTTGGAGTAATGGGGACGAGCATAGTGCACTGAAGGGTACAGGAAGCATCGGGGTTTGGGGGCTCCGGCCTACATTTGTGGTTATGTTACTGGTTTTTCCTATCGCATCAGAAAACTTTATTAACTAGATGGAATTTCTGCAGCCAGATGAAAATGTATGTGATAGGAGTGGATCGTGTGATAGGAGTGGATCGTGTTAGCTGCGTGAGATTGCTAGTGAGGCACTGAGTTGTCATCAGGTAGCAATTCCACCATTTCCACTGGAATTCCTTAGCACATTTTAAGCTAAAAGAGGTAAGAAGTCAGAAGGGTAAGAGTCTGGCCATGGCTTTGCTTTCTTCTCTCACGCTTCCAACCACCCTCGTCTGAAAGCTACATTTCACCTTGTGAAAGTTCTGCCCTTCTGTTTCCAAATACGAGATGCTGTAAGCCTGAACTCAGATCTAAAACCAAACTTAGCATTTTGTTTCCAAAAGATTGACTACATATTTTAATTTCCCAACCTCTCTCAGTGGCACTGCTCTCCTCTCAAATCCCAGAAGCCGCAGTCAGGGTCATCTTTGAGCCTTACCTCTACATTTGAGTTGTCCTTCCTCCCATGAGTCCCGATGACTTCTTTTCTTCATTGGTCTCTGATCTGTCTTCACTCTCCCCTGCCTGAGCTGTTCAGAGCATTATCAACATCTACCTAAAATTTGAATTTCATTCTCTCACTGTTTAGGGAACAGCAGCGACTTGGACCTGTCCAATGACACTCTTCAATGCTGGACACTTGCTGTAATTTGCTGCTGGCCTCAGTGTTTCAGATCTCCACTTCCACCCCGAGGCTGGCTCCTGCTCTGAGCTCCTTCCTTGCAGGTTGCTATGGTCTGAATGCCTATGTGCCCCTACTGAATTCATGTTGAAATCCTCACCCCCCCAGGTGATGGGGGATTAGGAGGTGGGGGCTTTGGGAGGTGATTAGTCATGAGGGTGGAACACGCATGAGTGGGATTAGTGCCCTTGTAAAAGAGACCCCAGATAACTAGCTAGTCTTTTCGGCCATGTGAGGACATGGTGAGAAGGCGCTGTCCGTGAACCAGAATTTGGGCTCTCACCAGACACTGAACCTGCTAGCGCTTTGATCTTGGACTTCCAGTCTCCAGTATTGTGAGAAAGAAGCTCCTATTATTGATAAGCTGCCAGGTTATGGTAAATTGTTATAGCAGTCTGGCGGACTGAGACACAGGATGTTTTTTCCTTGCAGCCCTGTCTAAAACATCTTGGGGCTTTCAAGGCTAAACTTGGCTTCTTCCACTTCTCTGCCGCCCCTTGGGGCTGTTTCAGCTTAGATTGCTCTTAGAGTTGGAGCTGGAACTAGGGCTTTGGGGCTCTGTTTTGTGCTTTCATTCCAGTGTCTCTCCTTGGGGAGATGAAGGTAGAATCCCTTTCCTGTATTTGGTGCTTGGTGGTAGTCATTTCCCCCGCTGTGTTTTCGGAACTCCTAGCCTGGTTATAGAAGCTGCTGGCATGATCAGAGTTCTCAGATTCCAGCTGCTTTCTCCTGGATATCCTATCAAAATGCCCTCTCCGTTCAGTGAGATACTCGATGACTTTGACTCATGATGCCAAATGATTGATTTTTCCTTCACCAGAGACCTGCGTGTCCTCTGGGTCAGCTGGTACCTCTTCTGTAAGCTCGGGCTCTTATGAAAGGGGACATAGGCTTTTGCCCATTTTTTTTTTTTTTAAAGGCATGGTTTCTTGTATTTCTGTAGGAATTTTGTATCCTTTCATGGAAGTGCATCTGTAGTGTTTCTCAGCAGGGTATATTCCTAATCCACTAACTTGTTGAACAAGTATATTAAATTGGCATCATGATACAGCGAAGGCTAGTAATAATGAAACAGGAAGAAATGTGGTGACAGTATATTTAGATGATTATAAATACATTAAAATACAAAATTTAGGAACATCGGATGTCTTCCCAGAGCATGTTTATAAAATGAATTCTTTCAAAGATGTTACCATAGGAAAGTAATACTAGTGTTGAATTTTCCTTTAAAAAGTTTTCGTATTTTACCTTTGATTTAAAAAAATTAGTTTACCATTAGGTATTTTATACTTTGCATAGGTCAAAAGTCATGTGTAAAATTAAAAAGCATGGTTCAGATGAGGCCACAAATTATTCTTTGGCCTGCTGAAAAGATCTGATATTTTAACAGATTGTACCCAGAAGGGAAGAGTCATGAAAATGAAATACTTTGAGGGAATTCATAGCTTTCCACGTGGGGAAAATGAGACCTGAAGTAAAAAATTTTGAATGCACTGTTGTTAGCAGTTGAAAACCGCGTAAGAGTTTGCAGAATGGAATGGTAGGCTGTCACAGAGCCCCCGAGAAGGCATTGCATTGCTGAAAACTCCATTGCCTTACCTCTTCCTGAGAGGCAGTTTACAAAGAGCCACCTCATCTACCAGTGAGCCCTCTGCAGGGACTTCTGCTGGTCCCTGGGGTGTCTGGCTTACCATTCAGCATTCCTCACACCCCGAGATGTGTGCATCAGCATGAAGGAGTGCTTCTCAGAGCCCCAGGGTGTCCAGGTGGTCCTGATAACAGAGGGCACTCAGGCAGTCTGTCCCTGCTAGCCCCATGCAGGTTGCTGGGAAAGCACCTGACACCAGGAGTAGAAACTTCACCTGGTGGCCCATCCTCAGAATGTAAGAGGGGTTTCAGGAGCCCACTCTAGATAACTTAAAAAATGTTTTTTTTCTTCAGGCTTATGCTCATACTAACAAGCTCTGTCGAATTATTTCAATGTGCGGAATAAAAGGCAAGAATTATTTTCTGGTGCAGTTTAGACCTTGGATGAGTAGGGTTATGCAGCTGTTTGCTGCAGTAGTTTTGGGGAGACACACACCTGACTTAAGCTATGTGAATTTGGATATGAAGTTCCAAGTGTAAGATATGAACCAAAGGATTTCTCTTAACGTAACGATGGAACTCAAGCCTGAACTATTTTTGTTCATTAACAACCTGGCAGTTATTTTTTCAGAATAAGGAGATTTATGAAAGAGCTGAAGTCTGGGCTTCATTTTGCGTGTACATTTGCTTCCGCTGTTGCCGGATGGTTGGTAAAGGAAATTGATAGAGTTTTTAAAGTGAGGACTGTATTGTTTACTTTATGTGTTGTTTTAAAGTAGGAAGGAACACAGTCGCCCTGCTATCAGCCTCTGGTTTCTTGTCCCAGTGGCGCTAAGAGTCAACTCTTCTGCCTGACAGTGCCTGCTCCTACCGTGCCTGTGCTGAGATAGCTCCTCCTGGCTTCAGGGCCTTTATGGCTGAAACTTCAATTATATATATAAAATATATAAAATAATTATTAATATAACTTAATATAATAATATATAATAACTTTTTTGAGACAGAGTCTTGCTCTGTCGGCCAGGCTGGAGTGCAGTGGCATGATCTCGGCTCACTGCACCCTCCGTCTCCCGGATTCAAGCGATTCTCCATACCTCAGCCTCTTGAGTAGCTGGGATTACAGGCGCCCAGCAGGGTTTCCCCATGTTGGCCAGGCTGGTCTTGAACTCCTGACCTCAGGAGATCCACCTGCCTTGGCCTCCCAGAGTGCTGGGATTACAGGCGTGAGCCCCTCTGCCCGGCCAACTTTGTATTTTTGCTCAAAGTTTGATCTGTACATTTTGAATCATTTTTATCCTTTTTCCAATTTCCCAACTAACCAATGTTCAGACCCGAGAAAGCATTCTCCAAAACCTTTCTCTGTATTCATAAAATCATACACACACACGCACAATTGTTGGTTTTTTATAAAAATGGACCAGATTGTATTTTCTGTATCTTGCTTTTCTTGCTTAATAGTACATCATAATATCTCCAGTTCAGCTGATATATCTGTTTTTCTTTTTTTGAGACGGAGTTTCACTGTTGTTACCCATGCTGGAGTGCAATGGCGCGATCTCTGCTCACTGCAACCTCTGCCTCCCAGCTTCAAGTGATTGTTCTGCCTCAGCCTTCCGAGTAGATGGGATTACAGGCATCCGTCACCAGACCTAGCTATTTTTTTGTATTTTTAGTAGAGACTGGTTTCTACCATGTTGGCCGGGCTGGTCTCGAACTCCTGACCTCAGGTGATCCGCCTACCTCACCCTCCCAAAGTGCTGGGATTACAGGTGTGAGCTGCTGCACCTGGCTCAGCTGGTATATCTTTAGTATGTTCTTTTATCTTAAATGACTTTTTTTTTTTTTTCGAGCAGTTTTAGGTTTACAGAAAAATTGAGTGGAAAGTACAGAGTTCCCATACACACTCCTCCCTGAGTTTCCCCTGTTAACGTCTTGCTTTAGTTACAATTGATGAGCCAATATAGATACATTATTATTAACTAAAGTCTGTAGTTTACATTAGAGTTCATTTTTGCTATCATCCAGTCTGTGGGTTTTGACAGATGCATGATGATATGTACCTACCATTGCAGTATCAGAACAGAATGCCTTCACTGCCTTAAAAGTCCTCTGTGCTTTACCTATTTGTCCATCTCCCCCTTCCCAAGAACCCCTTGCAACCACTGAACTTTTTTTATTGTCTCCATAGTCTTTGCTTTTTCCAGAATGTCATATATTTGGAATTATATAGTATATAGCCTTTTCGGTTGGCTTCTTTCACTTAACAATATGATTTGAGGAGCCTTCATGTCTTTTCCTGGTTGGATAGCCAAATTTCTTTTTATTATCAATAATATTCCATTGTATGGATGTACCACAGTTGATCCATTCACCTACTGAATAAATATGTGCATCACTTACATGGGGATCTATAATTGTTTTGGCAGTTATGAATAAAGCCTCTATTAAAATTTTTATTCAAGTTTTTGTGTGGTCATAAGTTTTCAACTCATTTGGGTAAATGCCCAAAAGTGTGATTTCTGGGTTGTATGGTATATGTAGTTCCATAACAAACTGCCAAATTGTCTTCTGTACCATTTTGCATTGCCACCAGCAATAAATGAGGGTTCCTCTTGCTCCACATCCTTCCCGGCAGTTGTTGTTATCAGTGCTTTGGATTTTAGCTATTCCACAGACATTTAGTGGGATCTCATTGTTTTAATTTGCAATTCCCAAATGATATATGCTGATGAAGATCTTTCCTGAGCTTATTTGCCATATTATGTTTTCTTTGGTGATGTGTCTGTTCAAATCTTTTGCCCATATTTCAGTTGGGTTGTTTTCTTACTGAGTTTTTTTTTTTTTTTTTTTTTTTTTTTTGGAGACAGTCTTACACTATTGCCCAGGCTGGAGTGCAGTGGTGCGATCTTGGCTCACCACAACCTCTGCCTCCCAGGCCCGAGTGATACTCATGCGTCAGCTTCCTGGGTAGCTGGGACTACAGGCATGTGCCACCATGCCTGACTGATTTTTGGATTTTTAGTAGACATGGGGTTTCGCTGTGTTTGCCAGGCTGATGTCGAACTTTTGACCTCAAGCAGACTGCCCGCCTTGGTCTCTCAAAGTGCTGAGATTACAGGTGTGAGCCACCATGAGTGGCCTATTGTTGAGTTTTAAGAGCTCTTTGTATATTTTGGATATCCTTTATCAGATGTGTCTTTTCCAATTTTTTCCCAGCCTGTGGCTTGTCTTCTTATCTTCTTGACAGTATCTTTGGGAAAGGAGAAGTTTTTAATTTAAATGACATCCAGCTTGTGGACCATTTCTTTCATGGATTGTGCCTTTCGTGTATCTAAAAAGTTATTGCCAAACCGAAGGTCACCTAGATTTTCTCCTGTGTTATCTTCTAGGATTTGTATAGCTTTGCATTTAGCTATGTGATCCATTCCAAGTTGATTTTTGTGAAGGTTGTAAGGTCTGTGTCTAGATTTATTTTTGCCTGTGGGTGTCCAGTTGGTCAAGCCCATTAGTTGAAATGACTGTCTTTTCTCCATCGTATTGCCTTTGCTCATTTGTCAAAGATGAGTTGACCATATTTATGTGGGTCTATTTCTGGGCTCCTTATTATGATCCATTTGTCAGAATAGACAAATGTCTTTTCTTTTGCTGATTGTTGAAGTTGAGTAGCATCGGTTCTCTGACTTTGTTCTTCTCCTTTAATATTGAGTTAGCTATTCTTTTTTTCCCCCTTTCCATATAAAGTTTAGAATCAGTTTGTTAATATTCACAAATAACTTGCTGGGATTTTGATTGCAATGATAGGGTTGCACTGAATCTCCAGATCAAGTTGGGAAGAACTGACATCTTGAAAATATTGAATCTACCTATTTGTGCACATGGACTATCTCTCCATTTATTTAGATATATTTCTTTCATCAGATTTTTAGTCTTGTTCTTAGGGATCTTGCACATATTTTATTAATACCAAAATATTTCGTGTTTTTTTGATGTTGATGTAAATGGTCTTGTTTGTGATTTCAAATTCCAGTTGTTCGTTGCTGGTATAGGAAGGCAATAATTGACTTTCGTATATTAATCTTGTAACCTGCACCCTTGCTGTAATTTCTTATTAGTTCCAGGATGTTTTCTGGATTTTCTACATAGACAGTCATGTCATCTGTGAATGAACAGTTTTATTTCTTCCTTCCCAATCTGTACACCTTTTATTTCTTTTTCTTGTCTTACCACATTAGCTAGGACTTCTAGTATGATGCTGAATAGGAGTAGTAATAGTGGACATCTTTGCATTGTTCCAGAACTTAGTGGGAAAGCATCTAGTTTCTACTTTTAGGTATGATATTAGCTCTGGATTTTTAAAAATAGATGTTTGTCCTCGTCCATTCGTGTTGTGATAACAGAATACCACAGAACTGGGTAATTTATAAAGAAACGTATTTTCTCACAGCTCCGGAGGCTGGCAAGTCCATGATCACCGTCAACATGTCAGCAAGTTCAGTTGTCTGCTGAAGGCTGTTCTCTGCTTCAAAGATGGTTCCTCTGGATTGGAGAAACAGTGTGTCCTCACATGGCAGAAGAACAGAAAAGTGAGCTAGCTGAATGCTCTGTGAAGCCTCCTTTATAAGGGCTTTATTCTCATCCATGAGGGATGAGCCCTCATGACCTAATCACCTCTTAAGGGTACCTCCTCTTAGTACCATCACACTGGGAATTCAATTTCAACACCTGAATTTTGGAGGGGACACATTCAAACCAAAGTGATGTTCTTTATCAGGTTAAAGAAGTTCTCTACTCTTAGTCTGCTGAGAGTTAATATGTTCTTTTTAATGGCTGCATGAAGTTCCATGGTATATATGCACATAGTTTATTAAAATGAAACATGACAAAACCACACCCTCTTTAACGTTGAAATATTGATATGTTTGTTAATCACAGCACGTGGTATGTATATGGTAAGTGCTTACGGGTACCTCCCTGTTAAATCTTGCCAAGGATATAAAATTGGTGCCAGGTTATGTAATGCTTTTGAAGCCAACTTGAGTCTTGGATCAGACTGGAAAATGGAAAGAATGTAGATTCTGTGATGATGAATACTTTGGGGAAAATAAGAGGATTAGGTAGCTGATGCCCACCTTTCTATCAAGGGAGCAAAAATGTCCTATGGGTCTTTGATCTTTGCCAGTGCATTTGGATTGGTTTCTAAGTACAGCGTGGCAGCCGGGTTATGGTATTGTTAGTTCTGGAAACTTAGTCAATTTGCATCTGGAGTCACCTAGTCACATTTGATGAAATGGGTTACAAAGTTTTAGCACCTTTCTGTAAACCAGGGGTTGGCAAATAATAGCCCACAGGCCAAGTGTGACCTGCTATTTTTTCAATTAAGTTTTAAATTTTGAGATAATGTTAGATTTACATGCAGTAGTTAGAAGTAATACAAACTGTTGTACTCTGTGGATCTGTTGTACTCTTTGCCTGGTTTCCTCAGTGGTACATCTTGCAAAACTATAGTACGTCATTACAACGAGGATATTGACAATGACAGAGTCAATATACAGAACAGTTCTGCCACCAGAGATTCCTTGTGCTGCATTTTTATAGCCACATTGACCTTCTTCCTCACCCCCTGCCCATGTGCAACCTCTGGCGACCACTCCTGTTCTCCATTGCTGTTATTTCATCATTTCAAGGATTTTACATAAACGATGTCATATAGTATGTAACCTCTTGGGATTGGCTTTTTTCAGTCAGCACAATTCCCTGAGATTCACCCCAGTTGGTTAATGTACCAGTGCTTTGTTCTTTTTCATTACAGAGTATTATTACTTGGTGTGGATGTACCACAGTTTAACCATTCACACATTGAAGGATATCTAGATTGTTTCCAGTCTTTGGCTGTTACGAGTGAAGCTGCTATGAACATTCATGTCCAGGTTTTTGTGTGAACATAAGTTTTCATTTATCTGGAGTAAGTGCCCAGGAGTGCAATTGCTGGGCACTTACATGTGATAATTGCATGTTTAGTTTCATAAGAAACTGCCAAACTGTTTCCCAGAGTTCTTCAGTTTGATATTCCCACCAGCAACATATGAAGGATCTGATTTCTCTGCATCCTCTCTAGCATTTGGTGGTAGTGTCACTGTTTTATTTTAGCCATTCTGATAGCTATGTAGTGATATCTCATCATGGTTTTACTTTTTATTTCGTTGGTGGATAAGGATGTTGAAGATCTTTTAATGTGCTTGTTTGTCATTTGTATATCCTCTTTCGTTAAATGTCTTTGGTAGACGTTAAACATTTCTAATTGAATTATTGCTTTACTCTTCAGCGGAGTCTTTTATATATTCTCATTACTAGTTTTCTGTTAGATATGTGGTTTGTAAATATTTTCTTCTAGGCTGTAGCTTGCCTTTTAATTTTCTTTTTTTTTTTTTTTTCTTAAGACTTGTACAGAGTAAAAGTTTTTAATTCTGATGAGTTCCAGCTTCCTAATTTTTCCTTTCATGGATCATGTTTTCATGTCAAGTCTAAGAACTCTTTGCCTTGCGTTGATCCTGGAGATTTTTTCCTATGCTTTTTGTTTTCCTTAAAGTTCTGTAGTTTTACATTTTATATTTAAGTCTGTGATCCATTTTGAGATAATTTTTGTTTCAGGTTGAGGTTGATGTTTAGTTTGAGGTTCATTTGTGTCAAACAGAACTCTGTGTACTGGTGTTCAGTTCCAAGGGAAGGCTGGCACTCCATGGAGGTTAGCAAAAACCATCATTATGCCAACCATCAGGAATACGATCCAGACACTTGTGCCCGCTGTATCTCAGTACGAGAGTCTCCAAGGAAAACACAACACAGTCAGGTAGTCGAGGGAGCAATAGTTACACAGAGAAGAGACAGAGCAAGATCAGTTTCAGTAGTGCGTATGGGTCCCCTGTGTCCAGGGGTCCCTCGTGGCTGCCCGTACGGGGTGGTCTGCCTACGAGCACCCCTTTTGTACTGCAACTAAGGGACCCTGTTTCCTGGGTGGGGAACAGATAGAGCAATGAGGTTGGCAGGTTGGCCAGGTGCCATGTGACACACACCCTTAAGCAGAACAAAGGCGCACACATGAGCTTGCAGCAGTGAGAGATACGTATTCCACACAAGGCATAAGCCTGCCACAGGTGATGAGGGCTCTTCATCTGTTGGTGAGATGTGTTTCAGGCCCAGGGCCCATTCTTAGGCCACTGAGTGGGGGCTGAAAGGCTGTGCACACAAGACTCCCTTTCGCAACATTTTTTTTTTTTTTTGTCTATGGATGAATATTCAGTTACTACAGAATAATTTGTTGAAATCCTTTCTCCATTGATTTGCTTCTGCATTTTTGTCCAAAATTAGTTGGCCATATTTGTGTGGGTCTGTTTCTGGGTCCTTACTCCCTCCCGTTGATCTATGGGTCTCCCTCTGTGACATTGTCATGCTGTCTTGGTTATGATGGTTATATCGCAGGCCTTAATATTAGAGTCATCCCTCCCACCTTATTCTTCCCTTTCAAGATTGTTTTAGCTGTTCTAAGGTCTGTCCCACTCCATATAAACATCCAAATAAACATCAGAATAAACTCTCTGTCAACAGAAAAACCTTGCTAGGATTTTGATAGGAATTGCATTTAGGGACAATTGATGTCTTTATTATGCTGAGTCTTTCAATCCATGAGCACAGCATGTCTTTCCATTTATTTAAGTTGCCTTCAACTTCTTTCATCAGCGTTTTGTAATTCTCAGTGTATAGATCTTGTGCATGTTTGCTATGTTCATACCTAACCTAAGCTTTTCATTTTCTTTGGAGTGATTGTAAATGATATGGTATCTTTAATTTTGGTTTCCACCTGTTCATTGATAGTATTTAAAAATGCAGTTGATTTTGGGATGTTGATCTTACATCTTTCAACCTTGCTGAACTCACTTTAGTAGAAGTTTTCTCATAGACTTTTTCAGATATTCTACATAGATAACCCTATCACCTGGAAGTAGAGTTTTAATCTGTGTGCCTTTTGTTTTTCTTGCCTTATTTCAGTGGCTAGAACTTCCAGTATTATGTTAAATAAAAGTAGTGATCTGTGGATATTTCCCTAGCCTTAAAAAAAAAGTATTGAGAGCAGACATGCTTACTTTGTATCTATCTTAGGGGAAAAGCATTCAGCCTTTCACTAAACTATCACATATGATGTCAGCTGTAGGCTTTTTTGCAGATGCTGTTTATTGAGTTACGGTAGTTCCTCTTTATTCCTAACTTCCTCAGTGTTTTTATCAGGAAAAGGGTCTTCTACCACCTGTTTAAATAAAGTTTTATTGGAACACAGGCATGCTTATTGCTTTAGCTGTTTTCTGTGTCTGCGTTCTCAGTGTAACACCAGAATCGAGTAGTTGTGATAGTGACCATATGACCCTCAAAACCTAAAATATTTATTATCTGGAATTTTACAGAAAAGGTTTGCTGAATCTTACTATAGTTTCACCAACTTTTTCTTTTGAATTGTCCTTTTTTCTTTCTTTTTTTCCAAGTTCTTCCTATCTCTTGATATTCTACCATGGTTGCAAACTCTTACTCCACACACTCTTACTCTAATTGGCTAAGACCTAGAGCTTGAGCCATTGGCTGCGGCCAGCCTCAGAAGAAAGCAGGGAGGATGGATAGATGTAGATCTAGTTGCCTTCTAAAGGCACTTTCTACTCTTTGTCTGTATTTCTATCAACGGTAGCATTTGGGGTAGTTCTAACATGTTCTTTTGATAACTTCTATTAATTCTGTAGCTTGACAGTTACCCTGAACAAATTACTTTCATTTCACTTCTTCTTGACCTCAACCTTCTTTCCTGCCTTGATTCTCTGACTGTTCCTATAGTTTGTATTGCTGTGTTTCCTTATGATGGAAAGATACATGACTTCACTGATCTCTAAGGGATCTAGGGGAGTGTTGCTTTCTATACGTGACAGTTCTTCACTTTTTAGTTACATAGTTCCATTTTGTTTTGTCTAAGGGAGGTGCTTTTTTTTTTTTTTTTTTTTTTTTTTTTTTTTTTTTTTTTATTAAATGGAGTCTCGCTCTGTCCCCCAGGCTGGAGTGCAGTGGTGCGATCTGGGCTCACTGCAAGCTCTGCCTCCAGGGTTCATACCATTTTCCTGCCTTATCCTCCCGAGTACCTGGGACTACATGCACCCGCCACCATGCCCAGCTAATTTTTTGTATTTTTAGTAGAGATGGGGTTTCACCGTGTTAGCCAGGATGGTCTTGATCTCCTGACCTCGTGATCTGCCTGCCTCGGCCTCCCAAAGTGCTGGGATTACAGGTGTGAGCTGCCGCACCCAGCCTGTCTAAGGGAGTTTTAAAATGTTTAGCTTTGAAAAGTTTGTTGCTTTCACTGAAAAGAGTGGGATGAAGTATGACCTGAGTCTCTAAGTTAGGAAATAAGTGAATAAGTTTTTTTGATCACTGAAAGGTAAACCACTGTGGTATTGTGTTTATTGATTATTAATTGATAGAGATATTATGTCCTGCATCTCTACATTCACATTTGATTATTTTCCAGCTTGCTTGATCTCTCCCCAGAACATGGCTTTATTGATAATACACCCCTTCTTCTTCTTTTCTTTTCTTTTCTTTTTTTTGACACAGTCTTGCTCTGTTGCTGAGGCTGGAGTGCAGTAGTACGACGCCTCCTCACAGCAACCTCTGCCTCCTGGGTTCAAGTGATTCTTCTGCCTCAGCCTCCCAAGTAGCTGAGGTTACAGGCACCTACCACCATGCCTGGCTAATTTTTAGAGATTACCCAGAGACGGGGGTTCACCGTGTTGGCCAGGCTGGTCTTGAACTCCTGACCTCAAGTGATCTGCCTGTCTCGGCCTCCCGAAGTGCTGGGATTACAGGTGTGAGCCACCACGCCCGGCACCCTGTACTTCTTTTTTCTCTTTGCCATGCTTCTGTTTACCCATTACTGCCAACCCATTTGACCCTCCTTGCTTAGGAATTGCTAGCATTTATTTTCTTTACTACTCATTTGGTATGCATTCATATTATTTGAAGACTTCATATATTGTCTTTTTATTTAAGTTTATAATAGTGATTATTGTATTTCTGTTTTCTGTATAATGGCATTGCAAATTTAATGAGAGCTTATTTACTTATGTGGATCCCTCCCACACCTAGGCATGTCTGTTACATGATGACCATTAGTTAAATGAACTAAAGAATGATTGAGCTTATATTCTGTAGTATCGTATTTGGAAGTTGTGTGTTCAATAAAACTCTTTTAGTATAATTCAGGCCAATAGGTATTAATATTAATGAATGTCAGTAAATGGAAGCTATGTTTTTACCTTCTAGCACAAACATCTTTAGAAATTTTATTACGACTGTGTATGTGTGTCCAGTGGCTGACTTTCCAAGCAGTTATTAGAGGAGATCTGAGTTTTTAGCTTCTGCATTATGATTCATGTTGAATATTTATGGAAGAGAAGTGTTTCTACAAATATGTAAAAATATTGGTGAGTGAAAGAAATGGCTCCCAGTATGACAGAAGAAAATATCCTAAAGAGATCCACAGTTATCTGCAGTTTCCCCAAGGTTGTGTTTACATAAAAAAGACATTGTTTTATGTTCTAGCATCAAGAGATGATTTTACGATATAACAAGTTCCACAAAGAACTCTCGTAAGGTGGTTCTCAGTCCCGGCATAACTGCTACGGAGATCACAGAGCAATATTATTCTCTGGATTTATTGGGTTTGCTGCATTCTGTTAGCATCATTCATATTTTTCTCCCATGGGTACCACTTTCCTCTCTTTTCCTAATACCAAGATATGGAGACTCATTTATGCCGTGGAGTGTGATGCTGGGAAATGAATGCTTGCTTATTACCTCTCTCCACAGGACCTTTCATGACCATACGTCGATGTCTGCCGCCTCAGTATAAATAGGCACATTCAGAAATGTGTTCTCTAGTGAAGGGCATGTTGGCTTGGTGGAAAGCACAGGGACTTCACGTCTGGACTGCGAGTCAGAGCTGTGCGTCATGTGCTTACTGGCTGTGTGACCTTGGATAAATTTGCCTCAGTTTTCTCATTTGTAAAACAGACAGTCGCTATTTCTGGGAATAGATGAGATAATAAGGAAAGAACCTAGAATGGTACCTGGCTCCTGCCAGTTGCACAGAATGTTTGTTTTGCAGTGTGATGCGTCCAGTAGGGACACTTAGGGGACAGTGTACTGTCATACTGTTGCCCTGTTTTGTAAGAGTGACTGATGGCTACGTGACATCACCACACTCCCTGCAAGAGCTGCGGTGTATGGCACGTGGCTAAGCTGTAGGTGCACATGGCCTTCAACTCCACCTGAGCTCCAGCCTTCTTTTTGGGAGAACTGGCCTCTGGGTCCACCTATGAAGCAGGAAGGTTGATTATTACTTAAACCCATAGTCTTATAACCTCTTGGGAAAAGATTCTCTCAAAATGACTCTTGATGGTCAACATGGGTGTGCATTTACGCAGCTTCCATTCCCATCGCTTCTTGCAGGCAGTGTTGTTCCTGATTGCCCCAGTCTAGTTTATCGCAAGGGAATTTCTTTGCGGGGCAGTGAGCTCCCTTTTGGCAGAAGAAAGAGTCAAGCAGAGGCTGGGAGGTTCCCTTACCCACAGTGGTGGCTGGCTCTGTAGTGCCTCCCGGCTCTGGGTTCTACTTTCCTAGTCTCCTGCCTTTCCGCAAGTGTCTCCACCCAGCTCCGATAGAGTGGGTAGCATCAGGAGAAGGGAGGGCAGGGATGAGTGTTGTAGCATCTCAACATTTAAGAGCAGAGGATGGGGGGCTGGGGAAGAGCATACACTGGGGCCGGGTGTGAGGAGGGAGAACATTAGAAAAAAAAAGCTAATGCCTGCTGGGCTTAATACGTAGGTAATGGGTTGATAGGTAAATGTGTGCCATGGTGGTTTGCTGCACCTATGTAATAAACCTGCACATCCTGCACATGTACCTCAGAACTTAAAAAAAAAAAAAAAAGAGCAGAGGACAAGGAGCCTCCAAGTTTATGTGGAAAAAGTAGTTAGAAAAGCAAAAAGAGTACTCAGGAAACCAAGAGAAATGAGAACATCAGGAAGAAATGGATGGTCGGCCACAGCCATTGCATTTGACAACCAAAAGCTTTTGCCAACAATGATGGGCAAAGAGAGGGAGGGCGAGAGCCAGGCACCATGGCCAGGTGGGAAAGTGTGGAGACCTGCAGATCCTGGCTTCTCTTTCAACAGCTTGGCTGGAAATAAGGCAACAGGTTCAAAAGGGGTAGGGTTTTTAAAGATGGGAGAGACTCAAAAATGTGTGTATTCTAAAGGGGGAAGATATGGGAAGATGTTGAAGAAAATCTAAATTTTGTACTACTGTTTGTCATTTTATACATGGATTCTTTTTCACTACCTTCTCCTTTTTTTTTTTTTTTTTTTTTTTAAATGAGACAGAGTCTCACTATGTTGCCCAGGCTGGTCTTCAACTCATGAGCTCAAGTGACCCTCCCTCCTGAGTCTCTCTGAGTGTTGGAATTACAGCCATGAGTCCCCAGGACTGGACCCCTTTTGTTTTTTATTCCTAGTTACTTTTCTGCTCTTTTTCCTCTCAGCCTCCCTCACTCTTCCCTCCCTCGCTCGCTTTCTGAGGCTTCTGACAACTCATCTATTAATAAGTTTCTTACAGTCCTGTCCTTCTGGAAGCCCTCAGTGCCACATGGAATCTGGACCTGGCAATTTCTTGCTATCCATTTAGGAGGAGACTGTTGGTGTCCATTGGTCCCATTTACTCATCCCCGGCCATGTGTTAGCTGTCTGTAATTCTGTACGTTGTTGCTACAGTATTTATATATGTCAAGATGTATCTCACAGCATCTTATTCACCCTAATATTAGTGAAAATATTCACTAATATTTTCAGTTTTGTGCTTAATTCCTTGAAGGTTTTGGGATTTAAGCCCAACCAATTTCTGTGAAGAGCAGTAGCATAGGAAATTAAACACAAAAAATAAAAGTTTAATTTAGAACTGCCCTAAAGCCAAATTGGGAAAATTTAGTCACTGTTTTCCGGTAAGTACACAGCAACAGGTGTTTTGGATGGGGAGAGGTGAGCACTATAAAGATGTCTCTGCAGTTCTGAAATTTCCTTTTCTGCTTTTTCTTTCCCTCTTCTTCCTCCTCTTTACCCTCCTCCTCCTTCCCTACTCAGCCAGTTTGCTATCGAGTGTAATACCCATGGTAGAGACCAGGATGGAAGCTGAAACGTGAGAGAGGTGTGTATGAATGGTTGGTTTGGGTGTATGTTCACATTCATGCGTGGAGCTCAGTGTGATGGAGGTGGGTCCTGTAGGCTCACTGGGGACCCTTGGCGCAGCCCCGTTCACATGGTTGCTGTGGTGCTGGACTGGCCACTGGGACTCTGCCCTCAGGCACCAGTGACCCCTGGGGTGGGTCATCTGACCCTTTCTGGACAGCGTCTGCTTCCTGCAGCTTGTGTGCCTGTTTTCCAGAGATGGGAGCTGTAAACTGTGAAAGTGTAGGGCTGGCAGCTGCCACGGTGCTGCACCCTGCAGAAGATCTGCTTTCAGCAGGAGAGGCTGAGGCCCACGGGAGGAGGCAGAAATGGTAGCTGGTCCCAAGCTCCTTAGCTATAACCATTTTTCTGCCCTTCCCATGGCTTCAGTCTTCAGCGTTTCCTTGGATTCTTTGACCAAAAACAACCAGTCTATCTCCCTGTTTCTCTTTGCCTCTCTTTCCTTAAGGCAGTCCAAGTTGGAATATTTTCACCTGCAGCTGAATTAACATGGATGCCTTCCTTATCCTTAACAAGGTTTGTCTTGAATGGAAAATAAATGGGGATCACATTTGGAGCCAGTGGTCCCTCGCTAGCTTTTCATGTGAGCCACACTTAGAAGCCGTGCTAGGGCCGCAGGCGTGCTGGACATTCGTGTTGTTCCAGTATTCACCGCTGTGTGCTGGCAGGATCCTACCTGGAGGTTCTGGGGACTGCTTCCCCATCCCGCAGAGTTTAGCGTTGCCCGCAGGCTCATAGGTGTCAAGAACCAGGTGAGAGATAGCACCTGGCTCAGCATATGATGTGGTACTTTTTTCTTTTTTTTTAGGCAGGGTCTCACTTTGTGGGCCAGGCTGGAGTGCAGTGGCAGGATCTTGGCTTACTGCAGCCTCGACATCCTGGGCTTAGGTGATCCTCCCATCTCAGCCTCCCACATAGCTGGGACTAACAGGCATGTGCCACCATGCCTGGCTAAGTATTTTTTGTAGAGACAGGGTTTCGCCATGTTGCCCAGGCTTGTCTCGAACTCGTGGGCTCAAGCAATCTGCCTTCCTAGGCCTCCCAAAGTGCTGGACTTACAGGTGTGAGCCACCACACCCGACCATGTTTGTTCTAGAAAAATAAAGCTCATTAATTACAGGAACATCGCAGCTTACTGCCTTTCTCACTAGCAGCCATGACGTGAGCTCCTGGTAGAAATGAATAGCTCCCTTATTAAAACTGACTGGTCTTAAGTGTCACATCATGAAGCTTTGGATCTCTTTCCTTCCCCGCAGTGTCCCTCCCCGCACAACATAAGGAAAACCTTTCTTAGTCCTTCATATTTGGTGCTTGGGTGCTAAGCATTACAGCGCTCTTGGCTATCCAGTCATGCCCATAAGCCACAAAGTGTTTCCCTGTCAACTGGGCTTCTTCTCTTATCAGAGCCAAGGTGAGAAGCCACTGTGGCCCCTGAGAGTGGGCTCAGGAATTCTCGGTTTTGGCTTGCTATTAATTTGCTGTGCAGCTTTGAGCTATTTACCTAACTTCTCTGTTCATAAATTTGCTACTTATGAAAAGTGCTTGAAAGCGAAGTTCCTAGAGGCTCTTTTTTCCTCCTGACCTGCGGTAATTTTAAGTGCTTTCTTGTGTTACGCTTAGCACTTTCTCTCTTCCCGTCAAAATTAATCTCCTTTCCTCAGAAGCTGATGAATTAGAACTCTAAGCCACGCTTCTTTCTTGCATGGTCTCACTTGCTTTTCTCCCCCATCTTTTTCTCTGTTCTTTTTCCCCTTGAGGCAAAGGCAGAGAAAGAAGATGGAGGCCTAGCAGACTGGTTGCTAATACAGTTACGACATTCTCTTTCTCAGTCTAGGGGAAGTTACTCTGGCAATTATGAATCCATATCCCTGCCTAGGAACTAACTTTATCCCCCTTATTAGTATTTCATTTCTATGGGATGGCTTCTTGCAGATTTTTTTTAAATCTTTTTTTTTTTTTTCCTGAAATTTCTTACAGAGACCAACCCTGTTTTCACTATCTGAATATTTGAAAGTATAGTTGAAACTCAGGCAGTTTGGAAGGAGAACCGTGCTGTGGTTTCCTCCAGGAGCCGAGGTTCTTTCCACAGGACTGCACATGGGCCTTGTGCTTTGTGGACTGTCAGTTCTGTGTCAGCCTGCAGCTGTCTCTTTTTAATTTTGTTGTGTTTTTTAGAGAAGGTCTCACTCTGGAGTGGAGGCTAGAGTGCAGTAGCACAGTCCCAGCTTACTGCAGCCTTGAACTTCTGGGCTCACGCAATCCTCCCAACTCAGCCTCCTTAGTGGCTGGGACTGCAGGCATGCGTTACCATGCCTGGCTAATTTTTTTTTTTTTTTTTTTAATTTCTAGTAGAGATGAGGTCTCGCTATGTTGCCGAGGCTAGTCTTGAGTTCCTGGGCTCAAGCGATCCTCCTGCCTCGGCCTCCCAAAGTGCTGGGATTATAGGTGTGAGCCACCGTGCCTGGCCTTGGCAGCCTCATCTTGAGTGTGAAATTTGTTTACAGCTTTTCTTGCTAAAGACTAGTGTTTCTTAATTACCATGTGCAAGGTCTTCCATACCGCAGAAGGCTGTTGGGCAAGGCATAGTCCAGATAAACTGTCTTGACAGAGAAGTAGCAAACGGGAAACAGGCTGAGGTTGGATGCTAGGGAGATGCCTGGGCAGGATGTCACAACATGGATTAAAATGGAGGCAGGGCAGGGCAGGGCCACAGGCCAAGCCAACACAGCAGGCCTGTCTGGGCTGCACACGTGGTCCAGTTGGAGGGCCATCCACAGCAACAGCAGGAAGGGGTTGATCAGGAGGCATCATATAAGAACTAGGCGGATGGGGCAGTGGCTGATTCCACGTGGAGGGGCCTGCTCTGAGGCTGCTGGTGTTCCTTTGGTGGTCAGAACCTGGCATCCCATAGCTGACTTCTATAACCCACGTGCCATTTGGGCCTCCTGCTCCTTGGCTTAGTCCCTAGTTCGTTACCATGGGAACGTGAAGCTATCCTTAATATTTCTCTAAATTCTGGAGTGTGTGTGTGACTCGGGGAGTTTGTGTTCTCATGATTACTTCCGCCTCAAGGTTCGGGCATCTCCAGATGCTACCTCTTTTTCACACTGAATTGACTCCTTTTCATTTATTTTTTGAGTTGGAGTCTTACTCTGTCACCCAGGCTGGAGTGCAGTGGCGTGATCTCAGTTCACTGCAACCTCCGCCTCCCGGGTTGAAGCAGTTCTCCTGTCTTGGTCTCCCGAGTAGGTGGACTTATAGGCGCCCACAACGACGCCTGACAAATCTTTGTATTTTTAGTAGAGACGGGGTTTCACCATATTGGCCAGACTGGTCTCAAACTCCTGACCTCAGGTGATCTGCCTGCCTCGGCCTCCCAAAGTCCCGGGAGATGGGATTACAGGTGTGAGCCACTACGCCTGGCCAATGTAAAGGAAATTGAGGGGGTACCCAGATTCGAAGCGGGGACCTCTTGATCTGCAGTCAAATGTTCTACCCCGAATTCTACCCCCTCTGCTGACTCTTGTCTCATTTTCTATCAAAACCTCATCCATGGCTTTGGTGGCTCATGCCTGTGTCCCAGCGCTGTGAGGGCCAAGGCAAGAGGACTGCTTGAAGCTCAGAGTTTGAGACTAGACTGGACAACAAAGTGAGACCCCCAACAGTACAAAAATATATTATGCAATTTCCTTGGTGTGGTGGTGTGCACCCGTAGTCCCAGCTACTTAGGAGGCTGAGGCAGGAAGATTGCTTGAGCACAGGAGGTCAAGACTGAGTGAGCTGTGATGGTGCCACTATACTCCAGTCTGGGTGGTAGTGTGAAACCCTGCTGCTAAAAAATGAAAAAGCCAAACAAACGAAACAAAACAAACCCTACAAAACCTGACCCATAACACAGGTGAGAATGTCCTAGACTTTCCTGAAGACTGGGGAAGGAGTGATGGGGGAGGGGCCACACTGCACACATCACGGAAGGGGGACCTCTAACCCTGGTTATTCCTGCTGCCAAGGCAGCCTCATTTCACAGCTTCTCCCTGCTTGAGGGCGAAGCTGTCCACCTTCCTTCCCAGCCCTCCTTCCTTTCGCCCTCCTAAGAAAACATACGTCATCTTTTCTCCCACAAAACAGATGGAGCACTTCTTTTTGGCGTGGGTTCTGGCTAACATCCGTGCACTAAGGGTCTCATCTGTTACTTCCAAATCCTACCAAGTTGTTTTCTCAAGCAAAGATGGGACTTTTTGAACACTGACCTCGCATTAAATTGTGTAACCTTGGAGGTTGGACTACATGTCGAACCAAACAGGCAAGAGGAAGTGGTGACCGGGCTTGAGGGGTCCCTCTCTGTGATCTCCATTCCGGTGTGCTGTGACCCCCTTTGCCCATCACACGGTTGTGTGGTTGTGTTTTATTCCACCCGCTCCTCGTGTGAAGGGGGCACTGTGTTCACTCTATCACCTTATCCCTGGAGCACCCACCAAAGTGCCGTGAACAGAGTAGGAATTCAATCAATATTTACCGAACGACTAGATGTGCTCAGCACGGTGCTAATGGATGATTAGAAAAGTTAATAATCTCAGCTCTTAAGGAGTTTATAGTCTAGTCAGGAAGCCAAAAATAACACAGATGAGAATAATTAAGCCTCCAATCTGATGGCACTGACTGGGGGTGCATTTATCAAGAATTTGGAAGCACGTAACCATACTTACATTCTTTGTTGCATACATAGCATTTAAATTGTGACTCTCATCCAACTTATCACTCAGATACATTTTTTTCTGTGTTAAAAATATAAAGCCATATTTCCAGAGATTTTTAAAGGGCCCAAAAGATTATGAATTTGATCTTAACATCAGCAGATGACAATCTAGTTTTAACAAGTTACTTTGAATTAGTCAAATCTAAAACTCACTTTAGATTTGTTTTCTGGCTAATATTCTAATTGAGAGACATTTCCATGGAGGTATTAGGTTAAAATACTGTTTTTAGATATGTGACACATTTCCCTGTATTTTAGAAATCTCTTGGGTATCTTAAGAGAAATTTAATCCATCTGATTTTGATCCAAATATAATTTACTCACAATGATGGAGAAATATTTGATATCCACGGAAATCTATTGATGCACTTAAAGTTTTTCTCCAGGGAAATAAGAAATCACATTTTTTCAAGGGTGAATCATAAACCTACAGTGTCTAATTTTTCTGCTTATTTAACAAAACCTGAGTTAAGTATCAAATTGGGCAGTTCCAGATCATTTGTTTTTAAGTTTTTTAGTCTTTTAAACTATGCAGAGGAAATTTTATTCAAAGAGGTTTTTTTTTCCTTATTCTGACAGTTTTATCTGCTATCCTGTTTTTTTCCCTAAACAGTGATTTTTGAAGATTTAAGGTAATAACACAATTTTGATGTCTGTGGATTAATGGCGTCTGTATTCACGATGTTTCAGACCTGTCAGAGCTTGGAAATAGCATTTAAATGTATTGCTTAATTTTAATTTTAAAATACTTTCTCTGAGAATTAGATCCCAGTCCTAAGTGAGTACTTTGAATTTCAAAGAGGGGATTTAGGCCAAGGTACAGCTAAATTTTGTCCTCTTGAAAGACCTGAAATCCATTTACAAATAAAATTGAGGTCTTCGTATCAATATTATGTTTTGGAAGTGAAATGTGCAAGGACTTGTGCAGTGTCACATCTTAAGAGGCTGTTGGGTGCCATCGGGAGTCGAGGCAGGGCCTGGCATTTCAGCGACCCTGCTGCTCCACATGCTGGTTATGGAGTACTCTCCGACTTGTCCACGCTTCCAAGTTCTGATTTCTGGCCTCCTGAGGATGGTGGTTTTCCTAGCGCTTCTCTTTCACAGTAGGTTTTGCATTTCTGACCTGGGCCTTAGCCTCTTTCTTTAAGGTTTGCCTTCTGGCCAGATCCCTGGGCAGGGGCCCAGCTCCTGCTTTGCGGCCCTCTGCTGCCTGCAGCTAACGACAGTGACCCCTGCCCGGCTCCACTGACTCATAGGATCTGATGCTTGGATCGTTGTAATAGTCTTCTGGTCTCTTCTTCTTTTAGTTCATCAAACAGATCTTAACCATGTAAACCTTCGTAAATATTATTTCATGTGGGGATTGGCTCAATTTTAGCGGGTGGGTATACAAACTGGAGACAGACTACCTGGGTTTAGTCCCAACCCTGAAATTTATTACTCTATGATCTTGGGCAAGTTACATGACCTTGGTCAAGCTAGTTAAGGTCTCTGTGCCTTAGTTTCCTAGGGTGAAAAATGGGGTTGATGATACCCTGATGAGAGGTAGGTATTATTTTATGAAGATTAAATGACACAGAAGGAGAAGCGTTTAGAACACTGTGTGGCTATAGTAAGTGCTAAATAAAATTAGTTATTACATAGATTGCCCTATCCTTTTAGAATTTTCTGTTTTAGAATTTTAGAATGTTTTTAATCTTCAGTACTTGCTATCGTCTTTTTTAATAGAAATAAGTCTCGAGTTTAGAGGTAGTTATAGGCTTTGCGAATTAACATTCTTTTATTTTTTAAAAAATTTATTTTTTCAGATGAAGCTGGTTCCCCTTTATATTTAATACAAAATTTCCTTTAAAAATCTAGGTTAAAAAGAAGTGAGTTTAAAACATATCAACTAAATCATAAATAAATCGTACTATGGTTTTAAATATGGCAAAAATCGTGAACACAGTGCTCAAATGCCTGAAGTTTGAGGAAAATCTGTGAGGGGTGGGTGCTTCGGGCCTCTGGTAGGTCTTAGCTAGCCTGGGGCTCTTCCTGCCCTCCTGTGGGCCTCTGTTTTAGCCAGACAGCCCACTGATGACTGCCACATCCTGAGCATTCCTGCCTTTGGGTTTGTTCTTGAGAATACCCACCCTATTCCACGTTTCTGATTTCCACTCATCCTCATGGCCCCATTTGAGATGAACATCATCTGTAAGGCCTCCCCAGTGCCTGGCTCCAGGCCTCTCTTCTTCCTCCAAACTTTGTCGTGCTCAAGAAAGTGCCTATTGTGTGTATTTGGCAGTCATTTCTTGCCACGTGATATCTAATAACTTCCATGGATCTGTCCTGTTTCTGCAACTGGAAGAAGATGAGCGGAACCTCTTTTAGGTGGGGACAGTGTCTTAGTCATCTCAATAGCCCCTTGAAGGCATGATACGGTACCTTGGATGGTTTCTATGTTAATATTTTCTGTTATGTGTCCATATTGAGGTATCATTTATGTACCACAAAATTCACCTCTTCTAAAGTAGTGGAATTTGCTTTTTAACAAGTTTGTACAGTTGTGAAACCATCAATGCTGTCCAGTTTTAGAACACTGTCATCACCCCCAAAAGTTGTCTCCTGCCTCTTTGCAGTCAGTCTGCTCACCTGCCTCCAGCTAACAATTGATCTGCTTTCTGTCTCCATAGTTATCTTTTTAAAGATAAATTTCATAGAAAAGGAATCATCCAACATGTAGTCTTCTCTGTATGGGCTTTTCCACCTAGCATAGTGTTCCTGTGGTTCTTCCATGTTGTTGCACTTACTAGTAATTGTTTCATTTTATTCCTTAGTGGCAGCAGATAGACCTTGCTGCTGGGTGTTCAGATTGTTTCCAGTTTTGAGGTATTATGAATAATTCTTCCATGAATGTACAGGTCTTTTTGTGAGCCCATGTCTTCATTTCTCATGGATAGATTTTGGAGTAGAAATAACTGGTTCCTATGATCAGTGTAACTTTTTAAGAAACTGCTAAACTGTTTATCATGTTATATTCCCAGCAGCAATGTATGAGGATTCATTTCTGTACATACTTGCCAACACTTGATATTGTCTGTCTTTATCCTAATAGCCTTTCTAGTGGGTGATGAGGCATGAATTGAAGATGACTCTTGGGTTTTCAGGTTGAGCAGTTGGATGCTGGTGCTACCATTTAATGGAGGTTGAGAAAGGAATGAAGGTTTTTGAGAAAAAGTCAAGAATTCTGGTTTGGCCAAGTTGAGTTTGAGGTGCCAGTTAGCCTTTGAAGAAGCACCGTTAAGTAGGAAGTTGGATGTATGAGGGCACCTATGTTAATTCCAGCTTTGTGAATTCATTAAATAATGAAACCTGGGATGGTTGCTTGAAATTTTTCTACCCTATATATGAATCTGATGGTCTGGACAAGTCACATAGTTTCGGATGTCAGTTTCCTCATCCATAAAGTAATACCTATTTTCCTCCAAAGCTTAGGTGAGGAGTGAATGAGTTAAAGAGTGCAAAGTGTTTCTTATTGTGGCGGTTGTTATTAATACGTGATTTCACTTTTCATTTATTTCATTTTTATGTCCATTGTGGCTTCTAACCTCATATTTCACACATAGCAGGTACTCAGTAAATACTTAATAAATCAATGAATGCAAGTAATGACTATGTATATACTAGTGGAGAAGGAAGGAGGGGAGGGAAAGGAGAGGAGAGGCGAAGAGAGGTGGGCCAGGCAGAGGAGAGAAGAGAGGGAGGGAGAGGGAGAGAGAGAGGGAGAGGGAGAGGGAGAGGGAGAGAGAGGAGAATGAGAATGAGAATGAGAATGGATATAATTTGGGTTGGCCTTAGGAAGGAGGGCTCTCAGAATTCCACACTGGAGCTTTGTGTAAAGGAAGTTTATCTTCTATGACACCAGGGAGGCAACATGGAAGACATGATTTTGGGAGATGTTTCAATAATAAGAATTGTCACGTGTAAAGCATGGTTGTGTTTGCAAAGTGTCTTATCTTCCTACTAGACCTTAAACATCTTGAGGGTTGGAGCCTTTCTGATGTGCCTCTATATTTCCCAGAGCCTTACTAATTTCAGCATACTATAAATACAACAAATACCTATAAAATGAGTATGTTGGTGGATGACTCATGAACAGGTTGTTTCCTTCCTGTGTCCCTGGGAGAGCATGTCTGTGCTTCTACCACAGCTCATGCATGGCTTGTGTTTATAATGATTTGTTTGCATGTCTCTCTGTCTGTCCTGAGCTCCATGATGGCAGGGGCTCCATATCCCTTGGCTCATGCCTGGCAAGTAGTGGTTGTTCAGAGAGTGCTGGAGAGAATTGTTCGAGTGAATGGATGTGTCTAACACTGAAGGAAAGCAGGGAAAGGAGACCAGATCTGTGCTCTTTGGAGTTTCAGATTGTAGCTCTAAGGATCTAAATTTCCAGAGGGAGAGAAAGTAGGGAAATGGTCCATAACTCATTTGTCTTCCATTTTCTGTCCCGTGGGCTAGGTAGGTCTGTTCTTGATATGGTTGGGAGAGTGGTTGCCTGTCTCAGTGTTCAATGTCAGATGACAATATTAGCTCACATTGTAAATATTCTGAGAGTGCCATACCCTCAAGGTTTCTTGTTAGGTTATTTCATTAGGGAGTGTTTTCTAAGATTGGCTTAAAGTAAAGGATTTTAAACTTTTTCTAAGAGAGACATTTTAAATTTATTTTAATTTTCATGGGTTCTCCAAATGCAGTAGACTTTTTGGCAAAATCTCAGGTAAACCTCATACATATAAATCACAGAAATGGAAGAATTAGGTAGGTGCAAAAGTAATTGCGGTTTTTGCCATTACTTTTAATGGCAAATACTTCAGTTAATGCAGGGGTGATCTAGGACCTCACCTGCTTATCATTTCTTTGTCCTTTGTCAAAGCCCTGAAGCATCTGGGGGACTTTAGGGCTCCTTGGAAGGAAGTTTGAAAAACCCCAGGTATAGAGGTAGTCTGTTCATTTTGACTTCCTGTTTCTTCTGCCACTCTCAAGAGACTTCTGTTAAGTCTGTAGAAAGACTTCCCCATGCTACCATCTGTAACCACCAACTACGGGAACCCTAGTTCACTGTTGGTGGGAATGTATTTTGGTATAGCCATTATGGAAAACAGCATGAAGGTTCCTACAGAAGTTAAAAATGGAACTTCCATATGACCCAGTAATTCCTCTTCTGGGAATATAGCTAAAGGAGATGAAATCATTACCTTGTAAAGATGTCTGCACTCCAATGTATGCTGCAGCATTATTGACAATAGCTAAGATGTGGAAACTAAGATGTCTATCAAGGGAGGAACTGGCCAGGCGTGGTGGCTCACACCTGTAATCCCAGCACTTCGGGAGGCTGAAGCGGGTGGATCACTTGGGGTCAGGAGTTCGAGACCAGCCCAGCCAACATGGCGAAACCCCATCTCTACTAAACATACAAAAATTAGCTGAGTGTGGTGGCTGCATGCTTGCAGTCCCAGCTACTCTGGAGGCTGGGGCGAGAGAATCGTTTGAACCTGGGAGGATGAGGTTGCAGTGAGCTGAGATCACACCACTGTGCTCCAGCCTGGGCACCAGAGTGAGACTTCATCTCAGAAAAAAAAAGTCTATCAAGGGAGGAATAAGGACCATGTGATATATGTATACAATGGAATACTAGCCTTAAGAAAGAAGATCTTGCCATTTGCCACAGCACGGACGGATCTAAAGGACGTTATGCTAAGTGAAATGTGCAGACACAGAGAGAGAAATATTACATAATCTCACTTATATGAAATATTTTTAAAAAGATCTCAAATATTAATACACACGTAGAGAATAAAGCAGTGGTTTCCATGGGTTGCGGGTGGGGAGAGGAATTGGGGAGATGTAGATCAAAGGATAAATAAAAACAGATATATTGGACAAATGAGAGATCTAATGTACATCATGACTAAAGTTAATAAAATTGTATTAGGGATTTTTGTTAAATAAGTAAATTTTAGCTGCTTTTGTCCCACACACACACACACACACACACAGTAACTCTGAGGTGATGGATATGTTAGTCTGCTTCACTGCAGTAACCATTTTGCCATCTATATGCATCCCGTATCATCACGTTGTCAAACTCAAAAATACACAGTAAAATTTATTTTTTTAAAAAGAACAAAGCCTTAAAAGAACAAAAGAACAAACCTAACAATTGCCTCCTTTTGTATTTCCCTTTTTGTGTTCATTTTCACCTCCTCTTTGAGCTTGAATCAAAAGGTTTTGAGGCCACCAGTAAATCAGGTAAACAGTAAAAACTGGAGGGAAAATGCCTCATATTTGTGAATTTGCCATTGCACATTCCCATGGTCAGTGTCTGATGTGGATATAGAAAGCAGCATCTTGTCCAAGGACATGGCTAGGAGGGGAAACCACAGCGGGTAGACGAGAGGTAGGTGTTTGTCTTAGGTCATTTTGTGTTGCTATAAAGGAATACTTGAGGCTGGATAATTTATACAGAAAAGAGGTCTTTTTCCTTCACAGTTCTGCAGGCTGTATAAGAAATATGGCATTAGCATCTGCTGGCCTCCGGTGAGGACCTTTGTGCTGCATCAAAACTTGGTGCAGAAGGTCAAAGGAGAAGCGAGCACCTGCGAAGAAGGACCAAACCCAAGGGGCGTCCTGGCTTTATAACAACCCAGTCTCAGGGAACGAATCTATTCCTTTAGAAACAGTCCCGTTTCATGAGAGTGAGAGCTCACTTGATCCCTTGAGAATGGCACCAATCCGTTCATGTGGGATATGCCCCCAGGAGCCGAACACCTTCCACGAGGCACCACCTCCCAACACCATCACAGTGGGTATCAAATTTCAACATGAGACTTGGTGGGGACAAGCAAACCACATCCAAACCACAGCAGCATGAAAGGGGATGAGTCAGATCTTGGGTTACTATTGAAAAGGGCTGTGTGTGCCTGCTGGGATTCATGGTGCACATGGAGAGCAAAATGAGTCCTGGGAAGCAGAGACTTAATGCAGAGGGGGCTGGCTGTTAAAATTTTGAATTCCCTAGGGCCTGGCAGTGTGAGTTGGAAGACAAAAATGACTGGGTGCCTCTGGGAGGGCCTAGCAGTCCAGGAGAGCAGAAGCTCTCAGAGCCAGAACCAACAGAGCTGGCAGAAGGGAGCGATGTTTGGATGGAATCAGGAATGCTGGAGTTGGCTGGGATGGAACCAAGAAGTCAAAACAGTAAGGCACTAGAATTAGCTGGGCAGATTCCTGAAGCAGATTCAGGTGGATAAGAGTTTAGTTAATGTATAGTATTGCCTCTGTTTAAGAGGCTATAAAGGATTTTTGTGAGTTTATCTTGGGTTGTAACAGCCGTAAATACTGGAGAGATGGACTGCAACTTTTAAAAAGTTGATGTAATTCACATGCCATAAAACTTGTCATTTTATTATGTACAATCCAGTGGTTTTTCGTACATTCACTTTGTTGTGCAGACATCACCATTAAACCGTGAAAATGTTTGGTTCACTCCAAAAGGAAACCCCATAGTCATTGGCAGTCACTTCCAATTCTTCCCTCTGCCCAGGTCCCAGCAACCAATAAGCTATGTTCTGTGTCTGTGGATTTGCTTCTTCTGAACCTTTCATATATATAGAATCATACAATATGCGGACTTCTGTGTCTGGCTTTTTCATTTAGCATACTTTTTTCAAAGGCCCATCCATGCCATTGCATGCGTCAGTGCTTCCTTCCTTTGTATTGCTGAGTAATATTCCAATGTGTAGCCCAACAACATTGTATCCGTTCATCAGCTGCTGAACATGGGGATTGTTTGCATTTTGGATTATTATGAACAATGATTCTGTGGGCATTTATGTGTGCATTTTTGTCAAATCCTTTTCTGTGTAGAGATGATCGTGTGGGTTCTGAACATGGTTCTATTAATATGGTATTTTACATTGATTGAGTTTTATATGTTGGACTGGTCTTCTTTTCCTAGGATAAATCCCACTTGGTCATGGCTTATAATCCTTTTTATATTTTGCTGTGTTCAGTCTGCTAGTATTTTGTTCAGAATTTTTTCATCTATATTCGTAACGATATTGGTCTGTAGTGCTTTAAATTTTTACTTATGTTCATTATTCACATTTAAAAAGTGACAAAAATTGTATTTATGGTGTATAACATATTTGCAAATATGTATACATTATAGAATAGCTAAATCAAGCTAATTATGTGCATTGCCTCACATATTATTTTTTGTGATGTCACATATTGCAGAATCTTATTTTTAAAGGCCAAATAGTATTCCGTTTACCATATATATTTTCCTCGTTTATCTGTTGATGGACACTTAGGCTGATTTCCTGTCTTGGCTATTATGAATAATGCGGCAGTGAACATGGGAGTACACATTGTCTTCAGTATACTGATTTCATTTTCTTTGGATATATGCTCAGAAGTGAGATTGCTGGATCATATGGTAGTTTTTTTTTTTTTTTTGAGTTGAAATTTTGCTCTTATCACCCAGGCTGGAGTGCAATGGTGCGATCTTGGCTCATTGCAACCTCTGCCTCCCGGGTTCAAGTGATTCTCGTGCCTCAGCATCCCAAGTAGCTGGGATTAAAGATGCGTGCCACCACACCCCGCTAATTTTTGTAGTTTTAGTAGAGGTGGGATTTTGCCATGTTGGCCAGGCTGGTCTCGAACTCTTGTCCTCAGGCAATCTGCTTGGCTTGGCCTCCCAGAGTGTTGGGATTACAGGTTTGAGCCACTGTGTCCGGCCGGTAGTTCTATTTTTAATTTTTGAGGAACCTCCATACTGTTTTCCATAATGGCTGTATTAATTCATATTCCTTTCAATGGTGTAGATGGTTCCCTTTTCTCCACGTTCTTGTCAATACTTGTTTTTGTTGATCTTTTTCATAATAGCCATTCTAACAGGTGTGAGTTAAAGGGTCTGTAGTACTCTTGCAGTGTCTTTGCTGATATTCTGTGTTTGTTTTCCTGTTCTTTATTTCATTTATTTCCACTCTAGTCTTTATTATTTCTTCATTATTTAGGAGTGTTATTTAATTTCCATATATTTGTGATTTTTCCTTTCTTTTTTTGGTCTGTATTGAGTTCTACTTTTATTCCATTGTGGTTGGAAAACACACTTTGACTTAATCATTTTAAATTTATTGAGGTTCATTTTATAGCCTAACATATTGCCTGCTGGAGGATGTTCCATATATCCTTAAGTATGTACATTCTGGCCAGGCACGGTGGCTCACGCCTGTAATCCCAGCAGTTTGGGAGGCCGAGGTGGGCAGATCACGAGGTCAAGAGATCGAGACCATCCTGGCCAACATGTGTGAAACCCCATCTTTACTAAAAATATAAAAGTTAGCTGGGCATGGTGGCGCACGCCTTTAGTCCCAGCTACTTGGGAGGCTGAGGCAGGAGAATCGCTTGAATCCAGGAAGTGGAGGTTGCAGTGAGGTGAGATTGTGCCTGGTGACGGAGTGAGATTCTGTCTCAAAAAAAAAAAAAATTCTGCTCTTGTTGGGTAGATTGTTTGGTAGATGTCTGTTGGTACTAGTTGATTTATAGTGTTGGTCAAGTTTTCTGTTTCCTTGCTGATCTTTTGTCTAGTTGTTCTCACAGTTGTGGAATGAAAGGTATTGAAGTTTCCAACTATCATTGTTGAATTACCCATTTTTCCCTTCAATTATTTTAGATTTTGCTTTGTGTATTTTGGGGCTCTGTTCTTATGTATGTTTATATTGGTTGTCTCTTCTTGATGAATTAACCCTGTTAGCATTATAAAACGTCCTTCTTTATCTTTAGTAGCAAGCGTTTTCTTAAAGTCTGTTTTGCTTGTTAGTATAACCATTCTAGCTCTCTTGGGGTTTCTTTTTGCATGGTATATATATTTTACATAGTTTTACTTTGAACCTTTTTATGTCTTTGAGTATAAAGTGTGTCTTTTGTAGACAGCATATAGTTGAATTTTGTTTTAAAATTTTAATCCGTTCTGCCAATCTATGTCTTTTAATTGGAGTGTTTAATTCATTTAAGTTTAATGCAATTACTGATGAGATAGGATTTACTTATGCTATTGGGCTATATTCTACGTATCTTTGTCTTTTTTGTTCTTCTGTTACTACCTTATTTTATGTTAAATATTTTTTCAAGTAACATTTTAATTTCCTTGCCATTTATTTTCCTCTATGTTTTTGAGTTATTTGCTTAGTGGTTGCCCTGGGGATTACAGTTAACATCTTAATTTATAACAATCTAATTCAGATTAATACCAATGTAATAATATACAAAAACTTTGCTCCTATATAGCTCTGTTCTATTCCTTCTTTACTCTTATTGTCACATGTTACCTCTTCATAGATTGTGTGCTTTTCAACATAGGTTTATAACAACAGTTCTATGCTTTTGTCATTTACATCAGATAGAAAAAAGAGTACATTTATCCCATTTTAAATATTTTAGAAATGCTTAAGGATATTTAAAAAATTAAACTATGTTACATTTATTTTAAAATACATTTATACTATTTGTAAAATATTCACTTCTGCAGTTACCTTTATACTTACTCCTATATTTCTTCATTGATTTGATTTACTGTCTAGTGTCTTTTCATTTCAGCTTGGTGGAAAAGTTCCTTTATTTCTTGTAGAGCAGGTCTGCTAGTAATGAACTCTGTTTTTATTTGGAATGTCTTAATGTCTCCTTCATTTTCAAAGAATAGTTTTGCTGACATAGAATTCTTGGTTGACAGTTATTTTCCTTTCAGCTCTTTGACTATGTTATCCCACTGCTTTCTGGTCTCCATGGTTTTCAATGAGAAATCGGCTGTTAATCTTACTGAGGATTCCTTGCACGTGATGAGTCGCTTCTCCAATGCTGCTTTCAAGATTCTCTTTAGTCTTTGGCTATTAACAGGTTATTGGTTTTGAATTACAAATTCACTGTTAGTCTGCCCACGTTTCATCATCCCTATTTGAAGGGACAGCATGGGACACTTTTGTCAGTGCTTTAATTCAACACTTGTGATATCTCTGTAGCATTTTATTGATCTATCAACTTTATGGTTCAGTAATATGTGGTTTTGTCTTTCACTGTTATATTACTTAATAGAATTTCAGATTGATATTTATGTGATCCGTTCCCATAACTTATTTACTTAATAGATTTGTTGGACAGCTGTATATGGAAGGCTGTATGCAAGACTTTGAGTTTTCTTAGATAAATGACACATGATCCTAATTGTGAAGATGACACATTTGATTGGCGGAGCACACAAACTTAACTAATTACTATGCAATTAGGATGAAGGTATCTATGTGCATAAACGTAGTAGTTTGGAAGCAAAGAATAGGAAGTCACTGATTTTCATAAGTGGTAAATGAGCAAACTGAGGAGATTAGATAGATTAGCAATTTGAGACCTTGAGTTATCTAAATTAGAACGTGGCAGAATCAAGGACTAGAAGTCACTTTTCTGGGTTCTTTCTATGAAACGATGATTCTAGAATGTGGCTCTTTTCTATGTTCAAGCATCATAGGTAAAAATGATTTCTTAAACCAGGTAAGTGTGTGAAGCACAGACTGGCTATTTTGCTTCAAAAGGTGTTTATGTTAAAAATAAAAGCAAACAGTACTTATTTATGCTTATTATATTGTATTAACATGAATTAAGTAAACAAGTGACTATGCTGGAACTTGAGGTGTCAAAATATGAAAAGATACTTGCTGTTATTAAATTGACCTTAGATGTTTTATTTTCCTTTTTATTGTTATTTGTTTTATCAAAAGAACTCTTCTCCCCTGTACATCTGTAGTAAAATTTTGAATAGGTACAGTTTGTATTAGAGCCTCCTTAAAAATAAAGTTGCAGATCAATCAAAACTATATTCATTCTCCATAGGATAAAGCATGACATTTCTGGGCATACGGTTTTAATTTTAATCTGCATGCCTCCGTTTCTATTCTCCCATGAGTCTTTGCGGCAGGACAAGGAAAAGCAAGTCTTATAAAAAGAAATACAGTATGTGGTGCTTATTAAAGTTACATACATCTCTTCTCACAGGAGAAATTTGATTTATTGCAGGTTGTGCATATGTCGCATATGGACATTTCTAGGGAACAGATTCCTTATTGCTGAGCAGTGAATGGCTTCTAGTACTCCATTATTGCTCCGGGAACATGTTAGTAATAATTATGAAAGGTAGGATACCATGAAATCTGTAAGGTGATTTGGCAGAAGTCGATGCTGTTGGTGCCAGGATTTGGGTACCGTACCACGGTTTCCTGTTTTCAAATGTATTAATTGATCCGCAAAGGACATCTTTTGGAGACAAGAATTCAGACAGACTGGCACAGCCTGGACCTCCGCCAAGACTGCTCGGAAGGTTGCCATACTGGGAGCAAAAGAGTGAGAGAGAGAAAGAGGGAGAGAGAGAGGCAGAGGGAGAGCTGAGGAAAGAAAAAAAGGCAAGACTTGGCACAGCTCAGTCAAATCAGCTTCTTTTGTCTGCTTTCTCGGCTTGAGCTTCAGGAAAGAAAACCGTCCTGGGGTACAGAAAAACTCAGAACTTTTTGGTTTTCAAACTTAGAAGGCTTTTTAAGTCTCTTGGGCTATTTGAAAGTGTTGGTACATACAATGACGTTTAGTCACCAGTATTAAGGGAAATAAAAGCCTTTTTCAAAACGAAGCTTCCATAGTGTCCATGCATTTGGGAAATACTATATTTGATTTTTTGCATGTATGATTATACCATGAGAGACAGGATTAATATAGAAGATGGCAAGGCAAATTTCTAATTAGAGGGAATATTAATTTTCTACAAAATAAAGTTTGTTCATCAATACAAACCTGCTTTCAAATCAAATCAGAAAGACATCCTTCGGAATGTGTTCAGAACGTAAGTTTTTAGATTTTATTTTATTTTATTTTTAGACATTTATAGACATTAACTTTTCAAGGAGCCTTTCTAAGATTTTATGCAGCCCAGCCAGGAAGTCAGAGTAAAAGTTGTTTTATCCATGTGTTTAAGAAAACGTTTTCTTAAAGCAACAGCTTTTATTTCTGCTGCTTCATGCTGTCCTAAACTACATCCCCCAGCAATTAGTGACAACACTGAAGACCAGAAAGGCAAGCTGAAGACACCAGACTTCGCTTGAAGGGCAAACAAGAAATGTGAGCTTGGTCATTATTTTTTTGTGTGTCTTTGCTCTGAACCATTTTTGGGAGGTGGGTGGGGAGGTGTCTATGTCTAAGAGATGTATGCGATTAGTGAATTCTCATTGTGAGAAGGAAATGATGAAAGGTGATTTTTATGATGTTGGCAGAAATGGCTGGGAATGGTAGAGAATAGAAATTTAAATCTTTTGGAGAAGAAGTGGTGAGCTGTGTTTGCAATACTTGGAGAAAAATTTCTTATTTTTGGTTGATTAGATTTTATAATTAAACGATTACTGTAGCCTGGCTCTCTCAAAATGTTTTAAGTAGAAGGAAAATTTAGAAAGTTTACCGATTTTCTTTTTAATACTACCTGGTGTTTTACTTAGATATATACTTTATATCTAATTTCTGAACAATGAATCTTTCCTATTAGGCCTGATTATGATTGGATTGTGATAGTTCTGTTCTTAAAAATCAGCATTATTGTAGGAGAGGTTAACTGTAAGGCATGTGTTACTGTGGATCACCCTGATTGTAAGTATTCTGTTTTTAAAGACAGTTTGACTTGTAGGATTAAGTTATGACTTCCTATAATCATGTATTTTCTTTTTATTTTATATGCCGAAAGAATACAGGAAAATTGTATCTATTCACATAAGTACTCATCATTTTGGGCAGTATAAAAGACTGCCCCTGGATCTGTGCTTTTGTTTGGAGTATGTAATCATTGATTTCTTAATCCTTCGACAATAAAAACCTGTCTATAGCTTTCCATTATTGCGCGCCTTAAATGATTAATTGTTTCACATGTTTTTTATAAAATTATAGTGACACATCAGCAATCCTGAAAATGGCATTTAATATATAAATATGATTGAAAAATATATGAAATCTAACAGAGGTGTTTGAACAGTTAAGCTTAAGTATGTTCTTCAACTTTTTAATTAATCAACATTTTGATTTTCTGTAAAATGAAATCACTTAACATTTATGTGTGTTGCCAAAATGACAACCTTTGTTTAATAAGCTCCTTTATACACTACGTCGCTGATACTCCTAAAATGGACGCCAAGACATGAAAGACATGCTGATAGGCACTCGGAAGGAAATGTTTGCCTGACTGCAGTCTTCCTTTTTGAATTGATTACAGGATCATTCATGCTTATACTAAAAAACAACAATATATGAAACAAAAAGAAAGTTCAGCAAACAAGTTTAAATTGAGCTTCATTTTAATACTGACCGTCTTATTGCCGATTTATATTTACTTCCATTTACTTCTTAAACATTTAACATAACTTCTTGCCATTTAGGTTTGCTAAATATATAACTTATTTAATTTTTAAGTCCATTTTTTCTTGAAGTTAAAATAATTTTTGCTAGCTGATTTCTTAACTTCTTTGCAGCGAACTCAGAACAAACTTATATCCAAACTATTTCATGTCCAATTATTTTCCAGCAGTATGATCAAAAGTAGGTGAATTAAAAAACAAATATGTCAGAATATACCTTAAGAAATATTAAATTTTTCGATACTGGTAAAACTACATTTTACAGTGTATATTAAACTTAAAATTTGATAAATACTAGCTATTATAGTCACTGAAGTTTCTTACCAATAGAAATTCTCTCTGGCCTACACATTACATAGCTTAAAATGAAAGAAAATCTCCCATAAAGATGTTCCTTGTAAAACGGGTATAATAGACACGTCTTTGTGCAAGCTTTTTTTAAAAAAAAGTGTGATTAAGAAGTTGCGTTGATTACATTTTTTTAAAAAGACATTTAGTTGTAACATAATGCATGCTTCTTTATTTTTAGACCTTTTGTACTACAAACACATTGACATTTAGGTTATTAACTATTTCCATATTAGTATTTCAAATCTTATTTTAAAGTATATAAATACTATTGGTTTGATTGTAAATGAACCCTATCTCACCTCATAATTATGGTCGTTTGAATTGTATAATATTTTGAAGTAAAATTATTGAGGCAGAAATGCGTTAATATTTAACTGCTACTTGATACGTATTATTAAATTCCATTTTGATGTATGTACCTGAACATACAAGCACATTATTCTACAAATTAATGCGAACTTCTCAGGAAGCGTTAGTCCAGTATTTTATAATTACTCGCTCATTTATTCATTTATTCAACAAATGTTTATTGAGCACTCACTTAAATATGCTAATATTTTATTGATAAAGTTATTTTGGGTAACGGGGATGGAAGAGGGAATAGATTTAAAATAAAATTTAAACGCCTAGATAGAAAAAGGCAGTACTATAATGAGATTAATTTCAACAAAGTATGTTCACTTTTCTTGCACAATACACATATTGTAGAGTGTGATTATAAAAAATCAGGAGATTAGTTGTATTACACGTAGCTGTAAGAATCTTGTTTTATGACTATTTTGGTTGTTACATTTTATTGGCCAGAAAACTTGAGTTGTTCAAGTCTTCTGACAGACATGTAAAATAAGCAATTCAAATCAGGGAGGAAGAAACTGAGATTGAGCCACTGCTCACATGCTAGATCTTACATATGTCAAAGCAGGTGTAATTGAACCTTCGAAGACGTGGCTGCAACGTAAACAACAGTGGCCTGTTTATGTGGGATTTTTTTCTTTCCTTTGTTTTCTGTTGTGAGACAAAGGAGGAAGATAAGGCCCCTCCCACATCCTGAGGCCAGCATGGCCCTTTGAAAGAAGGTTTGCTAGGGGGTGTGGTGTATTTTAAATGGACCTATCAGTTCACTTTCTATATTCTAGTGGTTCGTGTGTGTGTATGTTTGTGAGTGAGAGAGAGAGAGAGTGCATTTAACTCAGTGGCCTAAGTTTATTCCATGCAGTTGTTCTCTGATACAAAAAGAAGGCATAGGTTCATCTTTGAAGAGGAGATAAAAGTCACGTGATCTGAGGAGATGTACTTGTAGGCTGCTTTGGTGGCCCAGGCGTGAGGCAGAGCTGGTGGCCCATGGAATGGAGATGAGGAGTGTCTCAGCCGTGGGTATACACTGCTGAGGTCATTCAGCAGATACTCCCAGAGGACTTGCTCTGTGCCAGGCAAAAGATATAATTGCTGCCCATAGGAATTCCTAGTGTAGTTGGGTAGAGGAGAGGATAGGAATAATTGATGAATGTAGGTACCTTTTCAGGTTACCAAATACCTTCGCCTGTTATTCCATGTAATCCAAGCAGCCATGCTGGGCGCAGGGACTGGTACACAATGGCCACTTAATAAGTATTCATGGAAGAAATAAACTGAGTGGCGAACCAGAGTATTAGCTTGTTGAGTCTTATTTGACTAAGAGAGTGTTTTTTCCTTCATGGATAGAAAAACAAAAAGTACTGTGCTTTCTTTATCTTGTTTCTCTGTTGCTGGCTATGGGTTTAGAGGGGTGCAGCAGAGGGCCACATTATTTGTGACCACATTAGGCTCTCTTGCGGTGGCCATTGGAGATGATATGAAACAAGGACTTGCCTGGTGTGGGGTGGCCCTGGACACCGGCTTTCTCTCTGGCCAGCCCTCTGTTGTCTTGCATTCCCTCTGTCCTCATTTTCCCAAAGCATCCCATATTGTACTTTAGGACTTGGTGGTGTGGCCTGAGCATGCAGCAGGCCAGTGGAGTGCCCAGTGAGTTTAAAGTGTTTCTTTTGAGGGCAGGACAAAGGCAGAGGGGATGGAGACAGAGAAGGTGGTGAGGGCAGTTGTGCAGAGTTGAGGGCGCTGCCCAGCAAGCAGCTTCAGTCCTGTTGTAGCTGCAGCACTAGGGGCCTTTGAGGGAGCAAGGGTGAATGTGGGATCCTGGGTTAGACTGCAATATCAGCAACCGCAGGCGTTGAGAGGGCATAAGGTGTTATTGAGGGGCTGCATGGGGGGATGTAAATGGGTTGCTGAGGCCAGTTCATGTTGAACATCGTCTTTCTGGGTCTTTGTCCTGGGAGGTTTTGAGGCCCAGGAGAGGGAGAGGCAGAGTCAGGAGCATTGTGTATAGTTCTGTGTCCAAGGCGGTGAGGGGCTGGAATTTAGCCTCAGCTTTGCTGCCCAAGCCCTGTGCCTTGATCTGCTGCAGGAAGGTACCAAGTCCCCATTGTGCTTGTGGAGGTCCTGGGGTGCATACAGGCTTGGAACTGGAATAGCAGGTATTGGGAGAAGGTCAAAGGTCTGTGGCCAGGGAGGGCAGTGTTCCAGTATCTGACCATGGAGTCTAGGGGGCTAGGGGATGTGATCAGAAGTGTTCTAGAGAACATGGTGAAACAGGGGAGGATGAGTAAGTAGAAATTTAGATCAAGTGAAAGAAAAGGTTTTGAGAGTACTGGAGTTAGGAGTTTATTCTGAAACTCATCAGATTCTGAATAATTGTACCACCTCTGCAAAGCTCGACTTAAAAGTTTGGCCGTGAGTTGTGCTCAGGTTATTTTATTTCTCCAAAAGCAAGCAGAAAGTGAAAAATGTTACCTGTGTGTGTTCTGTATTGCACGTTATCAGAGGAGATGAACATTTTCTTCTCTTACAGTTAAGAATCTCTCAGTCTTACACAATTAGAATACCCCTTATGTGTGGATCTGGAGGTTTTGTGCAAAATACTGAAGAATTAGTCCCTCTGGAGTGATGCCATTCTTTTATCCTTGTCTATCAATGTCATTTATATCTCTTTTCCTATTAGCCCTTCTAAGTTATTGTACCTCATCTGAAAAGATCAAATTGTTCTCAAAGACCCAGGAGTGTTTCACCTTAGCTGTATTCATGGGAAATCTGCCTTTGAAACAAATAGTCCTTTACCGTCTTGGGTTAGAGATAATGTTCCTCAGCATCTCCCCAAACTGAGTTTGAATTTTGACTCAATTTTTTGGTTGTGGGACTTTGGCCAAGTTATGTAAACCTAATTTCTTCATCTGCAGAACAGGGATCATGGTATTTCCCTCACACGATTTTGGGAGGAGAAATAAGGAAATACATGCAGAGCTCTTAGCATAGTGTCTGGTATGTAGTAAATACTTAATAAATGGTAGATATTATTTATGTTTTACAAAATTATTTTTTTAATTTTTAGAAATTGTGATAAAATATGCATAACATATTTTACCGTCTTAACCATTTTTAAGTGGTATCAGGTACATTCACATTGTTATGCTGCCATTACCGTCATCAAGCCACAGAAGTCTTTTCATCTTGCAAAACCAAAATTCTGTACCCATAAACAATAACTTTCTATTCTTCCCTTCCCCAAACCCCGCAACAGAATCGTGGCAACCTTGATTCTGTTTTCTGTCTCTATGAATTTGACTACTTCAGGTACCTCATATAAGTGGAATCATACAGTGTTTGTCCTTTTGTGACTGGCTTCTTTCACTTAGCATAATGTCCTCAGGATTCATACATGTTTTAGCATGTGTCAGAATTTCCTTCTTTTATGAGGCTGAATAATACTCTATTGTATGGACAGACCACATTTTCTTTCTCCATTCATCTGCCAGTGGAAACTTGGGTTGCTTCTACCTTTTGGCTGTTGTGAATAATGGTGCTATGAACATGAGTGCACAGATATCTCTTTGAGCTCCTGTTTCCAGTTCTTTTGAGTATATCCCCAAAAGTGGAATTCTGGGTTGACAATTTCTTTTTTTTCAGCGCAACTTCAGTTGTACTCCCTTCTTTTGCCTTTGTGTTTTCTGATGAGAAATCTGCTGTCATTTGAATTGTTTTGCCCTTCAGCTAAGATGTCCTTTTTCTCTCACTACTTTCAAAATCTTGCTGTGTCCTTAGTTTTCAAGGAATGTGTTATGTTGTGCCTTTTTGTGGATTTCTTTGGGTGTATCCTGTTTGGGGCTCATTCACCTTCTTGAATATGTAGGTTTATGTCTTTTGCTAAATTGGGAAAGTTGTCAGGCATTATTTCTTTGAATACTTCCCCAGGTGTGCCCTCTTTCTCCTTTCCTTCCAAGACTTGGAGGATGTGAATATTAAAACTTTGTTATAGTTCTACCAGTGCTTGATACTGATTATTTTTTAAGTCTATTTTCTCTTTACTATTCAGATTGCATAATTTCTATTGTTCTTACCTTCAGATTCACCTATTCTTTTCTCTGTCATCTTCATTCTGCTGTTTAGCTCACTGGGTGAGTTTTAATTTCGGTTATTTTATCTGCTATGTCTTTACTGAGACTTTCTGTTTTTAAAATTTGTTTCATGCCCATTTTTAGTTGTTTGTGGAAACATGTTTATAATGGCTACTTTCAAATCCTTGTCAGATAATTCCAACATCTGTGCCATCTCAATGTTGGCATCTCTTGACTGTGTTTTCTCATTTAAATTGAGGTTTTCCTGGTTCTTGGTATGATAAATGATTTTGATTATATCCAGGCATGTTGGGTACTATGCTATGAGACTGGATTTTATTTAAGCCTTCTGTGTTAACAAACCTTCTCTGACACTGTGCTAGCAGGGGAAAGGGGGGCACTCCCTCATTTCTGTGAGGTGGGGGAGTAGGAGGGTACCTTATTATTGGTAGGTGAGGGTGAAATTCAGGCTACCCATAGTTGATACTGTTATTTTTATTGTTAGTTTTGTACTGGGTGCAGTAACCTGGACAGTGTCTCAGCTCTGTATTCCTTAAATTTAGCTTATGTTGTTGGTGCTACTTGTGTTTGATAACTTGTTTAATG